>NC_000004.12:153163805-153466835 GCF_000001405.40 Homo sapiens
TACATCTTAAAACGTGCTGCAAACTAAAGAAGCCTAGGAAACATATCCCTGCTTTGTGATTTAAGCTGTATTTTTGTTATTCACATACAAATCCATTTTAGACTGTACCTTTTAAGACAATGTTGTGGGAAAACAAAAAAACTGTTATTAATGATATTAGCATTTTGCTCACTTGGCTTGGGACTGCACAGATTTCTTACTGTGGCAAGTTTTTGTTTATCTAATTTAGTTTATCTGTACAATTAAGCTAACTTCTCCCCGAAAAGAAGCAGTTCTCATATTCTAACTTTGTTTTAATAACTTTTTACTTATATAAACACATGTACTTATTGTTTTGTTTTGTTTTGTTTTGAGACAGGGTCTCCCTCTGTCACCCAAGCTGAAGTACAGTTGTGCAGCCATAGCTCACTGTAACCTTTAACTCCTGGCCTCAAGCAATCTTCCTAACTCAGTCTCCCAAAGTGCTGGGATTACATTTACAGGCATATACCACCATGCTCAGCTCACATGCACTTAATTTTTAAAAATAAGATGGTACTTTTAAAAGCTTATATCTAAATACAGCAGTCTCTTTTCTCCTTACTAAAAGAGGCTTCCTCCCTAAAGACAGCCCCTTTCAACATTCTTAGCCATTCTTCTGCTAGTTGCTTCCATGTTTCTAAAAATTGTCTTCTTTCTGCTATTTCTGTTACATTTTTCATTCTTTTATTCAAATAAGTAATATATTTACATAGTTCAACATTCAAGAAAAAAAAAGATAAAAACAATCAAAGTCTCTTTCCTACCCTGGTCCCCAGCCTCCCGAATTTTCTTTTGGCAGGCAACCAGTATTACCAGCCTCTCCCATATCCTTCCTGAAATGTCCTTGGATATACATATACTACTGATTATTGATAAATTTTTTGTATTATCTGTTGACTCTCACTTATAGTAGATGAGAACTTAGCTTTCTCTTCTACACTCTACTTTCTGTCTTTCCTTTCTTATGACTTACTTATAGTACAAGTCTTGATTACGTCTGTATTTATATTACTAGGACCATGTAAATATTGTCACTGCTGAGTCAAGTAGTTTACTATAGTTGTGTTTCCTTTCATAGGCTGGATTTTTTTTTGTTTTGTTTTATCCAGAGCTAATTATTACTTCATTTTTTTATACTAGATTTTCTATGGGTTTATTGTTAGTCTTCTTCAAATGGTCCAACAGATATGTCACGATTATTAAAGTTTTTTGTTTAATTCAAAACGTTCCCGACACTTTATGGGTTCCACTTCTCCACTCCCTCTGGGATTTTCCTCTCTTAGTTCTCAATCCCACCCCAATTTGGACTGGTTTTATTTCCGCCCCAAGATGCTATTGTTTGGGGCTTGCTTTTGTAATTCTTCTACATTAGATTCTCTTTTCCTAGAACCCCATATCTTTTCCTTGCTTGGTTTAATTCTGTTTTTCTGAAATAAATCCTCCAGTAGTTTCTTAAGAAAGGATACATTGAAGGTAATTTTTGAGCCCCTTGCTTTTTAGTTTTTAAATTTTTACTTATTTTGAGACAGGGTCTCACTCTGTTGCCCAGGCTGGAGTGTAGTGGCATGATCATGGCTCACTGCAGCCTCAACCTCCTGGGCTCAAGTGATCCTCCTGCCTCAGCCTCCCAAGTAACTGGGACTACGAACACATGCCACCATGCCTGGCTATTTTTGTTTGTTTGTTTATAGATATGGAGTCTCACTGTGTTGCCCAGGCTGGTCTCGAACTCCCGGGCTCAAGCCATCCTCCCATCTAAGCCTCCCAAAGTCTCAAAATTTATTTATTCTACCCCGACGCTTCTTAGTTTGGCTAGATATAGAATCCTCAGGTAAAAAATTATTTCTCTTCAGAATTTTGTAGGTGACTCCATGATTCTGTACCACTCTCCACTATGCCCTGTGTTCCTTCTAGTCTCTACCATTGCTGCTGGGTCCTCCATAGCCATCCTCACTCTCCTTTTCCTTCCTTATGAACTATTTTTTCTTACTGTGTATTCTCATATTTCATGGTGACTTGCCATGATTTGAGGGGTTTTTCTATTAATTATTTTGATTACTTGGCTCTTTTAAATATGGAAATGTATGCCTCTCATTTATGGGAAGATGTCTTCTATTTTTATCTTTGCTAATCTTCTTCCTTTTATTTTCTCTGTTCTCTCTTCTGGAACTCCAGTTGGCTGGAAACTGCACCACTTAGATTGATCCTCTAATTTTCTTATCTTTAATGCCGTTGAAATCTTTTCTTTTCAAACTTTCAATTTCCAAGGGCTCACTCCTTGTTCTTTTTTAAAAAAAAATCCTGTTCTTATTTCACGGATGCAATAGCTTTTTTTTGCTCTGAAGATACTAAATATAGTGAATTTAAAAAAACTTTTCTTCTACCCCTTGTATTGTTTCTTTGTCCTTTGAGTTCCTTTTTTCCATTTGTTTGTTTTTGTTTATTTGTTTCAGACTTCTTATTTTCACAAATGTCTAGTGATCTCTGACTGTCCATTCGTATTTAAGAGTGAGGTTCTATAACACTTGATTGGAGTCTTTGCGTGATTGATGGGTTTGGTAATTGGGACAAGACCTTTGTAGGGTGATCTGGCAGTAATCTAGGTTTTTCTTTGGGTGATCCCAAAAGGCAGTGCTGGAAGGATTTTCCCTCCCTCCCTCCCTTCCTTCCCTCCCTCCCTCTTTTCTTTTCCTTCCTTCCTTCCTTCCTTTTCTCTCTCTCTCTTTCTTTTTTTTTGGAGATGAGGTCTCACTCCACCACCCAGGCTGGAGTGCAGTGGCACAATCATAGCTCATTGCAACCTCACCCTCAACCTGGGCTCATGTGATCCTCCTGCATCTGCCTCCCTAGTAGGTGGGACTACAGAGGCTTATGCCACCATGCCCAGATGTATTTTTCTTTAATGGGACCATTTAGTTTCTTCTAAGACTAAGAAGCCTCCTAAGAATACTTCTGCTTTGGGTAAATAAAAGTGACTTCCACCATTCTAGGAGCATGAAATGGAACAGAATCTGGAATGCCTACCATTCAGTATACAGATTCACTTTAATCTCCAGCTTTCAGTTTGGTATGCTTCCACCTCCCGGGGGTCTGTCTGGAGACCTCAGATTAAATTTCTCCTCTTGAATAGAGGCTGTTAATTTTTCAGCATTTTACTTAACCACAGGGCTGTCAGGGTGTGTGTGGTAAAATTAGCCACATAATGATCTCAAGAGTATGGACCCTACAGCCAGAATGTTTGAGTTTAAATCCTGGCTGTGGTAGTTACTAGTTGCATGACCTTGGTCAAGTTCCCTAAGCCCTGCAGTTGGTGACTCCACACTAAAGGTGAATACCACAGTGTCCAGGGAGGTAAAGAACACATTTGGATTTTATTTCTTTTCTTCACGGTCTATTAGTTTTGTACTGTAAGAATGCTTTCTTTTATAACACATAACCAAACCAATGAAAGCACAAAGGAATACAATTGCACACATGATCTTGCCGCGAAGATGGTATGGTGTTTCCCACTGAAGTAATTCATTGTTCACAGAATTTGGCAATAAGAAAAGGAAAAAAGTCTCTAAACAAATAACCCATTGAAAAACATACCATGATTTGAGGATGACGCAATGGCAAATTGCAACATGGAAAGAAGTCCTGAATGAAAATTTTATATTACAAAAAGATCAAAAACTGTCCAACAAAATGGCAAAGAAACAATGTTTATTTTGAAGTCTTACTCAGTTTTCATGTTTGACTTTACTCTCGCAGTCTTACCAAGTTATTTATTTTCAGTTTACCACCATACTTAGAAATAGCATGGGATCTTTCTCAGCTCTTAATTCCCTTTGCCCCTGGGACAAGTATAAAACTATGGGGGTGCAGTGAATCCTACACCCTCCACAGTAACTGGAAGGAGAAAAACAATTGCCTGGAGAAAACTGCAGGAGAAAAGAGCGCAGACTTAGGTCAAACCTTCACAAACAGTGCCTAATTTAAAGGACACAGGCATGAGGTTCTGTCCACCAGTGGTCCTAGGCTTCCAGGGGTTGCTGAAAGTGATCCTGAATCCCTCTGCCCAGAATTTCTCTTCTGCAGACTTTCTGACTTGGAAGCACAGGAAATGGTAAAACACATAAGTGTTGGATAACATGAAATATAAAAACATGTACTTTATGAGGCTCATTTGCCAGTTTCTTTGCCATTAATTAATTCTTGGTTTATTTGTGATTTTTAAAAATAGAGAAAATGTAGCCAGCTACTTATAAGTAAACATTTTAAATAGGAAAAATTTACAAAGGTGTCTGTACAAGGATTTTTTTTTTTGCATTTGTTTATATTCATTTACCTACATTAGGGAATTGGTTAAATAAATTGTGCTACATTCATAAAATAGCATGCTATGCAACCACACACACACAAATGAGCATATAGAACTAAATATTTCTATAAGGAAAGTTATCCATGATATATTCTTGGTAAGAAGGCAAAATAAATAATAAATTACATAAATTGTTTTGTTTTAATAGGCACTGTTTTGATAATATGTTTTCCTAGGAAACCGTCTTGCATGATACTAAATTGTTAAGTAATGATTTCTCTGTGGTAGGATGTTATATGAATTTTTGCAAAGAGCATTTATTGCTTTGGAACTAGAGAAAAAAGTGACCAAAGATAGGCAGTGACCAAAGGCAGGCACTGGGAACCACAGAGTTAGATGAAAATGATCTTAATAACAACAAATTAGATAATCATGATTGCCTGGGATTAACACTGTAGAGACTTTAAGGGAAATAACTCGAAACATTTTTTTCATTTTCTCAAATAAAACCAGTTGGGTGAGGAGGCAAGGGAGTGTCAAAGAAGTTTTTCTGAAAAAAAAAAAAAATCAAAGAAAATCAATTGAGTAGGCTTAAAGATATAAAATAGTGTTTCTTAAATTAGGAAGTATATTTGTATATAGCAGTTGGTTTAATTGCATTTTTAGAAGTTCTCTAAGGCTGGGTGTATTGGCACTCACCTGTAATCCCAGCACTTTGGGAGGGACTACTTCAGCTTAGGAGTTCAAGACCAGCCTGAGCAATATAGCAAGACCCCGTCTCTACTAATCAATCAATCAATCAATAGCTGGGCATGTTGGCACATGCCTGTAGTCCCAGATACTCAGGAGGCTGAGGTGGGAGGATCACTTGAGCTTGAGAGGCCGAGGCTGCAGTGAGCTGATTGTACCACTGCACTCCCACCTGGATGACAGAGCGAGACTTATCTCAAAAAAAAAAGTCTTTAAAATACATTCTCATAGTGTTGATTCTTCTCAGCTCTAACCTAGCACTTATTCAAAATTCTTTAAGAGTTTCATTTGATTAAAAAATCCTTCCACAGTGGAGGCATCTTGTTCTCTTCAAGAACTTGATACATATTGAAGAGTGGAGAGGCTGTTACTTACGACACACTTGGGGCCAATATTTCAGGCAGAGTCTTGAAAGAAACTTTGCTGTGACTGACCTGCCTCAGAAAACTTAGACTCCCACACCATGCTTTAATGTACACATTGAACCTATCCAGTTTGCTTTATTTAACAGTTCCCTACGTTTGTTTTCTGGGAGACAGCAGGCTTAGTTATCAGATTATTCCAAGATAAACTGTGTAATATGCTCTTCTTATGATGATCTACCTTGGTATGTGACTTTTGATTTAATTTCACTTGCCTATTTGAGGTAGCATTTTTTTGACCTATCATTTTTCTGGCATATTTCAAGTTTTGTAAATATATACAACTGTATGTGTGTGTATATTGTATATATGAATGTATATGTATTTATATGATGTTTTACTAAAAAACAAAAAAAATTAAGCCATAGAATTTGTAAAGATTTTAATATTGATGAAAGCTCTCTGTGATTCTTCACTCTAACATTGACAAAAGAATCAACCTTGTGAAATATTCCTCCAGACTTGCACATAGTCTATAATTGGAATGTATTTGAATTTTCAAGATTTCCAAATGTCTACGTGTGGCATCTTTCCATGCCTAAATATGGGATACGTGAACCATGTTCATTTTCCTTTATAGCACAGCACTTCGTGTGAGTGAGGCGCGTGTCTCTCCACAATGGCCGTCTACACAATCAGGCACATTCTAACTTCATCCGCATCTAAAGAACAGATGTGCACTTGTGTGGCCATCCATGGAGGTATTCATGGCGCCTGCAGCTGGGATGTGGATGGTACATTTCAATCCACTGCATAGCAAAATACATGCTGAAGTGAATGGCCTGATTGTTGAGGATAACAGTGTTAGCCTTTTTACTGAAGAAGAAGGAGAAGGAGGAGGAAGAGGGGGAAAAGGGAGGTGGAGGAGAAGGAGAATGAAGGGTAAGAGACAAGACAAGGTTTAATCAACCTCAGTTATACAGTAACTTTCATTCTGATTGTAACAAACAAGTTAATCTACATTGACAAATTAGTTACCATCTCTATCACCACTTTTCAGTGAATATGAATATGTTCATTAGAATATGTTTTTAAACTAATCAATATAATTGTCTGGTATCCCTTGAACACTAGGAATGGCATGTTTAACCGGACCCCAGCCTGGTGAGCTTCAGGCTGATGGTGCAGGGCATTGTGGCTATAAAAGGGGTGGTATTGGGGGTGGCGGCAGGGAGCAGATTAGTTGCAAAGCATCTGCCGCATGGTTGCTTTTTAAAAAAATCCTGCAGTTATGCCACAGCAACCCCCAAACACAAGCTGGTTAGTACCACACAACTGCTTTTTGAATGCTGAGCACATTCACCCACAAGCTAAATTGTAGGCAAGCCCTGGAGCTTTTACTCCTCTTGGGAAATTTGCTGGGGATGAGGTGAGCCTGGGAAACCTACTCAGAGGCCCTGTATATGATGTCCAGATTGAACCCTATGCCAGGGAGCTCAGCCAGGGGGTAAAAACAGCTGTCCCTTTGCTCATCAAGCCCTTCACCCTGTTGAGGGCTATGTCAGCCCTGAGAAAGGGACACCTTTTTCTAATCACACAAAGGGCTACTGGTGGGCTGCCCAACTAGATGTGATGTTAGCTATAACCACTGACACCTGACCAGTAGACTTGGCAGGCACCAGGCTAAGACTATTATTATCTTACTTTACACTCATAACTACCATTAGCTGCTTTTTATAAATGAGGAAATGGAGATCTAGAAAAAGTAAGTGGCTTTCCCAAGATAGCTTTCATAGTCCCACCTTCCCTTTTTTAGTAAGGATGGGTTGCTAGCCTTAGGACCGAGGCTGTGGGACAGCAGGTCCCAAGAGTTCGTTGAATCAGCATATCCAGCATCTGGGAAGGGTCAGCGTTTTCCATGCCCAGGTGGCCAAATGTAAACTACTATAGATACTTATCCTGTACATATTTGATACTTGATCATGTCTGATGTAGCTCTGCACCCCTCACAAATCCTACCAGCACACTTTAACACAGCAAAGTTTCACTCAGTATGAATTGGGGCTAGACGTGGTGACTCACACCTGTAATCCCAGCAATCTGGGAGGCTGAGGCAGGCGGATCACCTGAGGTTGGGAGTTCCAGACCAGCCTGACCAACATGGTGAAACCCCGTCTCCACTAAAAATACAAAAATTAGCCAGGCATGGTGGCGGGTGCCTGTAATCCCAGCTACTTGGGAGGCTGAGGCAGAAGAATCACTTGAACCCAGGAGGCAGAGTTTGCAGTGAGCTGAGATCACATAATTTCACTCTAGCCTAGGCAACAGAGCGAGACTCCATCTCAAAAACACAAAACAAAACAAAAAAATATATATATATGAATTGGATTGGTTAATGGAAAAAAAAGATAGTACGTCCTGGTTTAAGGGCTTCAGTGACATTTAAAATATGTTTCTTTTGGAAAATTGGAAAATTACACAAAAGTAGAAAGAGCATGAAACCTCCATGAATCCAAATTCAGTGTCAACAGTTACCAACATTTTGCCAACCTTGTCCCTCCCCGCATCCCAGCTTTTTGCCATATTTTCGTTTTGGGGCTTTTTTTTTTTTTTCGCTAATGTATTTTAAAGCAAATCTCAGATATTTTGATTCACATGTCACTATGGATAACTAACAGATAAGGGTTTTTAAAAAGTAACCACCATGGAATTATTATACCTAATATTAACAATAATTTTTAAATATAATGTAATACCTAGACCATATTCAAATTGATTACCTCAAAGGTGTCTTTCTGCAGTTAGTTTGTGGAATCAGAATGGAAATTATGTGCACAGTGTATTTGGTTATGTCTCTTGTATTTTCTCTCATAGTTTCACCTCCCCTTTTATGATAGTAATTTTTTTTTTTTTAGAAACCACGGCATTTATTACAGTGATTTTTATTTTTATTTTTTATTTTTTGAGACAGAGTCTTGCTCTTTCACCCAGGCCGGAGTGCAGTGGTGCTATCTTGGCTCACTGCAAGCTCCACCTCCTGGGTTCACGCCATTCTCCTGCCTCAGCCTCCCGAGTAGCTGGGACTACAGGCGCCCGCCACCGCGCCCGGCTAATTTTTTGTATTTTTAGTAGAGATGGGGTTTCACCATGTTAGCCAGGATGGTCTCGATCTCCTGACCCCATGATCCGCCCGCCTTGGCCTCCCAAAGTGCTGGGATTACAGGCATGAGCCACTACACCCAGCCTATTACAGTGATTTTTAACTGACTCTGGAAACACTTCCTGGAAGGGAGTTGATGCTCAGTTTTCAGGAGATTTGGGAATTCTCGGTTAGATCATAATTGTTCATTCAGCGCAAATGTGTACTGAATGCCCACTGTGTGCCCACCCTCTGCCCAATGCCGGAGATACAGTGGTATCCCAGTGCCCTGTCTGCTGGAAAGTGATGAGTGGCCATAAAACAGGATAGGAACATAGAGAATAACCAGGATCAGGGGAGGGAGGTGGTGGCTTTAGAGGGGGTAGTTCGACAAGGACTGAAGCAGTAACATTTTGAGACCTCAGTAATGAAGATCTGGAGAGCAGTGTTCCAGGCAGAAGGAACAAGAGCTCAAGACAGAGACAGCAAAGAGCTCAGTGAGTTACAGCCAGAGAAACAAGCACACTGCATGAATGTGGGAGGTAGAAGGGCTCCTTGGGGCCACAACCCCAGGGGGTTGGGAAGAGAATGGATTTTAACCTGGGCACAGTGCAAAATGATTGATGTCATGTTATCACCCCTGATTTAACCAGGTTTCAAAAATTTCCTTACCAGCTAATGGCATGGGGATGTGGCTGGAGTCCAAAGTGACACCCTTCGGCCTGGGTTTAGGTGTCTCTAATCGCCCTCACCTGCACTTGTGCCATCGCACACTCAAGGCTTAGGGGTTGAGGAAGGAGTGCTGGAAGGGCCCAGAAGGCAGAGCACTGGTGTCTGCACTATCAGGTTCAAAGCCCAGAAAGGCCAGGCATGGAGTGGCTCACGCCTGTAATCCCAACGCTTTGGGGTCTGGAGGATTGCTTGAGGCCAAGAGTTTGAGACCAGCCTGGCCAACATGGTGAGCCCCTACCTCTATTTAAATTTTCTTAAATTAAAAAATAGACCAGACACAGTGGCTCACACCTGTAATCCCAGCACTTTGGGAGGCCGAGGGGGGTGGATTACGAGGTCAGGAGTTTGAGACCAGCCTGGCAACATGGTAAAACCCCATCTCTACTAAAAGTACAAACAATTAGCTGGGCGTGGTGGCGGGCGCCTGTGGTCCCAGCTACTTGGGAGGCTGAGGCAAGCAGAATCGCTTGAACCCGGGAGGCGGAGGTTGCAGTGAGCCGAGATCGCGCCATTGCACTCCAGCCTGGACGACAAGAGCAAAACTCCGTCTCAAAATAATAATAATAATAATAAGGCCGGACGTGGTGGCTCACACCTGCAATCCCTGCACTTTGGGAGGCCAAGACGGGTGGATCCCTGAGGTCAGGAGTTCAAGACCAGCCGGACCAACATGGAAAAACCCCATCACTACTAAAAATACAAAAATCAGCCGGGTGTGGTGGCACACGCCTGTGGTCCCAGCTACTCAGAAGGCTGAGGCAGAAGAATCGCTTGAACCTGGGAGGCAGAGGTTGCAGAGCCAAGATCGTGCCACTGCAGTCTATCCTGGGTGACAAAGTGAGACTGTCTCAAAATATAAGAATAATAATTAATAAATACATAAAAACAAAAGGAAATGCAAGCAACACATTCTCAAGGTGGCCACAGGAGGGACAGTAGCAGAAGCCCCAGGCCCCCGGGTGGGAATAGCCCTCGTGGGTGCCTGAAGTGCCCGATGGCAGAGATGACAGCACCGTTTTCAGTGGAAACCCTTGCATTGCCTATGGGTTTTATTTCTCCTTCTCCTTACACTTCTGGGGATTCTAAGTCAATGGCACTGCAGTTTGAAGATGTGGCAGTGCCATTGACTTAGAGTCACCAGAAGTGTAAGAACGGTGGCCCCCCCTGAAAGTGTGGCTGATGCATTCCATTTGCCAGGAAAGCCAGACCTTTCCATCCCTTCCCTCTTTCTTTCCTCTCCTGGTATAAGATCCAGGAATCAGTCCTGAGACTCAGGGTGAACAGAGAGAGAAGGACATAAGCACCTCCCAGGCCTCCCAGTACCCGCTGTTAGTGTGGGGGCTTCTCTGGCTCCTGGTCAGGCCCCCTGCCCCCACCGGGTGTGCAAAGGAGCAGGGCCTTTTTGCCCACAGATCAGACAGGCTGCCCTTTCCCAGGGCTGCGGCCAACCTGCCAGCACCAGGATTCTTCCAGAACAGTTTCCTGAGAGCAGGGCGGTGATTTCAGCAGCAATATACTCACCAATTATTCATCTCACTGAATTTCATTAGTTTAAAAAATTATGTTTCTCTTTATTATAAAGGCAGGCAATTGACTACTGCCTGAAGAATAAACTCAGTGACGCTAGAGAGAGCTCGGCAGTATGTGAATAAAAGGTCATTAACAAGCCTAGTTCTTGCCATAAAGACAGGTGAGAGGAAAATAAACTCTCAAGGATGAGTAAATCACATCTCCTCAGCCATCTTTATCAAATACATGGCAAGATTGCCACTGTATGTGAACAGAACACAAGTAACCGTTTAATGGCTGCTTCCATTCGGGAGGCTTAGATGATCCAAGTTCCCACATCTTTGTCAACTGGTGCAGTTTTTGTTGTTGTTGTTGTTTTGTTTTTGTTTTGTTTTGTTTTTTTTTGAGACAGAGTTTTGCTCCTATTGCCCAGGTTAAGGTGCAGTGGTGCAATCTCGGCTCGCTGCAACCTCCGCCTTCTGCCTTCCGGTTTCAAGCGATTCTCCTGCCTCAGCCTCCCAAGTCACTGGAATTACAGGCGTCTGCCACAATGCCCAGCTAATTATTTTTTTGTATTTTTAGTAGAGACAGGGTTTCACCATATTGGTCAGGCTGGTCTCGAACTGCTGACCTCGTGATCCACCCGCCTCGGCTTCCCAACGTGCTGGCATTACAGGCCTGAGCCACCGAGCCCGGCCCCAACTGGTGCAGTTTTTTTCCGGCGTATTGATTTCCTTGGGCAGTTATCGGAAGTGATGTGCACAGCCGGATATTCCCTATCCTTGAGCAATGCAAGAACTCTCACACTGCCGTGATGGTGGCCTTCACCGAGACTGGACTCTCAGAACTGGATTGGGAAACAGCGGGGGGAGGGGGTGCATGGCAGATCTAGGAAAACACACTCAGGAAGCTTCCATGGACAGGGCCTGGGTGGAGTTGAATAGCAGGAGGAAGGCGGATGGTGAATTTGGAAGAGTAAGGAGGTCAAAGTGGCAATAGGCTACATATGCAACATGATGTCTTTTTAATTTGGAGTTTTCTCCTCTTTCTTTTTACAAAATACTCTCTTAAAAAGTGATATCTGAGACATGACAATTAAGTATGTGATCCTGATTGGATCCTGGACTGGAAAGGACATTATTGGGATAATTGGTGAAGTTGGAATATGGACTATAGATTAGGTAACAGTGCTGTATTGTGAAAATTCCTGAATTTGATAACTGGTTATGTGGGAACTCTTAGGAAATACACATTAAGGTATTTCAGAGTAAAGGGGCCGCCGAGTGCTCTGGTATGCACCTGTAGTCTCATACTTAGGAGGCTGAGGCGAGAGAATCAGTGGGGCCCAGGAGTTTGAGGCTATAGTGCACCCTGATCGTGCGTGTGAATAGCCATTGCACTCCAGCCTGGGCAACATAGTGAGACTCCACCTCTAAAAAAAAAAACTTTTTTTTAAGAGTAAAGGGGCACGATATATGCACTTCACCCTAAGATGGTTAAAATTTTTATATGTATGTGTGAAGAGAAAGATATTAAGAATGATAAAGCATGGCTAGGCACAGTGGCTTCCACCTATAATTTTGGCACTTTGGGAGGTGGAGGCAGGCGGGTTACTTGAGCCCAGGAGTTTGAGACCAGCCTGAGCAACACAGTGCGACCTCATGTCTACAAAAAATAAAAAATTAGCCAAGTGCAGTGATGTGCACTTGTAATTCCAGCTACTAGGGAGGCTGAGGTGGGAGGATTGTTTGAGTCCAAAATGTTGAGGCTGCAGTGAGCTCTGGTTAAACTACTGCACTCCAGACTGGGCGACAGAGTGAGATCCTGTGTCAAAAAAAAAAAGGAATGATACAGCAAATGTGGCAAAATGTTAACAACAGGTAAATCTAAGTCAAGAGTATACCAGAGTTCTCTGTATTATTCTTGCAAATTTTCTATAGGTTTAAAATTATTTCCCAATAAGAAAAATTTCATGTGCTACTTATTGCTTATTTTTATTTTATTTTTGTGACAGAGTCTCACTCTGTTGCCCAGGCTGGAGTGCAGTGGCACAATTTCGGCTCACCACAACCTCCACCTCCCAGGTTCAAGAGATTCTCGAGCCTCAGCCTCCCAAGTAGCTGGGACCACAGGTGTGTGCCACCACACCTGGCTAATTTTTGAATTTTTAGTAGAGACAGGGTTTCACCATGTTGGCCAGGCTGGTCTCGAACTCCTGACCTCAGGAGATCCACCCGCCTCGGCTTCCCTAATTGCTGTGATTACAGGTGTGAGCCACCGCACCTAGCCTACATGCTATTTATTGTATTGGTTAAGACTTAATTCAGCTGTGACAGAAAACCCATGAAAATAGCTTAATCAAGAGTGAGGTTTACTTCTCTTCAAGTAGAAGGAATCTTCCAGATGAGCAGTCTAGTTCATAAAGTTTCCAGGTCTCAGCTGCATCTCTTTTGTTGTTGGAGAATCCCCAGCAACTGGCTTCCGCCTCAGGAGCTAGCATGGCTAAGTACCAGCCATTTCCTACATTCCAGCTGGCAGGAAGGGAAAGGCTTGAAGAAAATGGGGAAGGGAACAAAAGGGCTCCTGCTGGCTCTTGTCATAAGACGAGGTTCTCTGAAAGTTGTCACTCAGTATTTTCACGTACACCCCATTGGCAAAAATATAGTCTCATGACCACAGATAGCTGCACAGCAACCAGGAAATGAAGTCTTTATTCTGGGTATTCCTAGGCCCACTTAAAAAACAGGAGTCTGGCTGGGCGCAGTGGCTCATGCCTGTAATCCCAGCACTCTGGGAGGCCAAGGTGGGTGGATCAGGAGTTTGAGACCAGCCTGGCCAACATGGTGAAACCCCGTCTCTACTAAAAATACAAAAATTAGCCAGGCATGGTGGCACATGCCTGTAATCCCAGCTACTTGGGAGGCTGAGGCAGGAGAATCACTTGAACCTAGGAGACAGAGGCTGCAGTGAACTGAGATCATGCCACTTCACTCCAGCCTGGGCAACAGAGCAAGACTCCTTCTCCAAAAAAAAAAAAATCAGGAGTCCTAGAATATGGAAGAAAGGGAGAATGGATGGTGGCTCGCTCCTTCCTTCCTTCCTTCCTTCCTTCCTTCCTTCCTTCCTTCCTTCTTTCCCTCCCATCCTCCCTCCTTCCTTCCTCTACTTTCTTTCTCTTTCTCCCTTTCCTCTCTTCCTTGATGGAGTCTCGATCTTGTCACCCAGGCTGAAGTGCAGTGGGGCGGTCTTGGCTCACTGCAACCTCCACCTCCAGGACTCCAGTGATCCTTCCACCTCAGCCTAACGAGTAGGTGGGACTACAGGTGCACACCACCACGCCTGGCTAATTTTTGTATTTTTTGTAGAGATAGGATTTCAGCAGTTTGCCCAGACCACTCCCAAACTCCTGGGCTCAAGCAATCTGCACACCTCGGCCTCCCAAGGTGTTGGGATTACAGCTGTGAGCCACCGCACCTGGCCATGATTAGCAGTTTCTATCAAATCAAGTTCTCTTCAGAAGACAGTTTGGCTCCTGGCAGCCTCCATAAAATCTGGGACCCAAGAGCCCCACTGAGAGGTCAGGCTGGCCCTGTCTCGTAATGCAGCTCGGTTAGCACAGGGGCTGATGTGCAGGCTGTAGGTTCCGTAACCTCCTGCCATCTCAAGCATGCACCCCCAGCGCCCCAACCCCACGCCGAACTCTGTGGACTGTAGGAGATCCACTTGTCGATGACCAGTTACTGTACTTGAAGGTTAATCCCTCACGTGGCTTTTGTCTAAGAGAACAAACGATTAAAAAAGAAAACAAAACTGAAGAGAATACCTTGAGTCAGAATGAAGGCTCTTGTGCCTTCTGGCTGCCTCCTGTGCTTATAGTGAAACAGAAGTCACACTTATTTTGCAGTTTGAGAGAGGGTAAAAATGCCTGTTTTGTTGAAAAGCTCACTATGCTAGATAATAAACAGTGTTTTTGGTTCCTTGAGATGTTGGCTTTAAGGCAGGGGATAATACAGAATGACTCCTGGTCAAAAAAATTTGAGACTCATGCATCCTGTAGCCTTCTCTTAGAGATTCACAATGCACATTAATACTTTAAAGGCTCTGAGAGGCCCTCTGTTCCTGCAACTTTTCTGTAAGTTTAAAATTATTTCCCAATAAGAAAAATTTTATGTGCTATTTATTATATTAGTTAAGACTTAATGCAGCTGTCACAGAAAACACATGACAGTAGCTTAATCAAGAGTAAAATTTACTTCTCTTCAAGTAAAAGGAATCTGCCAGAAGTTTTCTGAAAGTTGTCAGGTCTCAAGCTCCAACACTTTGGGAGGCCAAGGTAGGAGGATGGCTTGAGCTCAGGAGTTTGAGACTAGCCTGGGCAACAAACACAGTGAGACCTCATCTCTACAAAAAATTTAAAAATTAGCCCAGGTATGGTGGCACTTACTTGTGGTCCCAGCTACTTGGGAGACTGAGGCTGGTGAAGGTCAAAGCTGCAGTGAGTCATGATCTCACCACTGCACTCCAGCCATTAATTAATTGTTAATTAATATCAAATATTAACAGTAATTTGTTAATAGCAATTTTGATATTAATACATTAATTTTATTTTTAAAATAAATAATGTTAAGTAAATACCTACTTAATAATAAAATTAATTTATTAATATTAATACTTAAATTTATGTTAAAATAAATTTTAAAGTATTTAATAAATTATTTTATTGATATTAAAATTAATATTTAATGTTAAATATTATTATTTGATTATTAATAAAATAAAAGCTCTGAGAAGTCCTGCAAAAAGATGTCTATTTAATTCACAGCCTCCCAGACTTATTTCCCCAACTTTTTTCCTCTGTTGCCACCTACCTGCTTCACTCCTGCAAGTAGGAGCCTCCCTTGGAAAATGCCGTACCAAGACACGCTTTTGGATCTTGAAGCCCGCACTGCACAGACTTTAGCTTTTATTCTGGAGCAGGGATTCTGGGTTCTGGGTATTTCACAGAACAGGCACTTAAGTCACTGTTTACGCATAATGACAAGATTTTTTTCACGTGGCTGAATGTGAAAGCAAATGGAAGCTGCACTCTCAAGGGGGGAGGTGTATTGACACCTGAGAGTTTTTAAAGGGGTGTTTAGAAAATCAGCACCTTATTTGTGGCAAGGCTAGACTGCAGTCACTGTGTGTGTGACACTTGGGCCGTCGTGGCCCTACTGAGGCTCACAACGGGAGCCTCTATTTAGATATCCAGCCACTGTGTTGAAGATGCCCCTCCAGACGGAGGACAATCTTTAATGGTGAGATTTTTATTGCTAAATCTATACGGTTAATTGGCCAAGCATTGGAGGCCTGGAGTTTTCGTCTAAACCATGTCAAGTTATCAGAATTCAGTACTCAAGTGAGTTTTATGTGAGCTGGTGAGAAGATGAGGACAGATATTTTCACCTTCCATATGCAACCCGCAGTGAATGAAATGTATTTGCTTTCTCTTGGGAGAGTCAAGTGATAACACTGCAGCCTGGCCTCTGATGCTAACTAAACGGGCAGAATGATTTGCCTTCAAGAAATCAACAGCCCCATTAACTCTACTCATTTTGGGTACATTTTTCATTATTTTGCTGTGTAGTAATGTCAGGCTCTCTTTTGTGATGCTCATGGCACATTTCACATGCTGTCTCATTAATTTTTACAATACTCCTAGGTGTTAGTATTTTTGCCAGGAAAAACAAGGTTCTCGACAGCCTGGGGTCATGCAGCTAATTGGGACCTGCCAGAGACAGAGCCTTGAACCCCCTGGTCCTGAGGCTTAGCTGTCAGGGCACACAGCCTGTGAAAGGCACGTTTTCCCAGTTGCCATCTTACCTACAAATATTTTTGTTTGTTTATTTGTTTGTTTTTTGAGACAGAGTCTTGCTGCGCAATCTTGGCTCACTGCAAACTCCACCTCCCGGGTTCAAGTGATTCTCCTGCCTCAGCCTCCCAAGTAGCTGGGATCACAGGCGTGTGCCACCACGCTCAGCTAATTTTTGTATTTTGGGTAGAGAGGGTGTTTCGCCATGTTGGCCAGGTTGGTCTCCTACTCCTGAGCTCAAGTGATCTGCCCGCCTCAGCCTCCCGAAGTGCTGGGATTACAGGCCTGAGCCACAGCACCTGGCCACCTAGAAATATTTTTAAGAGTCCCTTGGGAAAAGTACTAACACTCCTCTGCCAACTCCTGTGGGCATCCCACAGAGCACTCCATCCACCCATCCATTCATACTATAAATATCTATTAAGTGCCTGCTTGTGCCAGGCATTGTCCTGAGTGCTGGGGAAGCCCCTGCCCTCAAAGAGATTGCCTATACACTTGTCCCAAGTGTCACAAAGAGCCCCAGCAGGGGTTGGTGAGCCCACCTTGCATATAGAAAAGTGAGAAGGGCTGAGGAGTGGGACCTCAGGGTGGGTGTTTGTAATTCCAATAATAATGATAAAAAGAGAGAACTCTCACAGGATGAGCTGGCATGATTCTAAGTACGAACTTATGTATTCTCCTAACACCTCTTTGATGTGGATACCATTATTGAATCCATCTTTTCAGATGATGAAATTGAGGCCCATAGCAGCTCCATGACTTGTCCAGGTCTCACAGAACAGGTGGGATTCAGTGCAGGCATTTAGCATTTAACTGTGCTCTCCTGCTCTCTAGAAAGCCTTTCAAAGGCAGGCAGGAAACGAAGACAGTTCTGGAGGCCCTGTGGGCCCTGGTCACAGTTTCAGGAGAGGGGAATGGTTCCAATAAACAAGGCAGCGACCATGTGATGGCCAGGTTCTGTGTCAGGCTGAGTCACCATTTGAGCAGAATGAAGGCTCACTTGCCCTCCTTGCCCCAGGGGACAGGCCAGGGAGACACACAGAGACCTTCTAGGCCATGAGAGGCTCATGACCACACATGCTGCCACCTCCCAGGCTGAAGACAGCTCTGGCGTTCAACCTTCCCTCATGCGCCAGGGATGAGATGTATGTATGGGGCATAGGGCTAGACACGCTCAGAGCACAGGAGGTGGGATGTGGCAGCGATGAGTCCCCAGGGCCCTTCTTGTCTCGTGTGGACTCATCCCAGCAGCCTTGTACACCTGGGCTGGAGGTGGGCAGGTGAAAGGCATCCCCTCTACTCAGGATCGTTGGGTGCCCGTTCCCTGCCTTGCCCCTTTCTTGGCCCAGCTCATGTCTCCCCAGATGACTCAGGAGGGGGCTGTGTGCCAGGGCGGGTGCCTCACAGGAGTCAGAAGACAGAGGTTCCTACCCTGAGGGCCTGGCAATGGAACACTTTGCTTTTAGAAATGGGTGTGTTCTAGAAAAAGACGTGACTGGGTCCTAATGAACAGCTTTACTCCACCCTCAACTCTGATGCTTTCTTCATATTTTAAGGGAACAAGATGCATGAGGCTCCCCACCCATCTCAGTCTACCGAGTGCCCAAGCAGCCCATTTTACAGATGAGGAAACTGAGGCCCTCAGAGAGATAAGATGTGGTAGAGGGGAGGTGAGGAAGAAGCTCTTTGCTTCAGAATCAGAACCAGAAATGAAGCCAGAAGGGGTAAGAGCGCCAAGGAGGGGCACCTCCTAAGGCTGTAGCCAGATACCATTGGATCTGCAGATGCTAGGTATTTTTGTTATTGTAGTGCCTGGAAATGGCAAGTGAAGAGACTGGGGTCCAACCAGGCTCCTTGATGTAATTGCCCACAAATGGGACCTTGGGAAAAAGAGTCCTGAGAGGTGTGTGGTGTCTCAGCTGAACACCACCGTAGAGTCCACCTGCACAGCTCACGCCCACTGACCCCACTTCTCAGCTCTGTGACCTTGGGCAACATGTTGCCCGTGACTCGGTTTCCTCATTTGTAAATAGTACACACCCCATGGGATTGTTATTAGGGCTAAGTGAGCTGATTCATATAAATAAAAGCTGTGAGCACAGTGCCTGCCCTGCAGCAGGAACCACTCAGTATTCAAACCATAAACAAGAGTTCATTTCAGTATTTAGGGTGCACACAAATATGGAATGGCTCATTTTATGATCTTATGGATTTCTCCTAAAATCTGTTAGGTGTTTCAGAATAACCTAATACTTGGGTTAAATTATTTAAAATGTTACTTAGATTCTCCCAGCCCCGTCATTCCCCTTTTTGTTCCTTAGTCTCTAAAAGTGCTTCCCTACCTGGGGGCTATTGCACTTGTTCCTTTCCCCTGTCTAAGATGCTCTACCCACCTTCTCAAATGCCTTTTCCCTGGGACCCTCTATCCCAATACCCCAGTTATTCCTTCAGAGCCACTGTCCCAGGCCGTGACCTTATTTGTTTATTGTCTAATTTCCCCCGGGTGCTTGTTCACTGCTGTATCACCTAGCATAGCACTTGGAACATACTAAAGATTTGATGAATGAAAGAATGAATAAATGAATGAATGAATGAGTGGCTGAATAGGAAGTGTGGGCTGGTGTGTTTAGCCTCAAAGCCTGTGATCCACTGACTGACCCTGCCATAGTCCACTTCCTCCAAGGCCTCTCATGTCTTGCCAGTGCAGAGCTGCCTCTCTCCTCTGAACACACAGCTGTCGTGGTCTGCACCAGCACTGGGCAGTGATGCATGGGCTGCTTCTCCTCCTTGTACCTGCTTTGATGATTTGACAGTTGCATTATTTCACATTCCCCATGATAAAGCCCAGTGCCCAGCTGAATGATAAATGTTCCTTGAAGGCATGTATTGTGAAGTAGAAGAAAAAGTCCTCTGCTGAGGGGCGGAGAACAGCTGCTTTAAGAGAGTGACAAGGGTTGGAGCAGCGATGTGGAGCATGTCTGAGGCTCCAGCTCTGAGCACAGGTGTGGGAACCTGAGCGACACCCAAGGAGTGGGGCATGATTGCCCAGAGGGCCATAGACAAAGGAGGAAGGGTGCTATGGGACCAGGTTCTGGAGCACAGCTGAACCTGAGAAGCAAGCAGATAATATCCCCAGGCATGGTTGTGCAGGGATGAGCAGAGGCTGAAACTCATATGAGAGGACGGGCTGGGTTCAAGACATCAGATCAGTGTATCTGAGTTTGTACCAGTGTGTAAGAAGTTTGGCCAAAGGAGGAGGCCTGGAGTGCAGGGGCTTTGCTAAGGGTTAGAAAGAGCCCAGGGGACCCACTGAAGGAAAAGCTAGACCACACTGAACAGAGATTAGGATCCCTTGTAGGTGTAAGGGAGACAATCTCCTTGCAGACCTGTGTTCCAGTTCTAGCTCCTCTACTTAGTCAGTCTTAAACTGGGTAAGTGTCTTAACTTTTCTGAGCTTTGGCTTCCTCCTCTGGGAAATTAAGGTAATATTGCCTACCTCATAGGGATTAAATGGGAGGACAAAGGTGAAGCATGTAGCACTACCCAAGAATGTAATGTCTGCAGCAGTGGAAGGCTAAGCTGCATGGGGATGAGCTTCCTGAAGGGCATGGGTGAACCAAGGGTCTTTACCTTGGGCAGGGATTCTAGCTCATGGGGGAGACAGGGTGTCTTAGTCTGCTCGGGCTGCCATAGCAAAATACCATGGACTGGGTGTCTTCAACAACAGAAATTTATTTTCTCACAGTTTTGGAGGCTGGAAGTCGAAGGTCAGGGTGTCAGTGTGGTTGGTTCCTGATGAGGGCTCATTTCCTGGCTTGCAGACAGCTGTCTTCTGACTATGTGCTTACATGGCCTTTCCTTGATGTGCACACGTGGAGAGAGAGAGAACACATGCTCTGATGGCTCTTCTTATAAGGACACTAATTCTGTCAAACCAGGGTCCAGCCTTATGACCTCGTTTAACTTAATTACTTCCTTAGAGGCCTCATATCCAAATACAGCCACATTGGGGGCTAGGGTTTCAATGGATGCATTTAGAGTTGACACAAACATTCGGTTCATAACAAGTAGGGTAAAGGGTAGCTTAAGTGACAAGAAGTCCTCTGAGCACTCTGAACAGAGCCCCAGTCCAGTCTCCCCAGTGTGGCCTGGCTTTTCATACCAGATATGAGAATGGTTGAATTCAGTTTTGCTCACCTGGAATTGTCCTTAAAGTGATATTCCACTGTGCATATTGGAAAACTCAGTCTTCAGAGTTCATTGGGAAATCACCATCAATACTGCTGCTTTTATCCTGTCTTTGGGAAGTGGAGTAGGGTCTCTCAGATACGAGAAACCTCATCAGAAGGAAAGCACATGTTCTGCTGCCACCTTCATGCCTGGTGACACATTTCCATCTGGAGCAGCCACAGACCATACCACTGAGACCATACCACTGCACTCCAGCCTGGGTGACAGAGTGAGACTCTGTCTCAAAACAACAACAACGTTTTCCCTGTGGGGAATGCCATTTCTTCTTTTTAGAGTCAAATTGTGTCCTATTCCATTTCCAGATACCGTTTTCTAGGACAAGTTCCCCAGACAGGAATCTCGACATTCTTTCAGCAGCATCGTTCCACAGTGATTTGCCCTTTGTATTCTTTTTAACGCATTCTTCCTGTGTATGTATTGAATGAATTCCAAAACAAATGAGTGAGTGAATGAATGAATGAATGAGTTGTTTTCATTGTGATTGTGGTTCCCCAAGAGCAGAGTTTATTCTTTCTTTCCACACACACAAAGAAACCCTACTGGCCAGTAGATCGCCCAATAAGTGTTAGCTTCTTACATGACAGGCTCCCCGTCAGAGAGCTATTCACTCAGTTCATAAATTTGGAAATCTCAGGAATATTTTGATTTTCACTGCATTGGCCTTTTTACACCATGTTTACTCAGTTTCAACCTTACTTCAATAAAGCAGAGGCTTGATCATACTCTGCACAGCCTACTGCATGTCTCGGTGTGATGAGTGGATCTTGAGCCACAGCAGGGACTGCCAATCTGTCATTTTCTGAGGAATACTCCTTTTTTATTGGCTCTGATATTTTCATGTGTGATCTCAGCAGCTGTGCCTTTGTGTTTGAAAAGAGCCAGGTCTCACTGAGGAGCTGTGTAGCCAGTAGCATTTATTGAGTTTCTGCTTTGTCCCTCCACGTAAGCAGTAGGAACCCTGGGATAAATTGTGCCCATCAGGGAGGAGATGCCTCTATCTCTGGGGAGCTTAGGAAGGAGCTGGGGAGACAGGACATACACAAGAGAGGTTCCATGAGGAGCACTGAGAAACCAGAAGATGGTTTCATGATTCCTGGGGGCCAGTTAACCTGCCAGGGCTTCTCTCTCCCTGAGGAGGAGTTTGATAAGAAAGACTGGGTTCAATTAGCAGCTGATTAGGAGACATGAACAGAGTAAAGTGCACTTTCCAGACAACTATTGCTGACTGCTCCTGTGGGCAGGGGGCTGAGGAAATTGCTAGACCAGGGGTGATTTTGCCCCCAAGGGAAAATTTGGCAATGTCTAGAGACATTGTTGGTTCTCACAACTAAGGTGGGGGAAATGCTACTGGTATCGAGTGGGTAGAGGCCAGGGAGGCTGGTACACATCCTGCAATGCACAGCACAGACCCCCACCACAAAGAATCATCTGTCCCACAACATCAGCAGTGCCCAGGCTGAAAAACCTCATGGCAGCCTGAGTGAGCGTCGGGGCGTGGTCTGAGTGCTGGGAACTGGGTCACTTTTCCTCCTTGGGTCTCAGTTTACTTATCTGTGACGTAATGATCTCTTAGGTTACATTCAGCCCTAACATTCTGTGATTTGGTGAAGCTAACTTTAACTAGAGATTAAAGGTGGGATGTGAATGTCTTTAGAATATCGTGCTTTAAAAAAATCAGAAGAAATATGGAGGGCATTTAAGAGACTTTCTAGGAAATAGCGCTTAACCTCAGGTAAATACTTAAAACTTTGAACCATTTCACCCTCTTAAGGAGCTGTACAAGGAGCTGAAAGGGCCTCGTTCTAGTGCTTTGTCTCTAAGGAAGGAATTTTTGTTGGCGCTCAAGGGACAGCCCAGAGCAGAATCTTCTCCTCGAGTTACACAGGACTAAGATGCCAGCCAAGGGCACCTGAGGGCCCCTTTTCAAGTCTTGTCCCCACTGCCAAGTCCCCGAAAGGGGAAGCCTTTCCCACGCCTGCACCATTATTCCACCTCCTCTGGCTGAATTTGAGCCACACCCTCACCTGATACCTGTCTCTGTTCATATCAAAAAAAGCCTGCTCCTCTAGACCTTAAGAAATGACCAGAGGGAGAATATGAGAAAAAAAACAAGCTCTACCTGTGTGGGGAAGCCAGCCTAAAGGGAGAACAGATTGTCAGAATTGCCATGCTATTACATGTACTGGGACTTTCCAGAAAAAGCAATTGCTTCCAATAGAATCCCCTTGCCACAAAATAGTAAAGGCTGTTTAATGAACTATTTTAAAAATCCAATGTTAAAAATTCAAATCATCCTTGTAAAGCATGCTGTTTATGAAGAGAAAATTCCACAGGAAGATAACCCTGATGAAGGATCTATCACCAGGTCGTACGTATGATAATTTTAAATTTCAGAATGTTTGGCAATGTTTTCATGGAAGTGTCAGGAATTTCGTTACAGTCACAAATCATGTATGTGTAATTAGAATGCTAAAACAGCACATTTTTTCTATCAATGTAAACTGGGGCCCCAAAGGATGAAAAAAAATTTGTAGATGCCCATTACTCTCATATTACAAAGCAAGGTAAGTCCACCGTCAAGGACTTACTAAGGGGCCAGCCGGTAGCTGTTTTGCAACCCTAAGCCCATTTACCGACGTGGAGGATTACTCTGGATCTTTGGAAAGGTTGTCAATGTGTCAGCTTCTCTGACCCACCAGGGCCATGGCAGAGGGAAGAGGTGCTTCCTTCTCACCAAGTGACAAGGGAGAGATCAAGAGGAATACTGAGAGAGCTTGATGCTCATCCGCAGGTTAGAGGAGTGCAGGAATGGATAAGAGCAGAGAGAGAGGAAGAAGGCTGCGTTGAGAGCCACTGCTGTACCCCAGCTGTTGGGGCAAGAATGCAGTTTTTCAGTAGGCCAACCAGACCTCTCCTGAGGGTCCAGTGAGGAGCCTGTCACAGAGCCTCGCCCAGGTGGGCTGCATGGAGGAGTGACTGGGCCCTGACAAAGGGGAAGTCTGTGTGAGGTAGACCCCTGGATGATCCGGCACTGAGGTTCAGTGACAGGCAGAAAAATGGCGGCCGCATCATAGGTGTTTCAATGGGGGATTCACAGCAGAGCCATCTCCAAGGCCCCACACAAGCTTTCCTGGAGACAAATGCCAGCTTCAGACGTCCGCCAAGTCCTGAGTGCACAACGTCCTATTATATCTGGTCCTATTATATAACCCAAAGACTATGACTATTTTTTCCTAAGTCCCCTTCATAGGCCAACTCTGGGAGGACCTCACAGGCTACAGGAGGAGGAAGTAGAATCTAGAAGAAAGAGAAAGAAGCAGCCAAGCTTTCCCATATCTGCCCTTCAGGTTCCTAGGACGAAAGCACAGAAGCTCTAAATCATAAGAAGCTGGAGTTGTTATTCTAACACTGGAAGGAACATTTTTAAAGTGTACAGAATACTTGTAAGAGCGAGGGCCAGGCGCGGTGGCTCACGCCTGTAATCCTAACACCTTGGGAGTCTTCAGTGGGTGGATTGCTTGAACCCTGGAGTTTGAGACCAGCCTGGGCAACATGGTGAAACGCCTTCTCTACAAAAAATACAGAAGTTAGTGGGGCATGGTGGCGCACACCTGTAGTCCCAGCTACTCAGGAGGCTGAGGTGGGAGGATCATCTGAGCTCGAGAGGTAGAGGCTGCAGTGAGCTGAGACCATACCACTGCACTTTAGCCTAGGTAACAAAGTGAGACTCTGTCTCAAAACAACAAAAACCCCATAAAAAAACAAAAGCAAAAAACTGATGGCTCCTCAGTCAGTCTATTAGCCTTGTTCTTCCCTGGGGTTCCCTGAGGGATATAAACCCATGCCCCAAGGCACCCATTTCTGAATTCACTCCTCTCTTTTGCAGTTAGAATGGTTCTCTGAGCATCCTTGGAAGGGATGAGGGGCTGGCACAGTGGCTCATGCCTATAATCCCAGTGCTTTGGGAGGCTGAGGTGAGAGGATCACTTGAGGCCAGGAGTTTGAGACCGGCCTTTCCCTGAAAACAAAAAAAAAAAAAGGAAGGATGAGGAAACAGTCATCCAAATCATTTTCTGTCCTGTCCTGTGTTCACATAAAGAATCTTGTTTTACATTAAAACATTTTACCTTCAGAAGAAGTTTAATTTTATTTCTCAAACTGTACATTTTATACCCAGAAAATCCAAAGTCTTTCATAACCTGGCCCCTGCTTACCACTCCCCATACTCCCTTCATTTGTGGATAATCATTTACATCTCCATGGCTTTGCACAGGCCATTTCTTTCTTTAAAAAAAAAAACAATTAATTTTATCAAATAGAGATGGGGCTGTTGTCCAGACTGTTCTCGAACTCCTGGGCTCAAGCAACTCTCCCACCTCAGCCTCCCAAAATGCTATAATCACAGGCATGAGTCACCGCACCGGCCTGGAGAGGCCGTTTCTAACTAGAATGCTGTTGGCTTCTTGTACTTCAGTAAAGAATAAAATGAAGACTGAGAGACCAATGATTGAGAGATGAGGGGAAAAGTTTCACTGCCAAGCAGGAAATCTAATCCAAAACAGAGTCTAGTTTCCCTGGTGGATGAGATTCAAGGGAGAGGAAATGGGGTAGGTCTTTAAAAGCCAAAACGTATTGAACTGTCTCTATCCTATTTTAGGAGAGCAAAGTCTTGGCATGTTCTAATTGGTGACTGATATCTGGGCTTGTTGATTAGGAAACCACAGAGCTGGCTGAAGGTGACCTGCTGTGGTCGCATCTGGATCACGGTGTGTACTTGTCTGTGATGTGGCTGTGAGGCACTAGAATGGGGATTATGGTGTCTGGGAAATTCTCCTGCCTAATATCCCCTGTCCACTATTCCACCCTACACGCCAGCTCGACTGAGGGAGGCCCCTTCCTCTGTGCTGCTGTAACTCTCAGGCTCATGCCTCCCTGTGACGGCACTCACCCTGTGTCTTGTTTAATCATTGATTAATCCTTGTGTGTCCAGCACCCAGAACAATGTCTGGAACACTGTAGCCACCTGCGGTTTATTTAATGAATCAGTAACAATAGCATATGCAAATTGAAGATTTATCATTTCTATTGTTTCCTCTAAAGTATACACAACAGACATTTCTTTAGAAGTGACATTTCAAGATTCAAAAGAATGTAGTTTTGAATTGAAGTGGGGTGTAGAGAATGATGGTATGAGGCAATATGAATATCTTGGTAGGGGTTCAACTTATCCTAACTAGTGATTTAAATTAATATTTATGTAGATTTGATTTAAATCAAATCCATCTTGGAAGGGAGAAATGTTTATAACAGATGGGCATATAATAGAACCCTGTAATAAAATCTAAGTTTAAAGCTCAGCAAATTCCTTTCGGCTTGCAGATGGAGTTGGGAAAAACAGTTGACATTGGTGAGTTACAGTTAGTTTCTCAGGAAAGCTAGTGATTCAAGAATGAAGGGTGTTTTTCTGCTAGAAAGGAAGTACTGTAGAGAAGATGAATTCTGTATCCAAAGACATGTAAGAGAAGATGTGGGAATGACAGCAGGAAAAAGAGGCTGTACCTTAAACAATAGCCAGATGGAAACAAACAGAATAGCAGATAGTGGTGGGTATGACTTGATTTTTAGTGCCATTCATTACAGTAAGTAACATTTACTGAGCACCTACATTGTGCCTGGCACTGTGCTAAGTGCATTTTATGATTTATCTCTGTATTCTTCACAGGACTTAGGGGAGGATGCTAATATTATCACCAGTTTACATATGAAGAAGTTGAGGCTTAAAGATTTTTTTTTAAAGCAGCCCAAAATCTCAAAGCATATAAGTTATGGGGCCCGACTCCAGAATCTACTGTTAACCATCTTTTCATGACAAGAAATAGAAACAAAACTCAAACTAACTCAGAAAAAAGATGGATGTCATTGGGAGGAATACTAGGGCATCTGACAAGACTCAGAGATGCATTTGGACATTAGGGACAGCTGCAACCAGGGTCTGGAATGCTATTCTTTTCTTTTTTTATTTTGTATTTTTTGAGATGGAGTCTCACTCTGTTGCCCAGGCTAGAATGCAGTGGCACGATTTCAGCTCACTGCAACCTCTGCCTCCTGGTTTCACGCAATTCTCCTGCCTCAGCACCCCGGGTAGCTGGGGTTACAAGTGGCCGCCATCATGCCCAGCCAATTTTTGTATTTTAGTAGAGACAGGGTTTTACCATGTTGGCCAGGCTGGTCTCGAACTCCTGACCCCAAGCGATCCACCACCTCAGCTTCCCAAAGTGCTGGGATTACAGGCGTGAGCCACCGCGCCCAGCCTGGAATGCTATTCTTTTTCTCTGTCTCTTATTTCTCCTTCTCTATGCCTTTTAGCTTTATTCTCTTCTTCTGAAGCTTAGCTTTTTTCACTTGGCAGGAATACAGATGATTAAAGCTGGTGACCTCCTATCTTATGGAGTCAAGCAGCAGGAAGGATTGGTTCTTTTCCCTTAGTTTTAGTTCAAAAAGTCCAATGATGGGCTTAGTTTGAGTTGGGGCCTCCCTTGTTTTCCCCAACCCCTCTTTTCCAGATCAGTCATCTATGGCTAAACAGTCTGAGAAAAATTATTGGCTTAGCTTGGATTAATCATGAGCAAGATCATATAGCACAAACACGGCCTTGGGGGCCATCCCTGTGTCCCGGACAATCCTGGAGAAAGAGATAACACTTTAAATTGAACATCCATCCCCGAGTGGATGCTTAAAAATGCAATAATGAGGAACACAGGTTACTTTAAACGTAAAATATTTAAGTGAGAAATGCATAGCTGTATAACTGAGTTGTATGGGGATTCCCCAGAAATCAGACAGTCTGTGCTTTCAGAAAATGTACCCAGATTTTTTGTTCTTAGGCACAATTCTGGAGAGGCATTCTAAGCTATTGTTTGGTACTTCTTATTTATTTTTTAAACAGTAGATTTCCTTCATGATGATATAGTTCTGAAAATAAGTGAGCCTGATGACAAGGTTGAAAGGATTTTTGTTTTCATAAGCTTCTTCATTTCAGTAATTTCAGAGACTGGGAGTCACACAGTCTGCAATGTTTAACAAGCCTTCCTATAGTATATAGAAGCTCCTTTTCATAAACATCCCTAAAGTCATCGTGCCGCAAGTTAAGCCTGTTTTCTTTGAGTTTGTTCTCAGAAGAAATGGGTATGAGCATAGAAGCTTCCCTTCATCAAACCACGTAGTTGCATCCTCAGTTCCTAGCATGTCCCCTCTGGGTTTATTGTCCAGTCAGCCCTTTTATTATCTCAGTTACTCTCTGTGAATCTCCTCTGCCATCTCCACGTACCCCTTTTTGTTGCCAAGCCCAGATCTAATTGGTCAGTCTTTTAGTGAAACCCCAGAGCAACAAAGACAATTCCTCACCCCACACCCTTCCCCAGGCATCCCGCACCACAGTGATTGTTTAAGCACAGGGCCACAGGCCAACTTGTTGCATTTGAATTCCACTATAACCAGCATTGTATCTGTATTCTAAAAAGTGTCAAGTCTCTACATTACAATCAAAGCATCAATCTCTAAACAGTGGGGGAGAAAATGTACCTCAAGGTTAAGAGAATCTAGGCTGGGAGTGGTGGCTCACACCTCTAATCCCAACACTTTGGGAGGCCAAGGCAGGTGGATCACTTGACCTCAGGAGTTTGAGACCAGCCTGGGAAACATGGCAAAACCCCATCTCTACAAAAAATACAAAAATTAGCTGGGCATAGTGGTGGGCGCCAGTAGTCCCAGTTACTCAGGAGACTGAGGTGGGAGGACCACCTGAGCCTGGAAGGTCAAGTTTACGGTGAGCCATGATCATGCCATTGCATCCCAGCCAGAGTGACAGAGACCCTATCTCAAAAAAAAAAAAAAAAAAAGAAAGTTAAAAGAGTCTAACAGCAAGTAGAACAAATGGAATTAATGATGACAGTTCGATATATTGTGCCCATCACAGTCAGCAGATCCAAAACAGCCACTAAGCACTAGATCCAGGAGTCCCCGGGCCTTTGCACCCACTGTTCCAAACACTACCAAGGATGCTGTTTTCCCAGACAGCCCATGGCACACTTGATGGGCCCATCCAGATCTTCTCACAGAAAGTGTTTCTCAGTGAGGCTTTCCTTGACCATCCTATTTAAAACTGTGACTTTCTGGTTCAGACCAGCCCACCCAAGTCCACCATCAGTTGTTCCCAATCCTCTTTTAAAGCTGTTTTATTTTTCCTGGCAGCACTTACTGGACATGGTCTATAGTTTTAGTTGTCTATCTGTAATTGTCTGTCTACCCTAGTAGAATGTAACTTCTGTATGTTTTGTTCACTGCTTTATTCCTCATCTCTTAGGAGCATGCCTGCCTACCACAGAGGGACCCTTAGTGAATAATCTTTTTTTTTTTTTTTTTTTTTTGAGGCAGAGTCTCACTCTGTCGCCCAGGCTGGAATGAAGTGTCGCGATCTCAGCTCCCTGCAAGCTCTGCCTCCCAGGTTCATGACATTCTCCTGCCTCAGCCTCCTGAGTAGCTGGGACTACAGGTGCCTGCCACCACGCCAGGCTAATTTTTTGTATTTTTAGTAGAGACAGGGTTTCACTGTGTTAGTTAGGATGGTCTCGATCTCCTGACCTCGTGATCCGCCCGCCTTGTCCTCCCAAAGTGCTGGGATTACAGGCATGAGCCACCGCGCCTGGCCCATGAATAATCTTTAAGTGAAGAAATCTATGAATGCAAGTAGAATTCTTTGTGGTGAGGAAGAGCACTTGAACATTTTTATTTATTTATTTTATGGAGAATGTATATAATGCTTGCTATATGCTAAACACTGTTCTAAATGATTGACAACTATATCTCATTTAATCCTCACAACAATCATGTGGGGTAGGACTATTATCTTCCCCATTTTGTGGATAAGGAAACATAGGCGCAGTCATGAATCACAGTGGGCGTGTGGCCTATTCTGAGTCTGCTCTCAAACACTACCATGCTGCCTTTATTAATTAAATAACTGAAATATAGCAGAAACACAAAATTGGACAGATTTGGGCTGGGGCGAGCCACGGAGAGCTTTCTGGGCAAGGTGAATTGAGCACAGATGCTGCAGAGGAGGCAGTGAATCAAATCCAAGTGTGGGAGAGACGAACTGGGAGACTCAGAAGTGGCAAAAGAAATGGAGAGAAGGATGTGCAGGTGAGAACAGGGATGCGGGGCCCCCAGGATATACAGAGAGAAGCACAGGCACTAGGAGAGACTGACTGAGAAGCCTGGACAAACTGAATGAGGCGTCCACTGATGGCCCCCAGGGACCCTTCACTACGGCCTGGAATTCAGGAGCCAGCATCCAGCCAGTGGCTTACGCAAAACAAGGGTTGGGGAAGCAAGTGTGGGCATGAGCCTAAGTATATGTAATTTAAGAGTGAGATGGGGAAAGAGTGAAGAAGGAAAGAGAGAGGAAACACAGATTCTCAGAAATTTGCATTCATAATCTCTCATCTCTCCCCTAATCTTAGATTATCAAATATATTCATCGATTAAAACTTCTTTAAGAAGTGAGTGGATAAACCAATTGTGGTATGTGCATATAAAGAAACACTGCTTAGAAATAAAGAGAATGAACAACATTTTGGTTTCTTTCATTCCACTTAATCAAAATGAAATCATTTTCATTCCACTTAATCATTTTGGTTGATGCAACAACATGGATCAACCTCAAAATGATTAAGTGGAATGAAAGAAACCAAACAAAAAGTATAATCTGTATGATTCCCTTTACATAAAATTTTAGGCAATGCAAACCAATTGATAGTGACAGAAAACGGGTCAGTGGATGCTTGGGGATGGAGCTGGGGGATGCAGGAAGGACTGGAAGGGAGGGATTACAAAGGGGTCCAAGGAAGTTTTTGGGGTGATAAGTATATTCCTATCTTCATTGTGGTGATGGTTTCACAGGTGTTCACTAGTGTCAAAATGCATCCAAATTTACACTGTTTTCCCAAGGTTTTTAAGTTGGGAACTCTCATCTTCTCCTAAGATTTGATAAATAATTTCTTGTCTTCTAGGTTTTCTTCTTAAGTTGGAGATGAGGGGTGGTGGTTAAAAACTCCTGCTTAGCTTATTTTCCCTTTAGGGATTGATTACACTTATTTCTGTCTCCCTTGCCTGTGTGAGAAAACCTCTCCAGCCCTGGAGCAACTTCTTGGGGCTTCTAAGTGGATTGAATTCTGGTCCCCAGAAGATATGTCTACGTAGAACCACAAAATGTGACCTTATTTAGAATAAAGGTCTTTGCCAGACCTTATTTAGCATAAGAGTCTTTGCCATTGTAATTAAGGTAAGGATGTCAAGATAAAAATCATCCTGGATTAGGGTGGGCCTTAAATCCAATGGTGATTGTCCTCATGAGAGATAGAAAAGGACAGAGACACCATAGAGGGAAGGCCATGTGAAGACAGAGACAGAGACGGGAGTTCCTGCAAGCCAAGGAACACTAAGAATTGCTGGCAGCTAGGCACGGTGGCTGAGGCCTGTAATCCCAGCACTTTGGGAGGCTGAGGCAGGTGGATTACTTGAGCCCAGGAGAGCAGCCTGGGAAAACTGGCAAAACCCCATCTCTACAAAAAATACAAACATTAGCTGGGTGTGGTGGCATGTGCCTGTGGTGGTCCCAGCTACTCAGGAGGCTGATGTGGGAGGATCATCTGAGCATAGGAGGTTGAGGTTGCAGTGAGCTGAGATCGCACCACTACGCTCCAGCCTGGGAGAAAAAGTGAGACCCAGTCTCAAAAGAAAAAAAGAAAAAGAAAGAATTGCTGGCAGCCACCAAAGCTAGGAGAGAGGCGGATTCTCCTTCAGAGCCTCCAGCAGGAGCCCTACATTTGTGTTGTTTTAAGCTCATAGTAATATGTTATGGCAGCTCAGGAAATCAGGCCACTAGGTACTTTTGTTGCTACTGTCCTTAGTTCTACCACTGTATTTTGTTTCCGCTGTTTGTTCTTCATTCTCTGAACTAATCCTGTTAGAATTTTATTCTCTTAGTATTTCACCATTTCTACCTAGCTGAACATGTTCATTAACTTCTTTTTTTTATTATTTTTTGAGATGGATTCTTGCTTTGTCGCCCAGGCTGGAGTGCAGTGGGGCAATTTCAGCTCACTGCAACCTCCGCCTCCAAGATTCAAGCAATTCTGATGCCTGTCTCCCAAGTAGCAGGGATTACTGGCGTGCACCATTATGCCTGGCTAATTTTTGTGCTTTTAGTAAAGACGGGGGTTTGCCATGTAGGCCAGGCTAGTCTTGAACACCTGGCCTCAAGTGATACACCTGTCTCAGCCTCTTAAAATGCTGGGATTACAGGCGTGAGCCACTGTGCCTGGCCAGAAAAGGGAAACTTTGAGAAGTTAATGAACATTGGCCGGGCAGGGTGGCTCACACCTGTAATCCCAGCACGTCGGGAGGCTGAGCAGAAGGATGGCTTGAGCCCAGGAGTTTGAGACCAGCTTGGGCAACATGGCAAGACCCCATTCCTACCACCCCCCCCCACACACACACACACACAAACTGGGTGCAGTGGTGCATGCCTGTAGTTCCAGGTACTCAGGAAGTTGAGGCGGGAGGATTGCTTGAGCCCAGGAGGTCAAGGCTGCAGTGAGCTATGATCACACCACTGTACTCCAGCCTGTGGGACAGGGCAAGACCCTGTCTCTTAAAAAATCATAAAAATAAAAAAGTAAACAAAGTTTCCATTTCCTTGTCTGCAGAATGAGCGTGAGTTCCTATGCCTGGGGTTGGTTGTGAGGATTCAATGAATCCATACATGGAAATGCTTTAGAACAGTACCCAGCACGTAACAAATGCTGTATTCATGTCATTACCGTTATTACTAGGTACTGCTCACACTTTCCAAGGGGTGGCTCTCTGGTAGCTTCTTCAAAATTAATGGTACATTTTCTTCCATCAGGGTTATTGATGAAATGTTGCATTAGTCTTGGATCTTGGGTGATGGTGTGAGAAAGTCTTTGCATGGGTCCTGGGATTAATTCTGAACTAGGTTTTCAGCAAATCCCCTTATGATCTCTCCCAACAAACGGAAAACCTCAGTGGTGTTAAAACTAGTCATGGTTTACCTCAATGGTTGGAGATGAGCAAAGGGCTCCCAGGCCATTGCTTGGTCCACCATCGAAGCCAATTTACTGTTCTTTGTTCCACAGCTTCAGCCTAACTTTAGGCATCCTTTTCCATGTGTGGGCCATTGGTCATATGCAGACCGAGCAAAAAAATGTAGGAGGCTTATAGAAAACCCATTGGCATGTTTGGAAAGACAGAAGTCCACACTGTGTTGATGTGTGGTTAGCAGCATCTTCTTCACTGTCTGACTACATATGAAACTGACTTTAGGCCTTGCCACCACTTTCTTTCTCAAAGAAATATGAAGAAATTATGTAGAATAATAAATATGGAGCTTCCAGGTAGTAAGTTTAATGGAATGAGTTTAGAACTTTTCACCTCCTTAATGGGTTGTGAGTTAACCTAAGAGTATTTTTTATCCATAATTTGCAATGCACTGAGGAACAGGTAAGCAAAACAAAATCAAAAGCTTCATCAAAGCCAAGAAAGATTGCAGCTTTCATTCCTTCTATTTGCAAAGCCCTTCAATGTCACTGAAGGCTAAGTGTCTAGCTCCCCTCTTTATCAAGCCATGCTGCCTGTGCATCTGCTATGGACTCGATGTTTGTGTCCTCCCTTAATCCATCACTGAAATCCCAGCCCCCAAGGTGATGGTCTTAGGAGGTGGGGCGTTTGGGAGGTGATTAGCTCATGAGTGCAGAATCCTCATGAATGGGATTAGTGCTCTTATAAAAGAGACCAAGTGGCTCATGCCTGTAACCCCAGCACTATGGGAGGCCGAGGCGGGTGGATTACCTGAGGTCAGGAGTTCGAGACCAGCCTGGCCAATATGGAGAAACCCCATCTCTCCTAAAAATACAAAAAGTTAGCCAGGTGTGGTGACGGGCGCCTGTAATCCCAGCTACTCAGGAGGCTGAGGCAGGAGAATTGCTTGAACCCAGAAGGCAGAGGTTCTAGTGAGCCAAGATTGCACCACTGTACTCCAGCCTGGGCAACAAGAGCGAAACTCCGTCTCAAAAAAAATTAATAAATAAATGAGAGACCCGAGAGCTCTTTTGCCCCTTCTACCTTGTGAGGGCGGCAAAAAGACAGCTGCCTCTTAATGAGAAAACAGGCCCTCACCAATGTGGAATCTGCCAGCACTTTAATCTTGGACTTCCAGCCTCCAGAACTGTAAGACATAAATTCCGGTTGCTTATAAGCCACCCAGCTTATGGCATTTTGTTATAACAGCCCAAATAGACTAAGACAATATTCTTTTTATTATTTTAAAAAAGAAATTAAAGGATTCTAAAACACATAATTTAAGCTTAGAGATTTGTGATTTCCAGAATCATCTGAGACTTAGGAGGTCTGAGCATTTGATATGGTTTGGCTGTGACCCCACCCAAATCTCAACTTGAATTGTATCTCCCAGAATTCCCGCATGTTGTGGGAGGGACCCACAGGGAGGTAATTGAATCATGGAGGTTGGTCTTTACTGTGCTATTCTCATGATAGTGAATAAGTCTCATGAGATCTCATGGGTTTATCAGGCGTTTCTGCTTTTGCTTCCCCCTCATTCTCTCTTGCTGCCACCATGTAAGATATGCCCTTCACCCTCCACCATGATTACGAGACCTCCCCAGCCATGTGGAACTGTAAGTCAAATTAAATTTCCTTTTCTTCCCAGTCTCGGGTATGTCTTTATCAGCAGCGTAAAAACGGACTAGTACACCATTCATCTATGTATTATCCAAAGGGCCTCTGTTGTGACTTCACCCAGTTCCATTCACCATATTTATATGGTCTCTTGACATGAGAATATAGTTTTATGTGTATATCATTTTTTTAAAAATCAGAAAGCAATTTAATGTTTTCCCCTGGTAAAGTGTTTTGTATGTTGGCAAATCAGGGACTTGATAATGAGTGCAGTACTGGATATTGAGCTAAGTCAGTTAATTGGGCTTTGGCTCTTTAGAAGGGTTTGGTGAAGCTCTGCTTATGGGTAATTGAGGCTTCAGGTTGCCAAGAGTTGGGTGACTAAGAGGTAGCTGTTTTGGATCAAGGGTAAAATTTTAATTAGATGATGAGCATTCTCAAAGGGCATGTAGCAATTTTCTGAACTGCATAATCTAATGGTTCGAAATTTAGAAAGTAGTGATGTCATCTCTCCATCTTTTCAAAGAACACACATCTGCCTCTGTAATCATTTTGTTTATTATTTTTAATAACAGCAATAGGCCAATGCTAAGTAATATGATGATCAGGAAAGAAATAGGCCCCGGGGATATGTGAAACAGCTTTGTCAGACAGTTTCAGCTCTACAGAATTGTGTTTTCTTGATGAAATTTCTGGCAAAGTCTTCTTTCCATGTTTTCAAAGTCTCCTCTTCCTCCTCGTTGTCAGTTCATTTCCTGTTTCAACCTTCCAAGGGGTTTACCTATGTTAAAATGAACTGAGTTCAAATATAGTCCTTCCCAGATAAAAACTTGTGACTTTCTCTTTTCTTGATTGATTTTAATGAAATATATGCTGAAAGAAGTAGGAAACTCACTGAGAATGTCAAACATAATCTGCAGGTCATTATATACCCAGAGTTTACAGAGGGTAGGAATGATATCTATTAGTACTATAACGAATCTGTTTGCTTGCAGAGTGGCTTTCTGACTTGCTGCCAGCCTGTGCCTATTCCACACTTACACTTTTTGACATTTAAAATGCTTCTTAATAAATCTTAGTCAGTTATTATTATTATTATTTTCATTTGCATTGGAAAACAGCATTCTTCCTTACCTTCCATAGAAAGGGTGCAAGCAGGTCTACTGGCACCCACCTGCCTCACAGTGCCTGGAGCTTAATAGATGCTGAGTGATGCACAAATATAATGGATGAATTCATTTAATAAATCCTCTTTTTATTTATTTATTGTTTATTTTTATCATATTTTTTAAGACACAGGGTCTTGCTCTGTTGCCCAGGCTGAAGTGTAGTGGTACCATCATAGGTCATTGAAGCCTAAAATTCCTGTTCTCAAGTGATCCTCCCGCCTCAGCCTCTGGAGTAGCTGGGACTACAGGCAGGCACCACCATGGCCAGCTAATTTTTTTTTTTTTTTTTTTGAGATGGAGTCTCACTCTGTCGCCCAGGCTGGAGTGCAGTGGTATGATCTTGGCTCACTGTAATCTCCGCCTCCTGGGTTCAAGCGATTCTCCTGCCTCAGCCTCCTGAGTAGCTGGGATTACAGGCACCGCCACCACGCCCACCTACTTTTTGAATTTTTAGTAAAGACAGGGTTTCTCCATGTTGGCCAGGTTGGTCTCGAACTCCTTACCTCAAGTGATCGGCCTCCCAAAGTGCTGGGATTACAGGCGTGAGCCACTGTGCTCAGCCGGCCAGCTAATTTTTAAAATTGTTTTAGAAAAGGGAGTCTCCCTGTGTTGCCCATAATCATACAATATGCAACCTTTTGTGTCTGGCTTCTTTCACTTAGCATAATGTTTTAGGGATTCATCTTTGTTGTAGAACTTCATTTCTTTTTATGGCTGAAAAATATTCCACTGTATATAACCACAATGTGTTTATCCATTCATCTTTTGATGGACATTTGGGCTGTTTCCATCCTTTAGCTATTGTGAATAGTGCTGCTATGAATATGGGATGTACACGTATTTGTTTGAGCCCCCGTTTTCAATTGTTTTGGGTATCTATCCAGAAGTAGAATTGCTTGCTCATATGGTAATTCTATGTTTAGCTTTTTGAAGAACTGTAGAGCTGTTTCCCACAGCAGCTGAACCATTTTACATTCCACCAGCAATGTACCAGGGTTCTTGTTTCTCCACATCCTCCTCAACACTTGTTTTCTTCCTTTTTAGTAAGAAAAAAAAATATATATATATATATATATATATATGGCTATCCTAGTAGGTGTAAAGTGGCACCTCATTGTGGTTTTTTTTCTTTTTTTTTTTCCTTATTATTGTTATTATTTTTTAATAGAGACCGGGTCTCACCATGTTCCCCAGGCTAATCTCTAACTCCTGGGCTCAAGTGATCCTCCTGCCTTAGCCTCCCAAATTCCTGGGATTACAGGTATGAGCCACCACGCCTGGTCTCATTTGGTTTTTTGGGTTTTTTTTCTTCTGAGACATAGTCTTGCTCCGTTGCCCAGGCTGGAGTGCAGTGGCATGATGTCAGCTCACTGCAACCTCCACCTCCTGGGTTCAAGCAATTCTCCTTCCTCAACCTACCGAGTAGCTGGGATTACAGGCATGCACCACCACGCCTGGCTAATTTTTGTATTTTTAGTAGAGACAGAATTTTGCCATGTTGGCCAGACTGGTCTCGAACTTTTGACCTCAGATGATCCACCCAACTCGGCCTCCCAAAGTGCTGGGATTACAGGCGTGAGCCACCGTGCCCAGCCTCATTGTGTTTTTGATTTGCACTTCCCTAATGACTAATGTTGAGCATCTTTTCATGTGTTTGTTGGACATTTATGTATTATTCTTAGAGAAATATCTATTTAAGACCTTTGCCCATCTTTAGGTTGGGTTGTTTGTCTTTTTATTGTTGAATTGCAGGAGTTTTAAAAATATATCCTGGATACTAGAACCTTATCAGATATATTATTTGCAAATATTTTCTCCCATTCTATAGGTTGTCTTTTCACTTTCTTGATAATGTCTTTTGAAGCACAAAAGGTTTTAATTTTGGTTATGTGCTGTGGTTTCTGAGCACTAGGGAGGCCCAAGCAGGAAGATAGCTTGAGGATGGGAGGTAAAAGCTGCAGTGAGCTATGAAGCTATGATCTGGCCACTGCACTCCAGCCTGGGTGACAGAGTAGGACTTTGTCTCTAAAGAAAGAAAAAAAGAAAGAAAAAATTTAAAATTTTAACGAAGTCCAATTTATCGATTTTTTTCTTTTGGCTGCTCATGGTGTCCTGAAGCTTTTTAAAATGACAGGATCCTAACACTTGTGAAGGCTATGTCACGGGCGTGTCCTCAACCTTGGAAAAATAAACTTTCTAGGTTAATTGAGAGCTGTCTCAGATTTTCTGGGTTCACACACCTTAGAAGAAAACTAGATTATTTCAGGAAGGTAACCTGTACCTTAAAGTCAAAATTGTGAAAGTATGGATGTAACAGCTCTTTTGAAATAATTAGAAGGATACAAGGGCCAGAAGGAGCCTCATACATCATTTAGAAAAGGTTCTGGAGGAATTTTACTTTAATACAAATTAAACACCAGTGGCAGAATCATAAACATTTTCAAACTAATATAGATTAGAAAGGATGGCATTTGGGGATTATTATTTTTATAATCAGAAGGGCTTGAGAAAAAGTTTGCGGAAAATAAATACGTTTCAACATTTTTCTCTGATAATTCATTTTGACAACTACTGTGTTCATTTTGATAACTACTATATCACTTTATAAATGATGAAACTATTTCAAATGTAATGACTGTACTTTTCACAGTTTGTATGCCTATAATTTATGCAATGCCACACAATCAACCAAACAACTCTTAACTTTATTTTTACTTCAGTGTATTATTTAGAAATGATATAAGGAGGCCAGCCGCGTTGGCTCGTGCCTGTAATCCCAGCACTTTGGGAGGCCAAGGCGGGCAGATCACGAGGTCAGGAGATCCAGCCATCCTGGCTGAAACCCAACTCTACTAAAAAATAAATAAATAAATAAATAAAATTAGCCGGGCATGGCGGCATGCGCCTGTAGTCCCAGCTACTCGGGAGTCTGAGGCAGGAGAATGGCCTGAACCCGAGAGGCGGAGCTTGCAGTGAGCCGAGATCACGCCACTGCACTCCAGCCTGGGTGACAGAGCGAGACTCTGTCTCAAAAAAAAAAAAAAAAAGAAATCATATAAGGAAAAAAAGCCCTACAGTTTACTTTCTGGTTCTTGGTTATTATCAAAGGGCATTGGAAGGTTAAGCTGCTGTAATAGCTTTAAAAGGGGAATTTAAGGCCGGGCGCGGTGGCTCACACCTGTAATCCCAGCACTTTGGGAGGCCGAGGTGGGCAGATCACGAGGTCAAGAGACTGAGACCAGCCTGGCCAACATGATGAAACCCTGTCTCTACTAAAAATACAAAAATTAGCTGGTCGTGGTGGTGCGCATCTGTAGTCCCAGCTACTCAGGAGCCTGAGGCACAAGAATCACTTGAACCTGGGAGGTGGAGGTTGCAGTGAGCCAAGATTGTGCCACTGCACTCAAGCCTGGTGACAGAGCGAGACTCCATCTCAAAAAAAAAAAAAAAAAAAAAAAAGTGGAATTTAGTTAAGTTTGGGAGACAGAAAGAAGCCACGGCTCTCCTGCCTTCTTCCAAATATACTGAACTTCTGATATGTTTGATCAAATGAAATGCTCATGGTCTGGCATGATTATAGGTGCAAGCCTGTAATCCCAGCTACTAGGGAGGCTGAGGCAGGAGGATGACCTGAGCCCAGGAGTTTGAGGCTACAGTGCACAATGATTGTGCCTGTGAATAGCCACTGCACTCCACCTTGGGTGATATAGTGAGACCCACATCTCTACACACACACACACACACACACACACACACACACACACGAAGAAGAACATAAACACATCAAATGTGAGCCATTTTGCTGACTTGGGCATACAATAAATCCATATCTCTGGGTTCTAAAGATGTACCAATCTTGCAGTGAGCTGAGATCACACTACTGCACTCCAGCCTGGTCAACACAGCAAGACTCTGTCTCAAAAAAAAAAAAAAAAATAGTAGACCAGGCGCAGTGGCACACTCCTGTAATCCCAGCACTTTGGGAGGCCAAGGCGGGCGGATCACTTGAAGCCAGGAGTTCAAGACCCACCTGGCCAACATGGCGAAACCCCGTCTCTACTAAAAATACAAAAATTCACCAGGTGTGGTGGTGCATTCCTGTAATTCCAGCTACTCAGGAGGCTGAGGCAGGAGAATCACTTGAACCCAGGAGGCTACGGTTGCAGTGAGCCAAGATTGTGCCACTGCACTCCGGCCTGGGCAACAGAGCGAGACTCCATCTCAATAAATAAATAAATAAATAAATAAATAAAATAAAGATGTGCCAATCAAACAAGTGTTTGCTCTGTAGATGAGGTGAGTGCTCCTGATCAGATAGTATATTCAATAAAATAAGCATGTCATCAAACTAACTTTCTTGGCCTTTGTTCTTTGGTTGAAAAACTCCCGTTGACCTCATGAATACCACATTTATTAACCCCGGAAGACAACAGATAGCTAATGCAACATAAATATCTGTGGCTTTAAAAATACATATTATTATGTGTGCAGTCTACAAACACTTTCCTGAAATTGGTCTTCTGTGGGCAGTGATTTAAACTTTTCAACTTGGACGCTTTTCCTACTGGGGGCTGTAAAGATGATAACTCAGCCCTTACTCTTCAGTGTTTCTCATTCCCGTCTCCCCTACTTCGGAATGAAACACAATATCTTAAGCAAACAGAGCCCAAAGAGGCTGATCATTGGCTCTCATTGTCCCCTGATACTGTAGCCCCGCCCCTTTGGCTTGTGCTGACTAGCTGTTTATATTTTAGTAAGGGCCACCCTTTAACTCGGCAGCTTGATGACTATAATGGGCCCAGTTGTCTGCGGGCTGCGGGGAGCTAAGTCCCCAGATTGGAGGAGGCTGGCTCTGGTCTTCGATGCACAGGAGTGGCCGTTATGGAACGCAGGTAAGGACGCTTCTCAATGTGGGATAATTCTTTTTCTGGGCCAGCTGGTTAATCCGGGGCTGGGAGAAACAAGTTGTGATTGGGTTGCTACTTTTTCCTGGTTTTAATTTTTTCCCTGCAGAAGAGGGAAGGAAAAGACTGGGATTTGCTGACAAAGCTCACAGTGAGCTCTGTTAATCCAGGCAGGAAGGGAGTAAGGAAGCAAAAAATCGAGGGAGAGACACAGCTGGATTTGACACCAAAGCAACATGAATGTGGCAAAGCATAAGGCCAGTTCCAGTGATGTTGTGAGACTCAAATGCTGTTTTATTTCCTAACATAGGTAGTCACAGTCAGGAGCTTAGCTGGGCCTCTCCGGGGTTTCTGTAAGCCAGCTGCTAGCCGATGTAACTCAGTCGACCCCATTTGAAAGGACCTAATATCTGCTAGTATTTTCAAAGGGCAAACTGTAGTAGTCTTGCATGTTATAAATAGGTCTATTCAGAAATGTGGGAACAGTTTAGAGCAGACAGGAGACTGTAAAGTTTTACTGCCCCATAAAAGTGCTCAAAGGGTACTATGTCCCTCTGCCGTGCGACTGTGGAATGAAGAAATAGCCCCAGGTGAATAGAGCGTTTGTCCTTGACTACCCAAGTGAGAAGTCAGCAGAGCCTGGGGACGCCATGTGAGTCGGGGGTGAAGCCTGATGTGGGCTCAGCCAGCCACACCTCGGGGTGCTTGCTGGTTTCCGGGGTGTGAATGGGTGAGGGTGGAAAACCACTCAGGCACCGGTCTTTGGTGCCTGCTTTATCTCTTGGCTGGCCCATTCGGTGCTCAGTGAGGCACCTGTCGTAGCTCACGGGGTGCGCAAAGGGCAAGGAAAGGGTTGTGCTGTCATTGCGACCTGTAAGGTGGGGAGGGGGCTACAACATCTCGAGTCCTGGGAGTTGCTTTAGAAAGTCCTCCTCCTCCTGCTGAAAAAAAGAATCACCTACGGCAGCTTTGATCAGATAAGTTTCTGGTGAGCCCCGTGGTGTGGAGTCAGTGAACTTGCGGTTTGTGTTTGTTATCGACAGGAGCCTGATAAAATGAAAAGGTGAGGTTTAATTTTTACATAAAGCTAGAGGTGAACCATGGGACTTTAATACATTTAATGCTTTGAAAGTCTCCCCACCTCTCCAAATTCCCTCAACTTGTATCTATTATCTAGGTACACCTTGTTTAAAGCCACCATGCTGTTTGCGGATCCTGGAGGTATTAAGTCAGAATACAAAGGGTGTTTTTCAAATGAATTTGACGCCAAGCAACATGAATGCTTGAACCCATTGTATGAAAACAGGCAGTCTCTAAGTGAGGCCAGGTTCTCCTGGTGCGGTCCTAGAGCCCTGGAGAGGGATGAGTCACCCCACGAGGAGGTCCTGACAAGGAATGGAAATTCTGACTCTGCCAGTGAACTTTTGACTCTCCCAGGTGGGGTGGAGGCTCCAAAGGGAAAGGACAGGTGTGCATCATTCACCCTCCAGGCCCACCGCAGGCCTCACAAATCCCATTTGGTCAGGTCAATGCATTCTCACCTTCCCACCTAAGTAGGTGTCCCACAGTTTAACTCAATTCTGACACTAACTGCAGTGAGTGCAGACCCTGAGGTTTAAGGGCTCAGTCCTACCAGGCTGCCCCGACCTCAGAGGCCAGTTGCAGGCTGAAGGTTGTCACTTGTGCTTCTGACTAGCTGGCTATCCATGAGAAGTTCTCACGATCCTTCCTCAGGTAGATTACAAGCTGTGTAACTTTGTCTAACTTTGTGCTGTAAGTCAGAGATTGACTTCTTGGGGTCACTGTTTTGTTAGCATAGCTCACGGAACTCAGGGAGACACTTAATTCCATTTACCAGTTTATTATAAAGGGTATTACAAAGGATACAGTTGAATGAATACATACAGCCAGGTGAAGAGATGGCTAGGGAGGGTCTTGGAGCTTTCATGTCCTCTCCGGGCGCCACTCTCCCAGCGTCTCCATGTGTTCAGCTATCCAGAAGCCCTCCAGACCCGCTCCTTTGGGTTTTTATGGAGGCCTCATTACAAAGGCATGATTGATCAAACCATTGGCCATCGGTGATTGAGTCAACCTCCTGCCCCTCTTTGCTCCCTGGAAACAGGGTCAGGGGGTGTGTATGGGTGGAGTAGGGAGAAAGGGGCTGAAAGTTCCAACTCTCTAATCACTTGCTTGGTTCCCCTGGCAACCAGCCCCCTCCAGAGGCAATCTGGGAGCCCTCAGTCGTCAATCATCTCATTAGCATACAAAAAGGCTCTTTATCACTTTGTACATTCCAAGGGGTTTTCTTTCTTTCTTTTTTAAATTTGAGACAGGGTCTTGCTCCGTCACCCAGGCTGGAGTGCAGTGGCATGATCATGGCTCACTGCAGCCTTGACCCCTTGGGCTCAAGCGATCCTCCAGATCCTCCCGCCTCAGCCTACCAAAGTGCTGGGATTACAGGTGCATGCCCCCATGCCCAGCCAATTGCAAGGATTTTAAGAACTATGTGCCAGGAAGCAGAGACAAGACCAAATATATATTTCTTATTATAAATCACAATATCACACCTTCCTCATGATTCACACTTCAGGTCACTTACTCACTGTGTAACTCTGTGCAAGTTCCCTAACCTCTCTGTGCCCCAGTTCCCTTATCTGTAAAATTCGCTAAATTCCAGGAAGGGCCAGCCACACTGGTAGGCCTATGCGGTGCGGTGGCCGATGGGGGACAGACGACACACAGAGGCAGAAGCCAAAGAACACGGGTTTAAAAACAAGGGGTTAAGAGCAAGAGCTTTGATTCAGACGAACCTGGAGTCCAGCCTCACTTTCGTTGTTTTACTTATATGTTATTGGGCAAGTTACCAAATCTCCCTAAGTCTGTATTCCTTCAGCCAAATAATGGGATGACAATCTGTTTCACTGGATGATTGTGAGGTTTAAATGTGGTCATGCATCAAAGTTCCTTATACAGCACTCAGTGCACAGCAAATATTCAGTGAATATTAATTATTTTATTATGACTGCTACCAGCATCTAACGACAGTCCTAAATACCATCTAAGTTTACCAAATGTCTCTCTGATTTACTGGTGACATTGGATAAAGGAAATGCTAAGAGAATGCAGTGCAGTGGAAAGAAGGGCGGGCTGGACATCAGCGTTCTGGTCTCCATCCGGGACTGGCCAGCAGGTGGCTCTGGAAAAGGGAGTCCCTCAGGGTCACGGTTTTCTATCTGTCCTGAGGCATGATCTTCAAAGTCCATTCTAGCTTCTGTCTATGACTTTAGATCTGACAGAAATCTCCCCGGAGGAACTCATGAGCCGTAAGTTAAACATGGTTTGAAATCACCCTTGAGCTCCTTGCTGATCATGCTTATCCATGTTGAAGGCTCATCCAGGAATAATAGATGGGTCTTGTGTGTGGTTTGAAAAGTTCACTTCTGGCCAGGTGCAGTGGTGAACCCTGTAATGCCAGCACTTTGGGAGGCCAAGGTGGAAGGATCGCTTGAGGCCAAAAGTTCAAGACCAGCCTGGGCAACATAGTTAGACTTTGTCTCTAAAAAATAAAAATAAAAATTAGCTGGGCATGGTGGTACACACCTGTGGTCTCAGCTACTCAGGAGGCTGAGGCGGTAGGATCACTTGAGCCTGGGAGGTGGAAGCTGCAGTGAGCTATGATTGTGCCAGTCCACTCCAGCCTGGGCAAGACCTTGTCTCAAAAGGAAAGTACACTTTTTATTTTCACAGGAGGTAATGATACATTCAAGTTGGTTACTTTACACAAGAAGAAATTTGTGTAATTTCTTACACAAAGAAATTACACAATTTTAGATAAATTTATCTTTATCTAAAATTATAATAAATAATTTTATTATTTAATAAACAATAAATAAATCTAAAACTCATTTATGTAAAATTTGTCACTATCTAAAATTTTCATAGTAAATTGTATGGAAAATATAATATCCCGTAGATGTGTCAAGACCAGAACATAGGTCAAACAGAGCTGAACTCGAGTCTCAGGTCTGCTGGTTGACTGCTAGTGACCTTGGGCAAGTCACTTACCCTCTCCAGTTCTTGTTTTCCTCACCTGAAAATGGGAACGATATTGTCTGCCTTATCGGGCTATGATGAGAATGGAAAGCTAGAACATGTAGACTGCCCTCCATAGTGCTTGGCATGGGGTCGTTCCTTTTCCCTCCCAGATGGAACACTGCATCCATCCCGATGGAGGTTTCTAGATGATGCTCCAGAGGATTCCAAGCAGAGAACATTTACAATTTCCATACATTACAAAAGTGTGAGCCTGCAAGGCAAGGTCTGGAGCTGGGAGCACATCTGGAGCAGTGGGTGGGTACTGAGAACCATATCCACACACACAAAGAAATGTGTTCGTTCAGAAGATCCAGCATCAATTCCTTCTTCCTAAGATTTGACAAGACTGGAGTCATTTCTTCACCAGGCCCATTTTATGAAAAACCCTGGGAAAACTGAGGTCCAGCAGCCAAAGATCTAACACAGCGGAATCAGGAAAAATGGTGGACAGGCCCCTGAAGGCACGTAAGGAGCAGGGAGCCTGGTGACCTTGGTGCACCCAATGCCTCCCTAACTAGAGTAATGGAACACCAATGTGGTTTACATTCATAATCCCTTGCATTTGAGAATTTTTAAATCTACTTAAATTTTCAAACAAGGGACACTCACACCACCTCCCACACTTATTAGCATGCTGTTTTATCACTCCGATATGTTCAAGGGACCCACCCCCATAAAAGATGGAAGATGAATCAGAAAACTCAACTGGAATTGCACTCCCTAGAGGGGCCCTGGGAGTTGTTTAGATATGCATAGTCTCACCTCAAGGCACATGCTGGGTACAAGATCCCTTATCACACCTCCAGTCCTGCTCAGCTTTTTAAGGGAGCATTTCCTGATATATAGGTCTTTAACTACCAGGTGTATTTGCCCACTGTCCACCTGTGCCTTCAAGTACCGTACTTAACAAGTTGGAACCGAGGGAATGGTACACTTCACATTTTGCAACTGTTATGCAAATAGAACTTCAATGAAATTCCTCAAACTGTTGACTCTAGAAACCGTGGGAGACAAAGGGTCAGTGTCTGACTTCACGAACGTTACCAACTTGAAAAATGAGATCTATTCCTTAGTGTGTGGGAGGAAGACATTTAAATCTGTAGTACCCTCAAAGCCTCACTCTAAACCTGGTCTGGCACTTTTCAATGTGTGTTCTTTGATATGGTAAGTAGTTAAGTATATCCCACCAGAGACCTTCCAAGGATGGGTTTTTTCCTCCATATGACTTCTCTCACTCTTTGCAGGAGAATAAAATAGAGTTTCAACTGAACTTTAAAGCTGTAACCTGATCTCAGAATCATGCACCATAAACAGCATTTGTGCTTTTCAAGATACTTTCAAATCCATATAGTTTTCCAAGATATTCCTAGTTGCCACATTGGGTGATTTAATTTTTTTTTTTTTTTTTTTTTTTTGAGATGGAGTCTCACTCTGTTGCCCAGGCTGGAGAGCAGTGGCGAGATCTCGGCTCACTGCAACTTTCACCTCCCAGGTTCAAGCGATTCTTCTGCCTCAGCCTCCCAAGTAGCTGGGATTACAGACACCTGCTACCACGCATGGCTAATTTTTGTATTTTTAGGAGAGACAGGGTTTTGCCACATTGGCCAGGCCGGTCTCAAACTCCTGACCTCAGGTGATCTGCCTGCCTTGACCTCCCAAAGTAATGGGATTTCGGGTGTGATCCACCGTGCCTGGGCTGGGTGACTTAATTTTAAATGTAGGGACATCAAGCAAAATGTTGCTGAGGAGTCTCTTTCGCAGCAAAAGTCCTGTGAAATCTGCAAGGCCATCTTTTTCATGGGTCCCCAAATGTTTCACAGGCAACTGGGCAATAATTGCATTTCCAGGAATGCCAAATGGAGCCAAATCCTTTTAATAGCTCACTGACATGCAGGTTATTCCACTGGGGACCAAAAGGAAGGAACTAGAGCTCTCAAAATATTTGATTCTTGATTTGTGCTCTTCACTGGATGATTCTATTTTCTTGAGAGCATTTTTAACGAAACAGCAGCAATCAGTGATTTCTTAGAAATGTGGCCCCTTTAAATACACTTCAGTGAGGCTAGCTCTTGTGTTTCCTGGACACTCTGTGTGTTCTGGACATACTGGAGGCACAGCATAAATATTAATGCTGGCCATTACAAAAAGAAAATGAAAAGACCCCATAAGGCAGCAGTGACCCTAGAAGCCCCAGAAGCCGTGTTGGAACTGTGACAAGGAAGGATAGTGACAAGATCTGAAAAAAGCAGCCCTCTTCCCACACTCAACACATGCAGTAAACCCAGACATGCAGGGCACCATTGTCTGAGCTGTCACTGGAGGGCTGGGAGGAGACAGGGGATGGGGCAATGGCAGCCTACCCACCCCTCCTCATCACTGTCCAGGGGCATTCAGGAAACACAGGCTTCCAATATGAGGCTGCCTTTTTTTCTCACAAGCCATGCTCACTAGGAATCCATAGCGGCCATCTGCACACCGACCTGGTGGTGTCTCAAGCTTCCAGGTGTGGTTTTGGGGGCAGGGTCCTTGAGGAAGGGGGTGCTGCTGACAGTGAGGTAACCTGAGGTCAGCTCTGGACAGGGCTGGGTGGAAGAAGAGTGTAGTGACTGCTGATCCCTGTCCTTTCTAGGAATTGGGGTTACTGGGTCAGAGAAACATCTCAATACCTTCCAGGCTTCCAAGGCTGGTTGTAAACCTGCTCCTTGATAAAAGAAACTACATCCAACCTTTAGGAGCAAGGTGGGGTAACATGGGAGCAGATCTTAGTTCATTTGTTTGTTTGTTTTTGCTTGCCTGCTTGCTTTTTTGTTTTTTCTTTTTCTTTTTTTTTTTTTTTTTGAGACAGGGTTGCACACTGTTGCCCAGGTTGGAGTGCAGTGGTGCAATCATGGCTCACTGCAGCCTTCACCTCCCAGACAGGTGATTCTCCCACCTTAGCCTCCCAAGTACCTGGGACTACAGGCATGCACCACCATGCCTGGCTAATTATTTTTTATTTTTTTGTAGATATGGGATTTTACCATGTTGCCTGGGCTAGTCTCTGAACTCCTGGGCCCAAATACTCTGCCCACCTGGGCCTCCCAAAGTGCGGGATTACAGGCATGAACCACCTCACCCAGCCTACAAATTCTTATATGACAATTTGAATCTCTGCTTGGATTTGTTTTATCCTCTCTTGTGCTTGTAACTCAAACTTTAATACTTGAAAAGTTTCATCAAAATTTAAATATACTTTTCTAAATCTGTGAGAAGGCTGTCTCCCAAGATGGTTTGTTACTGCACATCTTTTCCCCGGTAGATGGAAATATCCCTTCTCTATTCTCTTTCCCTTAGTCTTTCAAAAACTCAGTGAGGAGGAAGTGCTTGCTTCTAGCTTCTGGCGGTAGGCTACATTTCCCAGCCTGTCAGAATGGCCTCTCTGCAGGCTTCAACCCTTATGAGAAATAAAGCTGTCCTTTAGCAAAGTCATCAAGCTAAGTGTCTGTCAACAGATGATGATTAAAGTGTGGTACATATACACCATGGAATACTACTCAGCCATAAAAAGAATGAAATCATGCCTTTGGCAGCAGCATGGATGAACCTGGAGGCCATTATCCTAAGTGAAATGAGTCAGAAACAGAAAGCCAAAAACTGCATGTTCTCAGTTATAAGTGGGAGGTACACAGTGGGTATATGTGGACATAGAGAGTGGAATAATAGGCATTGGAGGCTCCAAAAGGTGGGAAGATGGAAGGGGATAAAGGATGAAATATTGCCTATTGGATATAATGTACATTACTCAGATGATGAGTACACTAAAAGCCCAGACTTCACCATTACGCAATATTTCCATGTAAGAAAGCTGCACTCGTGGTGGTGTATGCCTGTGGTCCCAGCTATTCAGGAGGCTGAGGAGAGAGAATTGCTTGAGCCTGAGAGTTCGAGGCAGTGAGCTGTGATTGCACCACTGCAGTCCAGCCTGGGCAACGAAGTGAGACTCTGTCTCTAGGAAAAAAAGAAAAAGAAAGAAAAAGAAAAGAGGTGGATGCAGACTGGAGATTTAGGAAAGCCTTTTCAGCTCCTTTCTCTTGCCAAGTCTTGTTTGTGGCTTTGGTGGGTGGTTTTGTTTGGGGGCCTGTCTTCTTTATTCCCTTTTCTTTTTTCTCTTAATCAAAGCAGTCTGTTCTGGTACTGCAGTGAAACAACTCTTTCCAGTTCCTTTGCATGGTGGTTGTGCACGTAGCCTCCAGGCCTGGGCTTGCATCAGTCATTTTGTCTATTCATACAAAGGGAAATTTAGGCTTTGTTCAGTTCATCTCCTACCAGGGCATGTACTTTCACAGCTACTGCCTGGGAAGCTTTGTGTGCATGAGATATCACCAGTCTGCCAGGCTACCAACTTGACTGTAAGTGGAGAGACTAACTGATGAAGCAATGACTGTGTGCCAGGAACTGTTCTAAGTGCTTTATGTGTATGAGCCAGTCAGCCCACTATTACTGTTCTTCTCCATTTTCAGGTGAGGAAACTGAGGCTCAGATTGTTGAGAAAATTGTCCCAAGCCGCACAGCTGGTCAGGGGCAGGCCAGCATTCAGTTTCCAGAGCCTGTGTTTTTAACCATTATGTGATGCCTCCAGGGTACATTATATTCTTTTGCATGAATGTGCAAAAATATGTCTTCATGCTTCTATTTCTGTTCATTTAACTTGTTTCAATTTTTTTCTATCACAAATAATACAGCAATGAATGTTTTTGCAATAATAGCTTATAATGATAGTTAACATTTGTCGAATCGCTAACAAAGTGATGGGCTCTGTTTCAAGTTCTTTATGCATCTTAATTAATTTAATCTTTGTAGCAATCCCACTATTATTTTTTACTTATTTATTTATTTTTTGAGACAGAGTCTCGCTCTGTCGCCCAGGCTGGAGTGCAGTGGCACGATTTTGGCTCACTGCAACCTCTGCCTCCCGAGTTCAAGCAATTCTCCTGCCTCAGCCTTCCAAGTAGCTGGGATTACAGGTGCATGCCACCATGGCTGGCTGACTTTTGTATTTTTAGTAGAGACGGGTTTCACCATGTTAGCCAGCTGGTCTTGAACTCCTGACCTCAGGTGATCCACCCGCCTCGGCCTCCCAAAGTGCTGGGATTACAGGTGTGAACCACTGTGCCTGGCAAATCCTACTATTATTACTATTTAACGAATTTAATCTTTGTAACAAACCTACTATTATTACCATTTAACAGAAGAGGGAAACGAGGCACAGGACAGTTGGCTACATATTTTGTTCCAGATTGCACAATTAGAAAGTGGCAGCTTAGCACCATAAGACATAGTGAGGAAAAAAGAAAAAAAAAAAGTGGATGGGCTGGCATTGAAACCCAGAGCTGGTACTCTTATGATAGTGTCTAGACAATATCTGTGACCACACCTCTGATTGTACCTCAAGAAGAAAGATTTTTAAAGTGAAATTACTAGAGCATAAGATATAAACATTTAAAAGGTTTTTGATACATCTTACAAAAGTGCTTTTCAATAACACTGATTGATCATGCTCATTTGCATTTCCATGAGCACTGTGTAATTGATCAAGGACTCTAAAAGTTAGATAAGCCACTGATAAATGGAGATGCCCCTCTAAGTCCCTGGGCAGTAAAACCTGACCAGCATAGCCTCCAATAACCTGCATAGTGTTGAGGAGAGCTTGGATTTAAGAGATTAAGAGGGTCAAACTCTTTTCTGTCCATTTTAAAATGCAAGTTTTATTTAAGAGGAACTATCTAATATGCTGAAGACAGTATCAGGTATCTGTAAAATTGCTTTTTGTAACTCAGAATCTTGGAACAAAAGAAACAATAAAGAAAATTTGGAACCAGAACTGTTTACCCTACGGAAAATTTTTGTCCAAAGCAGCCTCTCAGCGTTCCACATCATTTTCATCATTATGAATAACGACAACAGCAACTAAGGTTTATGTTGCACTTTTGACTGAACACATGCCTCTTTCGTATTTCTTAGACCAAGCCAGTGTTTCTTGTACTTTCCTGATGATAAGAAGTACCAAGAGGTGTTGTTAGCTAGATCGTCATAAATAATCAGGCCTCCCCTAGGTAAGTTCTGATTTAGGAGGTCTGGGTTGGAGCCTTAAATCTGTGTTTTGACAAGCATACTAGGTGTTTTTTATTTTCTGAGGATTTTGGAAACTACTAGAAAACACAATAAAATTGCTGTAGTAGGTTCTTTTTTCAATGTTAAGCTATTAACATTAGAATGCTTGCTTTTAATTGGAATCAGGTGTTAAAGAGAAAATCTACAACGATCAGTCATTGCAACAGAAGTAACAATTATATACTAGCCTCACTTAGCATTCTTCACCCACACTGGTTCCCTAAATGTACATTTCTTAATTCTCTTGAATGTCTATTATACAGGCAGATGCAACTTGCAAATCACACTAACTCGAACATACACTTCAGTGCCTCACTAGAACCCCTAACTGACATCTTTTTCCTAAGTCAGTATACCTGGCATATGCCTGGCTAAAGTGCCACTTTCTCTTGTTTAGACCCTGAAGCTGATGTAGACTGGGAACTGATTACTGAGATCTAGACATACCTCCTCCTCTCCTCCACATAGGCCCACCCACCAAGAATCCCTACATTGGAAACCCTTGGGGTTCAAGGATCATGAGTCTGGGGCATGCACCCTGGGATCACTGTTCAGAGCTGAAAATGCATTTCCCCATGGAAACATTGATGTTGATGTGGTGCCGTTTTGCTAGAGTCCAAGTACATTTTCTGGTTTTTGTGGGCTGATCTGGGCTCTTGCTGCCATTTATCATATTTCTATAAAAAAAAAAGCTCAAAACTACATTAGGGAGGGGTGCATCTGGAGTGTTTGAAATATCCCAATTCTTGTTCTGGATGGTGTTTTTACCCTGTTACTATCCCTTTGTGATATTCCGTTGAGCTGTTGCCTTAGGATTTGTGCACTTCTCTGTTTTTGAATTATATTTATTAAAAATTTCAACATATGGGGGTTTGCAAGAAAAAAGGTTTCTTAAATAAAACCCCTCCATATGGAATATAGCCTTTTGGAAATTAAAAACAGGCATTGAAATCTATGATTAATATAAAGAATAAGAAAATAAATCAATTATCATTTTTTTTCACACTGTGGATAGAAGATTTCAAAAGAAACCCTTTCATGGTTCCTTTTATTTGTTTTTTCATCTGTAATTTGAGAATTAAACATTCAGTCACACTAGTCCCAAGCAATACAGTTCAAAAAACTTTTTTGCCTGTTTTTATTTTTTTGTTGTTGGTTTATGCAAATGAGGTTTTTAGCTGGAAACTTCAAAAGCCTGACACATATTAAAAATAAGCAGATTTATGATGAGTGGGATTTTTGGCAAGCAATTGAGAAAAATCACCAAGACTCCAAAGAGAGTTGTTCTCTTTCTGTCTTGGCTTTGTCATGTGCTCTTTCTTAATATTTGGTTTGAAGCAGTGTATGGTTCTGTAATGTGACCTGGAGCCTCTATTGAGTAAGCATCCCTGGAGACTAAGAAACATCTTTCTATGCTAATGGATTAGTCAAAGAAGATCAATGTATCATCATTTCAAGAAAATATTACAAGAAAGTATGCTCTTACTCTAATGGAAGCCAGTAGCAATTTTCTTGTCAATTTCCCAGCTATTTTTTAATATTATTTTAGTACTTACTTTCCTGTGCTGACTCTATGTTCAATCTAAAATTAATTGTTTGTCCCAGTTCACTTCCTTAGTCCCTAGACTCCAGTTGCAACTTTCATGATATTCTGTTCCTCTCCTGCAGAGGGTTTAAAGGGCTGCAGAATAAGAGGGCAGCTTGTACATTCTTTTGACAAAAGGAGGCATGTCTCTCAATGCTTCCCTTAGTTTCTATCCCCAGAAGTTCTCAAGATGAATGTCCAAGTCCATTTGTGCTACTATAACAAAATGCCTGAGGCTGGCGAATTTATAGACAATAGAAATTTATTTTTAGTTCTGGAGGCTGGAAAGTTCAAGAGCAAGGCACCAGGAGGTTTGGTGTCTGCTGAGGGCTGCTCTCTGATTCCAAGGTGGTGCCGTGAGCGTCTTTACATTGTGAAGGGGATGGAAGGACAAAAGGGCTTGCTAGTTCCCTCAAGTCCTTTTATAAAGGCATTAATCCGTTCATGAAAGGGGAGCCCTCATGATCTAAACACTTCCTAAAGGCACCAACCTCTTAATACTATCACATTGGCAGTTAAGTTTCAACATACAAAGTTGGAGGCACACATTCAGGCCACAGCAATGAGATTCTGTGAGTTCTTTGATTTAGATGAACTTTGTTTAGATGAACTTTTATTTCTCCCCAACATCTTACCATGAGCACAGTCAATACAACTGAAAATTAAGCTTTGATTTTCCTTTCAAAGTGGCTCTTTTTTTCTGCTCATGTTTCTGTTAAATGACATGATTTTATTTTTTAATTTGTAAAATGTTTTGGGGTTTCTGCTAATTGAATTATGGGACCCTAGACATAAAGAAGACATAAACTCCCCACGGAGTATACAGGGTAATAAGCAGATGAGGTATCTGTACATGTACAGATAACCCAAGTACCCAGGAGGCTGGAAGTGCTGTCACTGAAATACAAAGTATATGGGATTCAGAGAAAGAGGTCATTCTCATCCATGGGTACCAGTTGAAATTCGTCAGGAACAGGCAAGATTTGGACAGGGGAAGATGAAGAAAAGGCCACCCCAGACTCAGCAGGAACAGACACTTCAAAGGCAAGAAAGTGCAGGTCAGTTGAAACTGAGGGAGTCAGTGCAAGAATTGCTGTGAAGTTTAATTTTACAGCATAGGAGGAAGTTAAGTTCTAAAACCAGCACTTAAAAAAGAGAGTCATAGTGACTCAGTGATGCTTGACAATCTGAACATACTGCCTCTCAGTAATTCTCACACCACCAAGATGTCCTTCCAGTGTTGCAACAAATCATGATTTCTTTGATTGATCACCAGATGAAGCAGTTGGCTATGTTTAGAGGCTATGTTGGAGAGCAGGGAGAGACAGAGAATAAGGATAAGAATTTATTTTTAGAAAGTAAATCACACTTACCATGGCAGGATGTTCACACAGTCATAGCCACAGGGGAACCAAGATTGAGAAAATTTCAGATTTTCTCCAAGTTCTCCAAAGAAAAATGTACAAAGATCATGAATAGGCAATTTAAAGGAAATAGTAATGGTTAATGATCATATGTAAAATGTTCAACATCACCAATGATCCCATAAATCTAAATTTCAGAAGGAAGTTATTATTTTCTTCCTATCATTTGCAAATATTTAAAAATAACACTGCTGGTGAATATGTGTATCTTAATTTCATGCATTGCTAATGAGAATGTAAATTGGTACCACCTTTGTAAAAAGCAGTTGCGTACAAGAAAAAATAGAGACTATAAATGGTAATATAATTTATTCACCTATTCAATTGTAAATATTTATTAAGCATATTGTATGTCTGGCAATGGATTTATCTGTAGGCAGTGGATCTGTAAATGATTTCTATTTTATGTCTTGCTCTGTCACCCAGGCTGGAGTGCAGTGGTGCAATCACAGCTCACTGCAGCCTTTTGCTCCTGGGCTCAAGCAATCTACCCACCTCAGCCTCCCAAGTAGCAGGGACTACAGGCATGCACCACCACACTCAGCTAATTATTTTATTCTTTTTGTAGAGACAGGGTCTCTCTACGTTGCCCAGGGTGGCCTCCCATTCTTGAGCTCAAGTGATCCTCCCACCTTGGTCTCCCAAAGTGCTGGGATTCAGGTGTGAGCCACTGTGCCCGATCTATTTTATTCTTTATACTTTTATGGGTTTTCCAAATTTTCTAGAATATTTAATTGCCTCTTATCAAAAACATGCATTTTAATACATCCTTTCCATCTTTTAGGTCCCAAGTCAAGTCTACAAGTCTACCCTTTCCGTATAGTATTTCCTGGGCTTTAGGAAGTGCTCTCTCATTTTTCTGTGACCCTTCCAAATGAGTCTTTTCATATATGGTCTTGAGTTGTAGCCACTTGTATGTATGACTTTCTTCCCAACTAGTAAGGGAGTTACTGAAGAGTAAGGATTGTGGTGTAGAAATTGTAAATTTTTAGGCAAAAGACTAGTTCTCCTTCCCTACCTTCTCCAGGAAGCCTTTTCTACTACTCAAAGAAGAAAAAAAAGGTGATTACTTCTTCCCTGAATTCTCAAAACAGTTTTTTATGCCTCTATTATGGAGAGTAAAACACCCCGCTTTGCTTTGGATTACAGATGATTGTCCTTGTCCTGACCCCCCCCATTCTGCTTTGGATTATAGTTAATTGTGTTTATCTTAACCATAGCACCCATTAGTCATCCAACTCCTTACTATAGGAAACGAATCTCATATCTCTGTGTGCCCAGGGTAGTGTTTTACATAAGGTGTGTGCTCAGTAAACATTGGTTGATCTTATGACAGAATGAAACTGGCTCTTTCCAGCTATTTCAAAGAGGTGCATTTCAGTTAGTCTGGAATCCAAAGTTTCAGAGTGCCATGCAAGAAGCAGACCCAACTGTTGAGGAGTGGCAGTCATAAAGCCCGATCCGCCAGAAAAAAACCTACCAGGAAATGAATTCACCTTAGACTTCTGATCCCTCAAATAATACTACTTAGTGCCTTTATGGGTCCTGAGAACTTTATCTGTGAAGCCCTACCTTCTTTGACCATCTCACAAACTTCTAAAAATTATTTTGCAAAAGAATTCCACCTTTTCATTCCTAAATTGAACACCACAGATTTGCCCTGAAACCCAGTTTCAGGCCCTCATCTTCCACATGTGGCCATTGAGAGAAAAGTTTAAAATCAAGGACTGCATAAATATTATTTTAGAATTTTAAAAATGGGCCTAGAACGGTAGCTTACGCCTGTAACTCAACACTTTAGGAGGCCAAGATGGGTGGATCACTTGAGCTCAGGAGTTCAAGACCAGCCTGGGAAACAAAGTAAGACCCTGTCTCCCTGAAAAATATAAAAATTAGCCAAGTGAGGTGGCACATGCCTCTGGTCCCAGCTACTCGGCAGGCTGAGGTGGGAGGATGGCTTGAGCTTGGGAGGCAGAGGTTGCAGTGAGCCGAGGTTGTGCCACTGCACCCTAGCTTCGGTGACAGAGTCAGATCCTGTCTCGAAAAAATAAAAATAAATAAAATGAGTAAAATAAAATAAAATGAAGGAAATAGAGCACAAGATTCATTTCCATTTAATACACATTTATTGTAATCCAGGATTTTGCAAAGCCCTGTCCTGGGCACTAAGGATGATCCAGAGATTAAATAGGACGTTGATCTCATAAGATCCCATGTGGCTATGGCAATGTAATTGAGGAAAGGGAGGAACAGTGTAAAAGGAGTTAAGAGACGGGGAGTTCATTGCCCTTGACTGCAGGGTTTTGAGCCAGAATTGGGTTAGAAGTGGGAAATAAATAGGAAGGCCACTGGTAACTGCTCATAATTGTGTTGGTGGTGACTGCTGATGCTTTGAGTCTGTGCCCAGTAAATATAAGACGTAGGTGGGATTCAGATAGAATGAGAAAAGCTTTAGGAAAAAAAAAATCAAAGTTCTAAGGCAATATTGGATAGAAGATATGATGAGAGACAGGTTGTTATAGAAAAGGATGGCATTTAACAGGACACAGTGCATCTGTGAGTGTTCTTAGCTTCTGACAACAGACTAACTCTAGTTAGTCTGAAAGTAAAAGAAATGTATTAAAGACTATTAGGACACCATCAAGAAAGTGAAAGGACAGCCCGTAGAATAAGAACAAATATTTTCAAAGCACACATCTGATAAGGAACTCACATCCAGAATGTGAGAACTCAACAATAAAAGACAAGTTTAAAAGGACAATTTAAAATGGGCAAATAGTGTTGGTTTTGCAACAATGTAAATGTACTGTTCACAGTATATATACATTTTGATGTAACAAATAGTAAGTTTTGTTATATATATTTAACCCTAATTTTAAAAATAAATTTTTTTAAATGGGCAAACATTTCAGTAGGCATTTCTACAAGGAAGATACCCAAATGGTCAACAAGCACATGAAAAGATACTTAACATTATTTGTCATTAGGGAAATGCAAAGCAAAACCATAATGAAATACCACTTCACACCCACCAAGAAATTGAAACCCTCATACATTACTTGTGGTAGTGTAAAATGGTGTAACTGCTTTGGAAAACAGTCTGGCAGTTCCTCAAAATGTTAAACATAGAATTAGCGTATGACCCAGTGATTTCACTCCTAGGTAAATACCCAAGAGAAATGAAAATATATGTCAACTCAAAAACTTGCATTCAAATGTTCATAGCAGCATTATTTATACTAGCCACCAGTGGAAACGATCCAAATGTCTATCAAATGTTAAACAGATAAGCAAAATGTGGTGTATTTATATAATATAACATTCTTTGGCAATAAAAAGTCATGAAGTACTGACACATGCTACGTGGATTCCTGAGTAAACTGAAAAAATTTTGCTGAGTGAAAGAAGCCAGACACAAAAGCCCACACATATTATATGATTTCATTTATATGAAATGTCCAAGTGTGGCGGTGTGCCTATAATCCCAATTACTGGGGAGGCTGAGATGTGAAGATCGCTTGAGCCCAGGAAGTCAAGGCTGCAGTGAGCCATGTTTGTGACACTGCACTCCAGTCTGGACAACAGAACGAGACCCTGTCTCAAAACAAACAAACAAAAAAACCAAACAAATGCAGCCTCCTCTGGGAGGCCTTTCTTCGTTTCCTGCTTCTATGTTCCTATAACCCTCTGTCCATACACTTCTATCATTTCATAGTGTTTTGAAATTGTAGGTCGTCCCTCCCCACCTTCCCCTCTGCCCCCCAAAGAAGATAAGGCCCTTGAAAGTAGACTCATGCTTTTTCAAGCTTTGTATTCTCAGCCTTGTGACAGATGAAGGAAGGGAGGAAGGTAAGGAAGGAAGGATGGAGGGAGGAAGGAAGGAAGGAAAGAAGAAAAGAAGGAAGGAAAGAGTGAGGAAGGGAGGGAGGGAGGAAATAAGGAAGGAAGGAAAGAAGAAAAGGAAGGAAAGAGCGAGGAAGGAAGGGAGGGAGGGAGGAAATGAAGGAAGGAAGGAAAGCGCGAGGAAAGAAGAGAGAGAGGAAGGAAGGGAAGGAGGAAGGAAGGAAGGAGGGAGGAAGGAAGGGAGGGAGGGAGAGGGAGAAAAGGAACGAAAGAGTGAGGAAGGAAGGAAAGAGGGAGGAAGGGAGGAAGGAAGGAAGGGAGAGAGGAAGGAAGGAAAGAAGGAAGGAAAGAGCAAGGAAGGAAGGAAAGAGCGAGGAAGGGAGGGAGGAAGGAAGGAAGGAAAGAAAGAGAGAGAGAGGAAGGGTCCCTACTCCAACTTCTTTTACGGAGTAAAAAGGCCTAAAGAGACAGTCATGACTTATCATTTGCAGGACTGATTGTATCATACTTGACTCATTTGTTAACATTCACTTGAAGGAAACGCAGAGATTTTTTTTCTTCGCTCACATTCAGGAGCTGTGCTTGCTTATAATGAACTGTCATGATGGAGGCCGGCCCGTTTCAGCTCTCTCAGCCCCGTCAAGCTGAACTCACTTCCCCTGAAAGGACAGTGTTTGCATTTGTGTTTACGGGACTGGGGAAGAGGATGCGTTTTCAGGAGACCTGAAAACCGAGCCAACCCCCTTTTCCTGCCCCGCTGTGCTGCGATTGGCCCATCTTGGAGGCTGGCTGCAGGAGCCTTTAGTCATCGCACAGGGAAATCTTTCTGGAACCGGGCACCAACTTGCGTGTTTGTTTTCATGCTCTTTGTGCGGGGATTAGCTGTCGTGCCGGGCCTGAAAATGCTGCGAGCGCCGGGCGACATCTAATCCAGGATTTGCCTCTGCCTCGCGGTTGATGGAAAACAGATGTCTTACTGCTCTGGGCCTGAGCACAGAATGGAAATGACCGACCAGAGAGCCATTTGGAGCCGAGGACACCCGGTGAAAGCCATTCAGAGTCCAGCCAGGAGGCCGACTTTCCTCCTCTGGTCTGTTTTTACTACTTGAGCCGCTCGCTCAGAAAACGGCCTTAGATAAAGCAGTTTCACCTTCAGATCGCCTGAGGCTGCAGAAGGGCGGCTGCGGGGGAGGAAGGAGGAGGCGGAGAGGAGCGGGTGCGAAGTCCTGGGTCGCCTGCCCGCTGCCTGATGTCGTGAGCTAGGGCACCTCGGCCCTGGCTGGGCGCGCAGCGAGGCCCAGGCCCGAGGGGTGAGGCCCAGGCCACTCCGGAGCGCGCGCTGTTCCCGCGAAGCGAGTCGCCGTCTCGTAGTAAGTCGTGGCTCGGGCTGTGCCCTGGGAACCCTCCCGCCCGGGCAAGGTCCGGTGGCCGGAGCGTGCGGGAAGCCTGCCCAGAGTCCATTTCCGGACGGGCGCTGCGGGGCTGGCAGCCGGCCTGGAGCGGGTGCAGTGGGTCGGCGCGGCGCAGAGCTGTCAGCAACAGGGCCGCTGAGCAGCAGAACCTGGACGCCGCGCGGCTCCCAGGCCCTGCCCGCGGAGCTCTCCCGGGAGTCGCGGACCTCTGCCGTCCTCAGTCACCCGCGTCATGCAGGATAGCTTTCAAAGTCATTTTGCAGAGAAAAAAAGATACTGAGCAATCTGAAAGCAGGACTGTAGTAATTTTGAAAAGATCGGCTTCCTCTTTTTCTTTAAAAACATGTTTGGTCATTTTCCTAAAACTACTTTCCTTCCTTTAGCCTCCTCTTTTATTCTTTGCCCCAGCTCGTACTACAGTTCGGGCTTATTAGAGCAGGGAGATGGTGACTTTTGAGGGTTTGCAGGGCTCTTTCTGGTTGGTGTATGTATTCTGAAAATACTTGCCCGGTGTTGAAAGCTGCATGCCGCTGACAAAGTAGATAAAAAGCTGGGAGTGTGGAGGACGGTTCGTCTCACTAAATGCCTGTCAGATCCAAAGCATTCTGTGAACCCCAAATTCGTTCCGACCTGTAATCCAACCCCATGGAGCAACTGATGCCTTCCACCAGGCCCCTTTGCTTTCCCGGGAAATCACCAGCTTTAATTTATGGAACAGAGACAGCTTTAGATTCAAAGACTTTTAAAGAGTTAATTTTAGAGCACTTAGAATTCCAGCCATCCAAAGATTAGGCTAGCCCCTTAGGGTGTGAGGGGTTGTTCTTGCAGCAGTATGCACATCTATGCCTTTTTTCATTGTTTTCTTCTAAAAATGGAGATTAAATTTTACATCAATATTTTTAGAATGTAGTTAAGAGTTGTTGCCTGACAACTTGTATTGAGGGTTCCTTTCCCAGGGGGTGGGAGGAGGTATTGTGCTGGGTCCACTGCTTCCCAGCTCCACGTGACCTTTCCTCTCAAATTTCCACTTGATTTCATCTTTGGCAGAACTGGTACCTGCCCTTCAGCTCCAAGAAACAAAAGAGCAGGGGTGAGTCAGAAGGCTTTGACTACCTCACCCTTAACTAGAGATAGAAAGTACTTGATTAAATTCTTTGTGATACACATTGCATTTCCTTCCCTTTCCAACTTAGGTTCATATAACAATGAAGGATCAATTAAAATGAACTCCACCTCCCTTCTCCCTTAGGGTAAATATGGATTCCCTTAGGGCTGAGTTGGGCAGGGCCATCTACACTAATGAAAAGTCTTCTAGGTGAGGTAATCTGGCCTGTTCTGGGCTAGGTACAGAACACCACATCCCATTTGCCCTCATTAACTCATTCTTTTAACTCATTCTTTTCCTGGCAGCCTCCCTTTTCTTTCTATCCTTTTCTGTATAATCCCATTTAGCTACCCACCATAACTCTACTTTGGATCATGGAATCTAGGATACCATCACTGACAAGGTTTGTTTAGATGACTGTCTCTTATCAGTATTCCCTGAGAACATTTTTCCAATTCCTGCCTTTATTTTCCTGGAAAATTCTATGTCGATTAAATCCTCCACTAGAAATTCCATTGTATCTGTCAAAAATAAGCATCACACTCACATCTTGAATATTTTTCTTGCATCATCATTTTAATGCTGACTTGCACAGCTTCCTGATTTCTACTTCAAATTTAAATACAAATGGAAGGAAGTTGTTATAAGACACTAAATATAAATGGGTTAGATAGTCTCAGTGAGAATTAACATCTTATTCTCTGACCTTTTCTTTAGTCTGTCCTTGGGTTGAATTCTATCCTTTCAATTTCTGACCATTGACTACTCTAGAAAGAGGTTGGATAGTTATTTTGTGTGTCAGGAATGATCTGTTTACTTGGCCTTTTCTGAGCAGCAGTTACTCACTACCTCTCCTAGTGCTGATTGGTAAGAATTTGGCCTATTCAATGATGATAACTCAACGGGGTAATATAGCAAGGCCCTAGGAAGCTTTGAAAATGACATCTTGAAGCCCTGAAATCCTGGTGCAATAACATTATCAGAACTTTCTCCTTCTTTCACCACTCCATGAAAAATGACACTGCTTGGTTTATATCAAATATGTCTTAGATTATAAATTCCCAAAGACAGCTTTAGCTTGATTTGTACAGGTACTAAAAGTTTATGCTGGCGGGTCAGCACCTGGCAAATGCTTTTGATGCTGCTACTAATGATGAAGACAGGAACAATGATGGTTTTCCTTTTTGGTTTCTTGAGAAAAGACTTCCTGCTTAGAATGTCTGTTTGAGAGGCTATTCTGTGAATGTTATCTTAAAAGGCTTGAGGCAAAGGCTGGCATAATATCATACTTAGTCCCAACATTATTTCTTATACTTTTACATTTTAGACCTTCAGCCTGACCTGTTAGTTGGCATGTCTGAAAAAGTCCACCTATGAGTTTAATTTAGTATTTTCTCTGGAAGAAAATGACAGGTCTTTTGAAATGGGTAGTATTTGGTTTAAGGGTTAAAAGAATTGGCAAGTGCAACCTTTGAGATAAATAGGTAGAGAGGAAATTAAGGGGAGTGAATTTCATGACCTTGAGCCACTATTTACTAGACACTCAGCTTTTATGTATGGTTAGAGGGTTTACTGGAAATTAAATCTCAGAAAGTGAGCTTTTGTTGGCAAATATTTTGTATTACTAATATAGTTATTTCCTATGTAACGCTATATTATTTTTGCATATCCTGCCTTTGGTTGTTTGTGGTTTTACTTTTTTAATTTTTTTAGAGACTTTGTCACCCAAACTTCAGTGCAGTGGCACAATCATGGTTCACAGCATCTTCCAACTCCTGGGCTCAAGCTATTCTCCCACCTCAGCCTCCCGAGTAGCTGGGACTACAGGCATGTGCCACCACACCCGACTAATTTTTAAATTTTTTGTAGAGACAGTGGCTCACTGTGTTGCCCAAGCTGTCCTTGAGCTCCTGGCCTCAAGCAATCCTCCTGCTTTGGCCTCCCAAAGTGCTGGAATTATAGGCTCGAGCCACTGTGCCTGGCCTATGTCCTGCCTTTGAATCTCATCTTAATCCTTGAACAGAAATATTCTCTCCCTAGAATTTTCAATATTTTCCTTTTTCATAATATACTGTATATGTAGATGAAATTTGTCTATGCAGAAGGGCTGGCCCAAGAGACTAAAATGTGTTCTTGAGTCTAAAATAAATACCATATATGTCAGCATCTTTATTAATTTAAGACTGTTTAGAAGTGCTCAAATAGAAGCTGTGGATACAGGTTTTGCTTCTGTCTTAACTGCAGTAAAACGAACTAACCTAAGACATGCTGACTTCTGGAACAAGGGCAATTTGTAGAAATATGCTGCAGGCAGTTGGAGTTTTGAGAGATGAATACCCTTTTAAACTGACATCTCTTCAGTGTAAGTGTTTTTCAGGTTTCAGAATGTCTGCTGTTTGAGGGACGCCTTTTTTAGTTTAATGCAGTCATTGGTCCAACCTAAAATATTAAGAGAGGCACAGAGTTGCTGACCTACTTATCTCCCATTAGGATGAGGACTAGCGTTTTAGTACTCTCATTGCTGACCTTCGGGGATGATGACTTTGAGGACCAGGAAGCAAACAAATTGGAAAGCCTCTCAGATTAAGACTCCTGAAAAGAGAGATCTAAGACCAAAAATGTGAAAGATTAGAACAAGTTTCCTTTTAGAATGTTCTGCCCAATCAGGTAGAAGAAAGGAAAGATAATTTTCAAGCCCATGCCCCAGTCTGCTAGCCAACAAGGATTTATTGAGCAAATACTATGTTCTGAGCCCCCTGCTTATGATCTGGAAAGTACAATAGCCTAAAAGGCAAAGAACAAGTCTTGAAGGAATTTTCAAGTCCTGGTGGTACCTTTAGGCATTAGTGAGCATCCTTCTCCCTCCTGTTCTCTGAGCTCCTCAAGTCTTTCCTCAGTGAGGAAATCAGCTCTGGCTGTGGTAGAACCCTCTGCAGTGGTTCAGCTACAAACACTTTCTGAGAGAATCAAGTTGGCCCCAACCTAAAATTTGTTTCCTTTGGCAGTGAAAGGTGTGTTGGTAAAAGGCTCTTTCAGCATTACCTGGATGAAGTGGCATTTGCTACTTAACCCCAAGACTCTTGTTCAGTGCACGGTTCTATTCCTAAAATGTCCTCTCCTCAGCTACCAGACAATTCAACAGTGGCCCTGGGTAGCGCCAAAATAACCCATCATAGAAACACTGCTTGAGAGTGAATAGTAGATAGGCTTGAGCTTTGCCTTAATTAAGAGGATGAGATCGGGTCTCTTTAATCGCCAAAATAGCCTCTCAGACTACACAAAGACAGAACTGTCTCTTTTGCTGACTACATGCAATTTATTTAAATTAGTGTTGCACATTCAACGATGGTGTGGAAGCTATATTAGAAAACCACCAAATTGAATGAGTTTTCTAGGTCTTTGGTTAGGGATAAAAAGGGCATTAGCCACATTGAATGGGATTTGCATCTCGTTAGCTTGCCCGTATGTCCTCAGCTATTGGACACAATGGAGGGTGCACGTCTCTCTTTTCAGCTGGGTAGTCTGCTTCAGTTGTGATTCTCCTGGGAATTAAAATTGTGAACTAGAGTCATGGTGGGGGAAGGGGAAGGGCTGGAACTTGTCTGACCACACCCTCCCCCGCTTTTTGTAGTTCAAGATTATAATAGTTTGCCTTAGCAGCAGCAAAATCTATCTCAGTGTTTAGTACTCTCCTCGGTATTGGCTGTGAACAATCTCCTTGCAGATATTGGGCAGCTGGCTCTCCTTATTGTTCAGCATATGTCCAGGGTTCCCTCCAATGCACTGGATTCTGCTTATGGAAGGCAAAATAATTACCATGTTAGTCCAAGAAAGAGATTATAAAAGTGAACCTCTTATGCGAAGTAAACATTTTGGATATCCCCTTATTTAGCGTGACCAGTGAGATGTCACCCACAGAAAGTGGATAAAAGGGTACCCAAATGGGCTGAAGGCCACAGGATCAGCTACTCTCTATCCATAAACACCCTTGTCAACTGTGTGGATGCTTCATCTGACACCCTGTCCTTCCTCTCCTTCCAAGTATGAATCATCCTTGTCACTCCATTTCCTTCACCACCCAAATCCTGGCCCTATACTTAGTACTTCCTGAGACCTCTAGAACAGAAGTACCCATGGGTCCTCAGCCACTTTACCCCATGTGTGGGTCTGATGGCTAAGATGAGCTGTCCTGAATAGCTTTAAAAGTAACTCCAGGGAGAAAAACTAAATGTGGCTCGCTAAAAGATAACACTTAATCTATACAGTTTCGTAGAGGGTATTCTGGATGTTCGGATCTGGGTTGCTGCAGAAAACAAATGGCAATAACTGGGTATCTTTAGCTTCTCAATCTTAGCCAATAACAAAGCCAGCAATCAAAACTCAATTCAACAGTTACAGAATATGGTCTCCAGACTCCTGCCACCATTAAACAGAATTCTTTCTTACAATGCTGCTTTCCATCTTATAAAAACAATGCTTTGTCCATCTGTTGTGGCACACACGCTGTACAGCAAATGAGCCTTCAATGATAAATGTTCTCTTTTGCCCCAGGTCACGCGGCAGTCATAGTCATGTACAATCAAGTGACCATTTATTTAGAGGAAGGATGAGCAGAGGCTAACTGCAGTCTTTTTGCTGTTTTTCCCTATTTTCTGCCTTCAAGTAGCAATTAGCCTTTGAGTATCCTTCATCCTTTTCCCCCCACAAATGGTGTCTCAATCTAGTAACCTCACGTATAAAGCAACCGATGACTGAAGGCTAAAATCCACTCAGAGACCACAAACCACCCACTAAAACAACAGGAAAAGATCTGGGAGCCTGGAAAGGGAAGAGGTGGGAGTGAGGGTACGTGGGGCCCTGTGCAAAGTGCTGGTTTTTCTTGTGACATTTACTCTAAAGTCTCTGCTTAAGCTACAGACCTTGGAGAAGAAAGTATATTTTACTCATTTTTAACACAATTTCATTAAAGGACAAAGAAATTCGATTTCTTAGGGATTTCCTCTATAAGCATTTTTCTTGTAGTCCACATATATTGTTTCACTTAAACAAATATTCTGAATTTTTTTGTTTCGTTTTGACTTGTTTTGTTTTGTTTGAGACAGAGTCTCACACTGTCACTCAGGCTGGAGTGCAGTGGTGCGATCTCTGCTCACTGCAACCTCCGCCTCCCGGGTTTAAACAATTATCCTGCCTCAGCCTCCCAAGTAGCTGGGACTACAGGTCCCATGCCTGGTTAATTTTTGTATTTTTTGGTAGAGACAGGGTTTTGCCGTGTTGCCCAGGCTCGTCTCAAATTCCTGACCTCAGGTGATCCACCTGCCTCGGCCTCCCAAAGTGCTGGGATTACAGGCATGAGCCATCGCACCTGGCCAGATTCTGAATTTTTAAACAGTATCTACTAGAAATCAAATTCATTTTTCTTGTTAAAAAGCCTTTAAACATCAAGAAGGGGAAATAATTATTAAGCATTTGCTTGGAACAGTTGAAGTAGTTTCTGTAATAGAAGGAAGACAGATTTGCCAGGGTATGAAATTCTGAATCCCATCTGCACGGAAGCTGGTTTTCATTTGTAATGCAGTACAAAATATTCTTGGCATCTTTGGTGCTTATTGCACACAGTATACTCCATGCTAAAACTAAATCTCGATAGAACTAAATACATTTCTTTCGTTAGATTTTTTTTCTAAGCATTTTCTCTCGTTCAAGTCCCTTGGATAAATGCATTCACCAAGTACTGCCAGGTCTTTCTACCTCTGCAGAGTTTAGTCTTCAATCTTCCTTATTCAGCCAGTTCATTCAGCTACTATCTATTGATGGGGGCCGAGGGGGACAGGAGTTCACAGGCTAACCTGAGAGAAGAAGGCAAGGCACATACACCCCTGCCCGTGTCCTAGATCTGTCTTTCAGTCTCTAGGGGCCTAGGCCCTGGCTTTCTGAATTTTACACATGATGACTGCTACGGTACTTACAGCCTCAATACGTTTGCCATCCACACTATTTTTTTTTTTTTAAGAGACAAGGTCTTGCTCTGCTGCCCAGGCTGGAGTACAGTGGCTTGATCATGGCTCACTGCAGCCTTTGCCTCCAGGGCTCAAGCGATCCTCCCATCTCAGCCTCCTGAGTAGCTGGAACTGCAGGTGCATGCCACCATGACTGGCTACTTTTTGTATATTTTTTGCAGGACAGGGTTTTGACATGCTGTCCAGGCTGGTCTCCAACTCTTGGGCTCAAGCGATCTGCCTGCCTCCACCTCCCCAAAGTGCTGGTATTACAGGCATGAGCCACTGCACCCAGCCCATGTTCAGTCTCAAAACCAGTAGAATTCAGTTACAAAAACAAAAAACACACCAAACAAACACTTGTCTCAGGCATAACATATTACCTTGTTGATTTATTGTACCACAGCTGGAAATATGGGGACTGTCAGTTTCTCCTGAGAATCTGGGATACTGCATGCCTTAAGGGAGATTGAGGTGACAGTATGCTATCTGTCTTTTATTTATGAAGATAACCCTGTTGACCCACCAGGATATGCTTTGTAGTTTTCTCCATCCATCCTATCAATTTTTATTAGTTATGAAATTTACTGGCCCCTGTGGCACAAATCTAGAAGAACCAGCTCACTTGGTTCAAGCCTATAATTTCATCAACATAGCAGGTAACTAGCTGAGCTCACTTGGAACTGAGATCATAATAATGATTTAACCTCTCATTTGAGCAAGGCTTTACTGTTTAAAAATCACTTTCACAGAAATAATTCCATCTTATCTTGACAATGTCCCTGAGAGGTAACATCTTAGAAGCGAGGAAACTAAGTTTCCAAGAAGTCAAGTGACTTTTCCAGTAAAGGGGGAGTCAGGACTCACACCTAGGATGTCTTTCTCACTAAAATACACGCTCAAGTATACTTGATTGGTTGACATATGATAAATGGATACAAGAATTGTGGGAAGCTCTAGAAGAAAGGATGTTTTGTTGAGAAAACAAATCTAGGAAAGTGTCTGGAAAAGTGGTTTTCAATAGAGATTGTTTACTTTAAATTTAACTCTAGACCCAAGAATATCACATAGGAAACCATTAGGGAGTCATGTGAACAAGACAATCAAGTGTCAACTCATATGATACAGACATTAAGTACAATGATGGTTCAGAAAAGAGAGAGAACACAATAAGGTAATAAATCAAGGATAATATAATTGAGGAAGAGGGACTAAAGTTAGAACTTAAAGAATGTGCAAGATTTAGATGGAAGAGGGAAGTGGGAAGGGCACAATGGGCATTGGGAACAACCCAAGCAAAGGTGGAGAGTCATTTTCCAGACAGGGATTAGGAGCCAGACACATCTGATGGGAGGAGGGACTGAGCAGGTCTAGGCAAGGAAGTCGTGGGCATTGAGGTGAAATAAGGAGGTGGAATCAAAGAGGATCTTCAGTGCCTATTGGAGAAATACAGACTTGATGCTTAGGTGCTCTAAAGGGTGGCGGCATGAGGGAGAATCTGCTCCATGCCTCTGTCCTAGCATCCGGCTGTCCCACGCTTCCCTTGGCTTATAAATAGTGTTCTGTGTCTTCACATAATCGTCCCTCCATGCCTGTCTCTGTGTCCAAATTCCCCCTTTTTGTAAGGACATCAGTCATATTGGATTAGGGCCCACTCTAATGACTTCATTTTAACTTGATTACCTCCCTAAAGACCTACACTGTACAGGTTGAGCATCCCAAATCCAAAAATCTGAAATGCTCCAAGTCCAAAACATTTTGGGTGCTGACATGATGCTCAAAGGAAATGCTCATTGGAGCATTTCGGATTTCAGTCTTTTGGATTGCGGATGCTCAACCAGTCAGTATCTGCACATATTCCAAAATATGAAAAAAAACCAAAATCCAAAAATACTTCCGGCCCCAAGCATTAGGATAAAAGATACTCAACTTGTAGTATTTCCAAATACAGTCACAATCTGAGGTACTGGGAGACATCAATATATCTTTTTGGAGGGAGGGGGACACAATTCAACTCTAACAGCCACCTTTAAAGAGTCATGAGTAGCCAGGCGAGGTGGCTGACGCCTGTAATCCCAGCACTTTGGGAGGCCGAGGCAGGCAGATGGATCGAGACCAGCCTGGCCAACATGGTGAAACCCCGTCTCTACTAAAAATACAAAAATTAGCTGGTCGTGGTGGCGCACGCCTGTAGTCCCAGCTACTTGGCAGGCTGAGGCAGAAGAATCGTTTGAACCTGGGAGGCAGAGGTTGCAGTGAGCCAAGATCATGCCACTGCGCTCCAGCCTGGTGACAGAGTGAGGCTGCATCTCAAAACAATAAATAAATAATAAATTTTCAAAAATAAAAAAAATTGAGTCGTGACCAGCACAGTGAGAGGCAAAGAGGTGTTTTAGTGAGAGTGGACTGACCCCAGCATGCAGAATATGCTGGAAGGAAGGGAGGGAACTAGAGGCCATAGGTTGGGGCGGGGGTGGAGAAAAGTAGATAAAATCAAGACACATTTCAAAGGAAGAGTTGAAAAGATTTAAGTAGTAGCAATGGTAATGTGTCGTTAAGTCTAGAACATAACAGTTTACAGAACATTCCCATGTCTCCTTTCTCCTTTGTACCTGACTTAGGGGCTGAGTGGTGTCTTCAGGGTTTCTGGCCCTGGGAGAGAAGCTCCAGTGATAAGGTCAGCCACTCCAGTGAGAGTGGCTAGCAAAGGCAGCAGGGGGAGACTCAGAGCTGCAGGTGCTGAATTGGAGGTGGTGACAGAGCCGGGTGGAGCTGTCCCCTGGGCCACTGGAAACCTAAGCCAGCTGCCCCCTCTCTAGACATAGATTTGGAAGTCAAATGCATTCCAGCAGTCATCTAATCACAAGAGTGGGTGCGGCCTCTGAGTGAGTGAATGTAGGAGAAGAGCAGTGGCTTGATGTTTTGGCAAATTCCCGGAGTTAGAAGATTGCTAAGAATAAGGATAAGAAGCATTTAAAGTAGAGGAGAAATGGTAAAGTTCTCTACTTCCAAAGCCAAAGAAAAAGAGTTTCCAGTAGAAGGTGGGAGGAGAAGAGGGACGACTGGGAGAAGACTTTGGTTTAGCTAAAATGAGGACATGGGGAAAAGAAAGTGCCAAAGAAAGGAAGGAAGGAAGTCAGATGATAATTACAGGGTGGCAGGATTTAGAAAATGGTGTGGGGGGTTTTTATTGGAAAGTTGTGGGGTTTTCTTTTTGAGATATTGATTACTTTACTTACAGTCAAATTCACCTTTTCTGATGTTCAATTCTGTGAATTTTGACAAATGAATATAGTTCTGTAACCATGACTACTGTTGAGATAGGACCAATTATATCACCCCCAAAATTCTTTGTTGCTGAGGTGCTTTTTTGTTTTTTTAGAGGAAACCAATGTGTATTTGAAGTCAGAAAGGAAGAAACCCATGGGAAAGGAGGAGATGATGGTGTTAAAGAGGAAAGGGTTGAAGGAGTGAGGCGTGGAGGTGGTAGGGAGGCAGGTGGGCCACTGAGAATGCTTCAATTTTGGTGGGAAGGAACATTTCCTCTCTTCCTATGAAGTAGAAGGAAGGATGGATGCATACATTCAGGGTCTATGATATCTTTTTATGGTTAATTCCAAAACTCCTGCCAGCAAAACCATTTCCTGCTGAGAGAGATGTTAAATGTTGCATTGCATAATTTCTGCCACGGAGGTATGATTTCCTGTTGCAATCACTGTTTGCAGGAATTACATGCAAGGGGAGTACAGGCACCGGGCTGCTTTGCTTTGGGATATGTGCCCAAATCCTGCTCTAATGTAATACCATAGCAATTTTAGAACTAACAACTTTAAAATTCTTCAAAGTTAAGTGCATCTGCATCTTTTCCTGCACCATACAGTGAGAAAGCTTGGCAGCAATAATGGCTTCAATCCCCATAAATACTCCTGACAGGTGTAAATGAGTCACTGCGGAAGAGCTAGCTTCCACAGACATGTCCTTGGGGCATTATTTGGCAGAAGAGATTGAATTCTCATCATTTTATGCTCAAGACTCACAACCACTCAGAAGTGCAGTTTTCTCCTTGACATCTATGATGTTGCTTGCATCTCCCTTTATCCTTGCAGTCACACTGTGATTCAGGGGTGGGAGGAAAGAAGGTGTTGGATAGCGATTCTCAAACTGTGGGCTTCATGAGCGGGTTGTGAATCAAGTTAGTGAGTTGCAGCCAGTTTACTGAAAAATGAAATAGAATAGGAAATAGCAGAGGGCATCGGGCTAAATGTGATCTCATGCAACCTTTGTTTCAGTGAAATATATGTATCTATTACTGGACTGCAACATAAAATACATTTCTGCTGCGGATCTCAGTCACAAAAGTTTGGAAACTGAATGTAGAAGTATGCAGATCCTTTATGACCCTAGGCAGGCTACTGAATGTCCTTGTGGCTTAGAGTCATTGTCTGTAAAATGAGGCTCATAAGTTACCTACTCTGTATGGCTGTTGAGAGTGTTAAACAGAAAATGCATAGGTAGCATTAGGTGCTGTGCCTGGTTAACAGTCAATGCTTGTGATGATGATTTGTTTTCCTGCCTAGATCTATAGGTCAAATTTTTATTCAATGCCCAGACCTTTCTTCTGAGCCTAGAACTATAACTCAGCAGCTATTTGACATCTCCAGGCAGTTGTTCTACATGCATCTCCAACTCAGCATGTCCAAAGTGGAACTCAATTAATTGCCACTTTCTCTCTCCAATTCTTAACCTTCCCCGTGCCCTGTCCCACCCTCGAGCACACAGACCCCTCTGCTGCCCCCAGCTGTGTACTTCATATGTGGTGCTTCCAAACTGCTTCTAGTTGGTCTTCCTCCACTAACACACATATGTCTTCAGGTTTCCTCTGCCTTGAATGCTTGTTCCACTTTTTTGTTGTATGACTCACTCTTTCCCATCCTTCAGGGCTTAATACAAATTGGTTTTCCAGTCAGAAAGATGTAGGCTTGAAGTCACTAATCATTGGTGACAGCTGTGTGACTCTGAGAAGCAAATTTCTGAAGCACTCAAAGTCAGTTTGTTCCTCTGTAAAATGGGAAAAGCTGTGCCTGCTTCATAGAGTTAAGATAATTTTTTTTTTTTTTGAGACAAGGTCTTGCTCTGTTGCCCAGGTTGGAGTGCAGTGGCATGATCACGGCTCACTACAGCCTTGACCTCCCGAGCTCAAGGAATTCTCCTGCCTCAGCCTCCCAAGTAGCTGGGACTACAGGCAGGCACAACCATGCCTGCCTAATTTTTTGTATTTTTCATAGAGATGAGGTTTCACCATGTTGCCCAGGCTGGTCTCGAACTCCTCAACTTAAGTGATCCACCTGCCTCAGCCTCCCAAAGTGCTGGGATTACAGGTGTGAGCCATGGTGCCCCGCCAAGTTAAGAGAATTAAATGAATTCTTGTGTGTATAGAATAGTACCCAGCACATACAGAGTAGTTAATAAATGGCTGTGATTCTTTTTCATTTTTAAAGAAGGCTCAATTCACCTCTTTCTAGAGCTTCTTACAGACCTGAATGTGTCAGGTTGTTGAAGAGCTTTGCAGTTTTGCACCAGCTATTCCTTCTGATCAGATTACCTTTTCCACACTTCTTCCTTTGACCAAGCCCTACTCCTCCCTCAAGGCTCAACCCAAGTGTCACCTCCTCCGGGACCCTGCCAACATCCTGTGCTCACCTCCATCAGAATTCTTGACCACCTAAACTATGATTACCTTCTTTCCCCCTAGATTCTAAGTCTCCTGAGGGCTCCATGTGACATGTGTCGTGGGAGGGATCCGGTGGGGATCAAATCATGGGGGCAGTTTCCCCCATGCTGTACTCATGATTGTGAGAGAGTTCTCTTGAGATCTGATGGTTTTATAAGCATCTCGCATTTCTCCTGCTTGCACTCATTCTCCCTCCTGCCACCCTGTGAAGAGGTGCCTTCTGCCATGATTGTAAGTTTACTGAGGCCTTCCCAGTCCTGCAGAACTGTGAGTCAATTAAACCTTTTTTTTCTTTATAAATTACCCAGTGTCGGGTATTTCTTCATAGCAGCATGGGAATGCATGGATACAGTTAAGGCCATCCCCAACATGGCTTCTATTGCATGTTCTAGCCTTTTCTTCTACTTATCCTCACCTTGTACCTCATACCATGGAAAACTAGGCTCCTTACTCCCTCACTGTGCCCCATACCTCATTTCCTTGTATGCCTATTCATGCTGGCTCTTTCTGTTTAGCCCCACAAACCCACTAAAGCCCTCTCAAATGCTACCACATGACAATTCTAGAACCTTTAGTGATCTACTTTTTTTAAACAAACAGTAGTAGTTGTCCTCAATTCTGCTTTGCATCCCACAGCAACCCACTATGGACTTTTCTTGTGGAGAAGATTGTCCTTTATACAGCAGTTTCTTTACATACTTGTTTTTTTATGGCAAGTTGTTTGAGTCTGAGGATTGTGTCTTTTTCTTTTCTTTTCTTTTCTTTTCTTTTTCCTTTCTTTTCTTTTCTCTTGAGACAGGGTCTCACTCTTGTCACCTTGGCTGGAGTGCAGTGGTACAATCACAGCTCACTGCAGCCTCGACCTCCTGGGTTCAAGAGATCCTCCCAACTCAGCCTCCTCAGTAGCTGGGACTATAGGTGTGTACCACCATACCTGGCTAATTTTTAAATTTTTGGTAGAGATGGGGGTCTCACTATGTTGCCTAGGCCTGGTCTCAAACTCCTAGGCTTAAGCAATCCTCCTGCCTGGGCCTCCCAAAGTGCTCATGTAATATGCATGAGCCACCTCGCACAGCCAGAGGATTATGTCTTAAACATCTTTGTAAACTTACAGTATCAAGGACATTACATTGCTTGTCTTTTCTCATAAGTGTTTGAGGAAACAAATAGAATTGAAAATCAGCTAGATTTGGTTGTGCTTTCTGCTTGCTAATTTAACTTTTGGGGGTTGGGGTGTGGGAAATTAAGGTTTAACTTGTCTTTTGACTCTTAAATATATTTCTTCTACATGCAATTGGAGCTGGAGTTGCTACATTTAGCAATTAGGCATGTAAACATTAGTACCATATTATAACCACATTGTTGTAGGCATTTTTGATTAATTGATTATTAATATTAATTTTAGTACTAATATACCTTTAATGCTATTGTTTATGGCTCTTAGTTACTTAGGAGTGTGCATACTAATAAAAAGAGTCAAGAGGCCAGGAGCAGTGGCTCATGCCTATAATCCCAGCACTTTGGGAGGCTGAGGTGGGCGGATCACGAGGTCAGGAGTTTGAGACCAGCCTGACCAACATAGTGAAACCCTGTCTCTACTGAAAATACAAAAAATTAGCCGAGGGTGGTGGCAGGCACCTGTAATCCCAACTACTCAGGAGGCTGAGGCAGGAGAATCACTTGAACTCAGGAGGCGGAAGTTGCAGTGAGCTGAGATTGCGCCATTGCATTTCAGCCCAGGCGACAGTGCGAGACTCCGACTCAAAAAAAAAAGAGTCAAAATATATGAAATGTGAAAATGTAAATACATAAACACATTTATGAGTGGTAGTTGTATACATACATACTTTCTACTTTATCAAAGTCAGGACATCTATGAATGGTTATACAAATGGTTATACAAATATTATACAAATATTACAACTTAATTGTATCTTTTTTTCAAAAAAACAGAAGATCCATTGGTAGTATGCTCTCCAGCTCCCTCCCTCTGTGACTTACACCTTCGCTAGTCATTTGAAAGCTTCTGTGGGAGTGTGTGGTAAGTGACCTGCCATTGTGGGGAGTGGAAGTGGCATGACCTCAGGAGCCAGTTCTGAGTCCAGGTGAACCAAAGCTCAGTTTCTTTCATCTTTGAACCTGAACCTCTTACCTCCAAGAAAAAGGGCCCAGGAATTTGGGCCTTCTTGTTTATTTGTCCTTCTGCCCCTCTCCCTATCTAACCCCTGGGTAAGGGTGAGCTTGAAGGTGATGGTGACAGTGGCTTCTGTGTGTGTCAGTCCACCCTCCAAGCAATGCTTAGAAACCAGTCCATAAGCCAATTAACACATCATTTTTAGGGCAGATTTGCAAGTTCTCAGTTGTTTACATGTTTCGTTAAGTACTAACCTCCAAATTAATAAAGCATGACACATGACATCACACATTTCACAATTTGTACCCAAGCAAAGTTCATGGAGGTAAAGGTAATGAATTAGCGGTTGTGAAAAATCACACATTCCTTTACTGGAGACAGGAGAGACATGTAGAATATATTGGCAATGACCAAAAATTGACTTCTAAGTACTTTTGAGATTGGCCCTGGGAAGCATCGTATGAATCTCTGGCAAGGGAAGAAAGGACTGGACTCCAGGGAGAGGAAAAGCATGTATAAAGGTATAACGGTTTAAGAAAAAGAGAGAACTGGAATAACCCAGGATTCTCTGGAGGCATAGAATGAGTGCATTTTAAGTCTTTTAAAGAAGACTTGTTGTAAGGCAACAAGCCTGGAGCCAAGAAATGTAGCAATTCCAGCTCCAGTCGCATGCACTAGACCTGCTGTGCTTAAATGTCCTGTGATTGGGTCATGGAATTGCAGCATGTCCAGCACTTGAAGAGGTTTGGATGCTTTAAGTCACTGCAAGAGGCCAGGAGATGGGGTCACAGAGACAGAAGAGACAGACTGTCTTGTACAGAAACCTAAGGGCTCTCTATTATGGACTGAATGTTCATGAATCCCCCCAAAATCATATGTTGAAGGCTTAACCCCACTGTGACGGTATTTGGAGACGGAGCCTTTGGAAGGTGATTAGGGTTAGATAAGATCATGAGAGGTGGCTGAGGCCTTGTTGACAGGATTAGTGCTCAGTCTCCTTAGTTAGAAAATAACTCTGGCGGCCGGGCGTGGTGGCTCACGCCTGTAATCCCAGCACTTTGGGAGGCCGAGGTGGGTGGATCACGAGGTCAGATGATCGAGACCATCCTGGCTAACACAGCGAAACCCCATCTCTACTAAAAATACAAAAAATTAGCCAGGCGTCGTGGCGGGCACCTGTAGTCCCAGCTACTCGGGAGGCTGAGGCAGGAGAATGGCGTGAACGCGGGAGGCAGAGCTTGCAGTGAGCCGAGATCGTGCCACTGCACTCCAGCCTAGGAGACACAGCGTGACTCCGTCTCAAAAAAAAAAAAAAAAGAACTCTGGCTTTGATAGAATTGTTTTGGAGATTTTATCATAAAGATAGTGCTCTCTCTCTCTCTCTCTCTCTCTGCCTTTCTGTTATTTTCTTTCTATTCCTTTCTAACTAAGAGAGAAAGTTATCCTCTATTTGTAAGTGTTAAAGAATGCAATCACCATGATACTGCTTCACATCCCCTTTAGTGTAAAAGTGCCTTGTGTCTAGTAAGCAGTTGCATCATCATTGCATGAAAGTGGAATAAATGAATGAATACATGAATGTTAGAAGTAAGTGGCCTGCACCAGGTTTTCTTCTCGTTCTGTCTTCTTCTCTCTTGCCTTTCTTGTTCTCCTTTCTCTTCAACACATAACATCTTTTATTAGGTATATACATGTCTCCTTTGTTCGTCTTTGCCTTAATAAGAAACAACATTTTCGAGCAATATGAAATGTCTATGCATGACAGCATCCTAACTTTCTTTCTCTTTTTTTTTTTTTTTTTTGTAAGATGGAGTCTCGCTCTGTCACCCAGGCTGGAGTGCAGTGGCGTTATCTGCAACCTCCGCCTCCTGGGAGGCAGGCTCAAGCAATTCTCCTGTCTCAGCCTCCCGAGTAGTTGGGACTGCATCCACGCGCCACACGCCCAGCTAATTTTTCTATTTTTAGTAGAGAGAGGGTTTCACCATGTTGCCCAGGCTGGTCTCGTACTCCTGGGCTCAAACAATCCACCCGTCTCAGCCTCCCAAAATGCTGGGATTACAGGCATAAGCCACCACGCCTGGCCAGCATCCTAACTTTCTGCAGCAGTAAGTAGGATCCCTAATAAAGGCTGAATATCATACTCATACCCACAATTCCTTACTTGGTTTAAATACAAAAGATTATCGCTGCCAAACTGTGCATAAGAATTGGTAGACTATGTTTGAAAATGTTTTCCTTTAATAATATTGCAAATACCTGAAGCCAGGCAATAAAAGTAAGACACAATATCTTATTTGGTAGTGTTTTCTTTTCAATATTGTTTTCAGACTCCCAGTTGGAAGGAAGAGGTTTTGTATCACAGTTTATACTACATATTTGCATAAACAGTAAATATTTTTCTCCTACTTAAAACAAAAATCAAATAATGTTTAGTAATTAGACTACCTTCAGCCACTGTGAAAGGACTTAGTTTAGGGTAAATGGTGTCTTTTCCTACACTGCTTCTATTATCAGTAGAAGGTTACTACCTACGCTTCTAGGGCTCTCCAGATTTTAACAGCTCATGAATTCAGAATACATGAAAAAGCAAGAGTTAACTACAGAATATTTAAACAGTTGTTTTAATTTTATTACTTCCAGTATTTGCATGTATCCAATAACCATATAACCATGTAAATATATTATAAAGCATACCTCAATGACTGGAGGAGAATATTTTCAGTAAGTATATTAAAATCGTTTCCCTGGCCGGGCGTGGTGGCTCACGCCTGTAATCCCAGCACTTTGGGAGGCCGAAGCAGGCGGATCACAAGGTCTGGAGTTTGAGACCAGCCTGATCAACATGGTGAAACCTTGTCTCTACTAAAAATACAAAAATTAGCTGGGCGTGGTGACGCACAGCTGTAATCCCAGCTACTCCGGAGGCTGAGGCAGGAGAATCGCTTGAACCTGGGAGGCGGAGGTTGCAGTGAGCCGAGATTGCGCCACTGCACTCCAGCCTGAGTGACAGAGCGAGACTCCCTCTCAGAAAAACAAACAAACAAAAAAACCTTTTCCTGTAGAGTATGTGTCACTCTTAAGTAGGTTAAGATGATCTTGCTTACACCTAACAGATCCCTTCTACAAGAGCTCAAAGGGATCTTTAGCAGATGTCCGATCATAACAAGTAGTTCTGAGGTGTCTCACAGGAGTACCTGGTCTAGGAGGCTGTGTTCTCCAGAGCAGCGTTGATCACACAGCTCTGGCTAATGTCTAGGCAGGCTGGACACCCAGTCCTTCCTCATCGCACATTGTTGGAAGCCATGTGCCAAGACTGCATTTGTGCTGCACCATCGTTGGGGGATGGTCCTGCCCCCTCCCCGATGGAGGTCACAGGTTTGTGGGCGAGACACCTCTAACTAAACAAACAAATATTCCTTTACGAACTGTGACAACTGCCATGAAGGATTCAAAGGGGGCAGAGTGATACATAACAAAGGGGCACACCCACTTAAGTCAGGAGGGTTAGGAAGGCCTCAGAGAGGAGGCAGCATTTGAGCATGTGAGCAGAGAACCCAGGAGCAGAGAACCCAGGGAGCAGGAGCAACAGCAGGGCTAGGAGGAGCGGGAACCTTGCATTAAGAGCGCCTCGTTGCTCATGAAGATCCATTCATTTAGCCATGAACTAAAACAAGGCGGCCTCCTTTTCTGAACTTATCTCAGAATTTCGACCTGAGGAAACGGGTGCACAGATTCTTGAAAAGCCAGAAACAGTACAGAGAGAACGGAGGAGAGGCCACACGTATGCCGGATAAAGGTCCCAGGATGCTGCTAGGAGAGCACTGGCCATTAGAGTAAACAGAAAAATAGAAATGAAACCTGTTTTTATAATGAATAACTTTTATAGTCTAAGTTTAAATGAAGATTGGGTTTTCCCATTTCTGGGGGCAAACAAACATGTGTTAATAGCTAATTAAAAATAGAATGGGAATTCTACTGAGGCCCATTATGGAACAGGGGGCAGGCAAGGTGCTGGAACATGCTGGCCATCTGATGCCAACCACGTGGGTCCTTTGAATAAATCTGTGTGCTTTTATCACTTCACCCTGCTCACCAATTTGACCGGATTAAAAGGCTTCATAACAGTCTGCACAACTGCTAATGATGTAACTCCGCTCTTACATGTTTATTTTAGTGTTGGATTTTTATTGTTAAGGTCACTCCGAGGATATGCGGATTCTTAACTACACAAAGTTGGTACTTAGCCTTGGTCTATTTTGTCTTGTATCTTTTTTTTTTTTCTTTCCTATTCCCAGGAGTCTGCCTTCTCTGTGAATCCCCCTCTAACAGGATGTCGTGGTTTATTTATTCCCTGCCCTTTGCCATGTGGATGGGCGGATTTTTAACCTTTTAGTACCATAATCCTTTGTGGTAGGTTCCTGTTTCTCTGCTATCTTGGGAACTCCTGCTGTTCGACCTTGGTGTTTGCATATTTATAAACTCTTAACCATTAACTCTTCAAGCAGACCAGCTGCAGCATGAGAGCTATTTGCTATTCCTCAGCATCGTTTTCTAGTCTCACTTAGCAAGACCTTTGCTTGTTGTATTCCCATTTGTGTCTGTTGTGGAACAGGCTCGACAGAACTACTGAAATTGTAAAGAAACTCAGGCAGCCTGCACAGACCTCCAGCTCCCTGGGTCTGCCTGTAAAGAGAGGACGCTGGGGCAGATGGAGAGCAGCAGGCACTCGGAGTTAGGCCTGAGATCTGCGAATGGCTTTGCCACTTGCAGGTTGTAAGGCATGGTGGGGGCTGGGATCAAATCACCTCCCCAGCTCTCTGTTTCTTTGTCTATACAATGGTGATCAAACTGGATATCTCCACTGAGCACCAGGTGTCCTGAAGAGATGGGCGGGGGTGGAGGCAGCATGAGTGGGAGGTGAGCATGTTGGCAGGGGCCCCAGGGCCCGGGCAGCTCTCTAGAGAAAGGATTTCATGGCTTTAAAACCACAGGACTCTGTCACCTCCAAGGTCCTTTCCAACTTCAAACACACCTCTGATTCTATGAAAGGATGACAGTCTTCTGCCTTCCTGCTTCATTACTGGTGGAGAGGCCCTGCCAAGGCAAGGAGGGAAGTGGACTAGGAGGTAGGCCTGAGGCTAGGGTGGAGCCCCCAAGCTTCCTATCAGTACCGCCAAACTGAACTGAAGCCCCCCACACAATTGGAAAGTGATAGAGAAGGTGATGGAGTTTATGCCCTTGATTCAGGTTGTTGGGTTTAAAACTGAAGATCCACATGAAGGGGTGACTCTTTTCGTTGAGAGAGTACCAGTGCTGTGCCATGTGGCAGGGCAAAGACGAAGAGCAGTGCCAGGTTCCTTGACTGTGGGCTTTGCTTCTTCATGGCTAGGGATGGGGAGCACTGGATGCAGTTACATCCTTGCTAGATCCCAGATCCTCACTTTTTGCTTTTGACAGAAGTCTCAGGTAATAGACTTGCTTTCTTTCTTCAGCAGATAGTAGTTAAAACCAAGTGGCAACCTGATAGGCAGCCAGCTGTTATCTATGACTCAAACTATTAAGGATGGAGACATCTGTACCTGGGCCATGTTCTTCCCAGAGGAGAGCCCTTACTAAGTCAGAGGGTATTATTGTGACATCTGACCTTGAGGACAGTTCAACATGTCAATCAGGCTAGATAAGCAAATTCTTTATCTAGTAAAAATGGCTAGGCATGGATAATATGTGGTTTCTTATTCTCCTTCCTCCTCCCCCTCCTTTTTTTTTTTCCCCCCCCCCTTGAGACAGGATCTCTCATTCTATTGCCCAGACTGGAGAGAGAGCAGTGGCACAATCACTGCTTGCTGCAGCCTCAACCTCCCGGGCTCAAGTGACCCTCCTGCCTCAGCCTCCCAAGTAGCTGGGACCACAGGCATGCGCCATCACTTCCTGCTAATTTCTAAATTTTTTTGTAGAAATGGGGTCTCCCTATGTTGCCCAGGCTAGTCTGGAAATCCTAGCTTCAAGCAATACTCTTGCCTCAGCCTCCCAAAGTGCTGGGATTACACACATGAGCTACTGTGCCACTGCCATCTTCTTCTTCTTCTTCTTCTTGTTCTTCTTGTTCTTCTTCTTCTTCTTCTTCTTCTTCTCCTCCTTCTTCTTCTCCTCCTTTTCCTTCTCCTTCCTCTTCTCCTCCTTCTTCTCTTCTCCTTCCTCTTCTTTCCTCCTCCTCCTCCTCCTCCTCCTCCTCCTCCTCCTCCTCCTCCTCCTCCTCCTCCTCCTCCTCCTCTTCTTCTTCTTCTTCTTCTTCTTCTTCTTCTTCCTCTTCTTCTTCTTCTTCTTCTTCTTCTTCTTCTTCTTCTTCTTCTTCTTCTTCTTCTTCTTCTTCTTCTTCTTCTTCTTCTTTTAATTAGAGAGGAGGCCTCACTATGTTGCCCGAGCTGATCTTGAACTCCTGGGCTCAAGCAATCCTCCTGCCTCAGTCTCCAAAGTAGCTGAGATTACTGGTGTGTACCACTGCACCTAGCAACACATAGTTTTTTGAAGATGTACAAAAATTTGATTCTTGGAATGGATTTATAAGAAAGCTTTGCATTTCCTCTGGGTTGAGGGAAACAACTTTATTAATTGCAGTGTCTTTGGAACAGGTACATATTTTAATATTATTAGAGAAAGAATTTCTGGCCTGCAAATAATTGGATATGAACTAGAGAATAAATATCTTCCTACATTGCAGGAGAAAGTAAAACATAACATCCTGTTTCTATCCACAGATACTTAAGAGGGAAAGGGAGAAGGAAAGGAAAGAATGGAATTGGGAATTACATGGCATAACTTGGGATACCTGTTTTACAGCTAAATCATTTGTGATCTGATTTCCATGTTGGTGGGACTTGGCCTGTTTCTGGCAGGTTCCTCCTGCCTTCCCTCATTTTCCCCAGCTTTCTTCATTCATCACAGGTTCTTTTTTCTACCATCTTCTGTGGGTAAAATCTAGGGGGCTTGTGACCCTCTGAGATGGTTCTTGCTGCACGTGTCTGTGCACAGCACTGAGAAGCAAAGTACACACACAGTCAGTTCTTGCACCAGTCAGGAGCAGCTTGCCTCCACCTACAAAACACAGGGTGATCATGCGTCTAAGGAACTGATTATCTTTTCCATTTCTTATCTTCTGCACAAGCCAATGGTAAGTTCTGTTTACTTACTTATCTTGGCTTATGCACAAGTAAACTGTAGGTATTGTTTTTCATTTACGAGGTTTTTGCTATCCTTGGGTTGGTTTATAATGTTGTTAGTCAGACCAGGTTGTGTCTTAATGTCCAGACAGTGAGTTAGGGTATTACAGACCCACCAACTGGATTTTCCTCTGAAGCAAAATCTACTAAAGGTGTGTCAGCCATTTTGTTAGGCTTGAGCAGGGGCGGGCAAACTATGGCCTGTGAGCCAAATCTGGCCCACGGCCTGTTTTTGTACAACCAGTGAGCTAATGATGGTTTTTATGTGTTTAAATAATTTGGAAAAAACCAACAGAAAAATAATATTCTGTGACATGAGAAAATTATTTCAAGTTTCAGTGTTTATAAATATAATTTTATTGAACACAGTTATAATCATTCCTTTAACAACTGTTATTTATTTGTTTGTTTATATACTTATTTATTTTGAGACAGGGTCTGTCTTTGTTGCTTAGGATGGCAGTGCATGGTGCAATCACAGCTCACTGCAACCTCTCCTCCCGGGTTCAAGCGATCCTCCCACCTCAGCCTCCCAAGTATTTGGGACTACAGGTGTGCACCACCATGCACGGCTAGTTTCTTTGTATTTTTTGTAGAGACAGGGTTTTGCCATGTTGCCCAGGCTGGTCTCAATTTTCTGAGCTCAAGCAATCTGCCTGCCTCAGCCTCTGAAAGTGCTGGGATTACAGGCATGAGGCACCACACCCAGCCCCTTTACCTACTGTTAATGGCTGCTCTAACACTACAATAAAATTGGGCAGTTGCAACGGATACTGTATTGACTCACAAGTCAATAAAGTGTTTGCTATACTGGCCCTTTACAGAAAAGGTTTGCTGACCTCTTTGCTTGTATAATTAAACAGCAACAATAGTTCACATATTTTGAGTCTTCCTATGTGCCAGGCAACGTGCTAAGCATCTTTTGGGCATTGTTTAATCCTCATAACAACCCTATAAAAAGTATCTCTTTTAAAAAGTAAAAAGTATCTCTTTTACTTTTTACAGATGAAGAAAAGGAGGGTAAGAGAGGTGGTGTAATTTGGCCAAAATCACACTGTTGGGCAGTATCAGAGCTGGGATTTGTACCCACATTTGTCTGATTCCAGAGCCTGGATTCTTATCCACCACAGAACACCAACATGCCTGTATTTCCTAGGTGGGTCTGAAGTAGAGGCCACAGATAAAAATTGTTAATTGTCTGAAGCTTAATTAACTTCTATTTCAAGTAATTTAATTTAGTTTATTATTTGAGATTTAGTATCTGTCTCTGTTATGAGAATGTGTACATTCCTTAAGGATAGTGACTATCTGTGGCTCCTAACACAGTGCCTAGCACATAGTAGAAGCTAAGTTAAAAATCTGTTGAATGAAGTGGATAGGGAGTAGGAAAGAGGGTGGGAGAAAGGGGGAGGAAGAATAGAGGATGAGAGACATTATCAAGGAAGAGTCAGGGTGCCTAGCATTGGCCCTAAGGTCATGGATGGCTCTGCTTGGCACTGGGCTCACCCTGACCAAGGGCTCACAACACCCTCGGGTCAGGCCTCACCTGACCGTGCACACATTCCATCTGCTGCTGCTTGACTTCTATTCTTCCGCCCTTGCTCTTCCCCTCTGCCTCTGGTGGCCTTGTGGCTTCCTGGCACTGGTCCAGATGCAATGCCAACCTTGAGAGGCGCATCAATGTTTGTTTAGAGTGCATTCATTTGGAGGAGGATGTGGAAGTGAGGCCTCCCGTTCTCATGTCCAGAGACGATGACTTACATCAAAGGGCAAAACTGACGCTGGAAGGGGACCAAAAGGAATCATTTCTCTTCTGATCTTTTTAAGAAGGCTGCTGGCTCTAAGGGAGAGATGCTGGCCACTGAGGACTCATTTCCACAGGCCGCTGACCAGCACAAAAGTCCAGGTTTCTTTCTCATGAGAACCAGTGGCAGGTAGGCATGAACAGACTCTCTTCCTTCCTGGGACTGGCCTGGGACTAGAGTTAGTGTGAGACCTCAGCAAGAGTAACAAAGTAGCACTGCAGCCTCTCAGCTGTGTCAAAAACAGCAGGGAGACACCAGTGCTAAGTGGGTGAGGATGCAGAGGGAGGCTGTGTCCAGCCTGGTGTGATAAAAGTGTTTAGGCACCAGGCGCGGTCACTCACGCCTGTAGTCCCAGCACTTCGGGAGGCCGAGGCAGGCAGATCATTTAAGGTCAGGAGTTTGAGATCAGCCTGGCCAACATGCCAAAACCCCGTCTCTACTAAAAATACAAAAAAATTAGCTGGACATGGTGGCACATGCCTGTAATCCCAGCTACTCAGGAGGCTGAGGCAGGAGAATTGCTTGCACCCAGGAGGCTGAGGTTGCTGTGAGCTGAGATAGCGCCACCACACTCCAGCCTGGGAAACAGAGTGAGACTCTGTCTCAAAAAAAAAAAAAAAAAAAAAAAACTGTATAGGCATATCTCTTCTGATTTTGCATGATTCTGCTCGCTATCATTTATTGATGTATTTTATTTGGCTTATGAAAAGGTGATGAAGTGTAGTGTTTTATTAAACTATTCATATGCCCAAAAAAACCCCACAAATGCTTACTGAATCCTTAAATGAGCCCAGCTCCAGGAGTAAAAAAAGTGAATTATCAGTCATTTCTAAAGGAACTCATAAATCTAGTAGTGGCCATAATAATGATAGTAATAATTTATGTTCTGACTGCTTATGATGCATCAGGCATTGGATCATGTGTTTTTTTTTTTTTTTTTTGAGATGGAGTCTCGCTCTGTCCCCCAGGCTGGAGTGCGGTGACACAGTCTCTGCTCACTGGCGCGTCCGCCTCTGGGATTCAAGCGATTCTTGTGCTTCAGCCTCCTGAATAGCTGGGATTACAGGCGCCTGCCACCATGCCCGGCTAATTTTTATACTTTTAATAGAGACAGGGTTTCACCATGTTGGCCAGGCTAGTCTTGAACTCCTGAGCTCAGGTGATCCACCTGTCTCAGCCTCCCAAAGTGCTGAGATTACAGGCGTGAGCCACCGCACCCGGCCTAGATCAGGTTCTTTACATAGACTAAACAAACCATTTCCTTCTCCTAACAACGCTATGTAGTCAGTACCCTTGTCATCCCCCGTACACTTGAGGTAATTGAGGAATACAGGTTAAATTACTTACCCAGGGTTATACAACTTGTAAGTGGCAGAGCCAGGATCCAAACCCATTCTTGGCTCTAGAGCCCATCCTCTTCTCCACTACCGCACCTGAGACTTACTGTGTGTTAGGCATGGGGCTGACAGTGACACACTGGATCATTTAATCATCACAATGGCATTAGGAGGTAGCATTTTACAAACGAGCTAACAGACAGGCAAGGAGCAACCTGCAGATAAAGCAAATCCAGATATGTCTCCAGAGCCCGTGCCTTAATCGCAGATGCATTCTGACTTTCATCATAGGATTCTAATCGTGGATGAAAGTGACCCTGAGTTGTAGTGCCAGGCAGGTTGCTTAGGAAAATACTCTTCTGGTAACATGTTGGAGGGGCAGCCTTCTGAGGATGGTGTCAGATTCCCCTGTCCTCTGATTAGCTCCCTCTGCCAAGGTGCCCAGGCTCCTACTTCAGTGTCACCTCCAGGTTTCAAAGCATGGAAACCCAAGCATGTTACTCGGAGAAAGTCCCACCCCCAGCATGGGCGCATCGGCTTAGAACCCTCCAGGGTTAGCAGGCAAAGAGCTGTGGACCCCGGACACGGGAAAAGGCCACAGTCGGGAGAACTCCTGTTGCTGGAGGGCCAGGCGGGGGCGATCCCCAGGGCTCCCAGCTTTTAATGCTGTCACCGCGGGCCTTACTCCCTCCTCTTCCCCACATCGCCACCACTTGAATCAGTTCTTTTACAAAGTGGTTCTATTTCCTGGTGAGACAAAAAGGTTAGAAAAGGAAACCTAGAGGGGGTGGGGGAAAGACAGAGGTTCGGAATACCGGCGCGCAATCGCCATCTGGGTGGAGGGGACCCGCCTTCTTTTCTTCCGCCTGAGCGCAGCTCGGCTCCCGCCTCGGGGCGGGGCCTGTTGCTATGGAGCCCGGGCCCCGGCAGAGCCTGCGGGGTGAAAGCCCCTAGGGCTCCGCCTGGCATGCGTGGCCGGGGCTGTCTGAGATTTCCCCAGGTCGGTGGTTATGACCGCAGGATGGAATCGTAGAGGTCGGGTGATTTGGTCAGTAGAGAGGAACATTTGCGAGGTTCTCTCTGAATTACATGTTGGTCTAAAAGTAATCCACTATCTGGGACCGAGAGGAAAGCATGTGTGGAAGAGGCAGGCATTATTAGCAGCGCGTCCGCCTCGGCCACCTCCCTGCTCCCGCCTCGGCCACCTCCCTGCTCCCGCCCCGGCCCTGGGGGCCTCTGTTCAGCCTCCACCAGCTCAGTCGCCCACGGAGACTCCCGAACTCTTAAATCCCAGCCCTGTAGTCAAAACCACTGCATTAATTAAACAAGGTAAACTGGTGAGGCAAGCAGGAACTTGACACCGCCTTGAATTTAATTGTTAAAATGAGAAGTGTGGTAATGGAGCTCTGCTTAAGAGAAAAACAATACTTGATACCGATGTGCACATCGATGTGGACACGGATGCAATCAGGAACCCATAGTTAGCACCGGGAGATTACATTCCGGGTATACTCAAGATAGATAGAGTCAACTTTGAATTCTCGAGGCCAAGCAATGGGCGAAACAAAAGAGCTTTGTGTTTGCGTGCTTTTGCTTTTTGTTACAGTCAGAGCAGGACAAAGAATAATGAAGGAGTAGACATGTTATTACTTGGGCATTTAATAATCAGTGCATGGCAGAGCCTTGTGTTTTGCTTGTCTTTTTTTTTTTCTTTTCTTTTCTTTTTTAAAGACAGGGCCTCACTCTGTCACCCAGACTGGAGTACAGAGGCCCCATCTCAGCTTACTACAACCTCAGCTTCTTGGGTTCAAGTGATTCTCCTGCCTCAGCCTCCCAAGTAGCTGGGACTACAGGCACGCGCCACCATGCCTGGCTAATTTATGTATTTTTAGTAGTGACGGGGTTTTGCCATGTTGACCAGGCTGGTCTCGAGCGCCTGATCTCAAGGGATCTGCCCACCTTGGCCTCCAAAAGTGCTGGGATTACAGGCGTGAGCCACCACACCAGGCCTACTTCAGTCTTTTCTACAAAACTACAGAACTCCCTATCAAGAGTAATGCTAGAGAAGGAATATTAATGGGATGGTTTGTTAGTACCTAGAAAAAAAAGCATCCTGAGTTCCATAAGAATAAATGATACCAGACCAACCAAAATTCCTCCTTGGATAGGGTTGCTGGGCATGAATTTATGTCCAATATGAGTCAATATGAGAAAAGTGCCAGGACCTCAGAGGTAATTAATAGAAGGATAGAGCCTGGAGCAAGCAAAGTGATGGTCTTGCTCTGCTCTGTGCTGGGCAGATCCCACCTGGATATGTCTTCAGTTTGGGGCAGCTCCCTGTGGGAAACATACTGGGCAGGGAGTCAGGGGTGCTTGACCTGGGTCACCTTTACTGCAAATACAGCCCGGCTGCAAAGGGCTATCCTGATCCTTGAGACTCTGAGCTGAAGGCAGATAACTCAGTCCCCAGGAGTGATTTTGAGAGGTTCTGTTTGTGTCATTTATTTTTTTGTCACCAGTGCCTTGTATACCACCTGGCACACAATCACTTGTGCAATGTATAACATTAAAGGGTCATCTGAAGGCCAGGCCACTTCTGGTGTGAATTCTTGGGTTGGAACTGGGTCAGCTGGTTCCCAATTAATCTACTCCTATCCACATAACCCCAATAGGTTAAGGCCAACTTGCACCTTTTCTCTTTTAAGGATGCTTAAGAGAAAGTCCTTTCTGCTTCATTCACCATTACTTCCTGACAGTCCTGTTTGTCCTTAAAACCTCCCCCACAGCCACTAATGAATGATCCCAACCCCTAAACATAGGAGGCCTCACCAGGGCTACTGCCAGTAGAGAGGAAGGGGCTCGGCCTCTTGGGGTCCAAACCAAACCACTCAATCAAACTGACTACAGAGAGTCTGGACTGTCCAGAAGGAGCTTGGCTTTGAGGGCCACACCTGGAGTGCTGAACTGTGAAATCCATCATAACAATACTTCCTCTCCAGTTGCTCATGACTGAACTGAAGGCTGGAAATAATTACTTCTTACCATCTTCTTTCATAAAACCATTGGGCAATACTTTTCATAAAGTTTTTATGTTTGTTTTTCTTTATATCTTTAAAATTTTTTTCTACTTGACATGTTAATGAGGTACAGTGTGATGTTTCCATATGGATGCACATTGTGTAATAATTAAATCAGGGTACTTAGCATATGCATCACCTCATACCTTTATTATTTCTTTGTAGTGAGAACATTCAAAATTCTCTCTTCTAGCTATTTTGAAATATGCAGGCCAGGTGCAGTGGCTCATGCCTGTAATTTCAACACTTTGGGAAGCTGAGATGGGCATATCACTTGAGCCCAGGAGTTCTAGACCAGCCTGGGCAGCATGGCAAAACCCTGTCTCCATAAAAAAATACAAAAAATTAACTTAGCATGGTGGTACACGCCTGTAGTCCCAGCTACTGGGGAGACTAAGGTGGGAGGATTGCTTGAGCCCAGGAGGTCGAGCAGCAGTCACGCCACTGCACTCCCACTCCAGCTTGGGCAACAGGGTGACACCCTGTCTCAAAAAATACAAGTTAAAAAATGAAATCTACGATACATTATTGTTAACTGTAGTCACTCTACTGTACAATAGAACACCAGAACTTATTCCTTCTATCTAACTGTAGCTTTATATCTGTTGACTAATCTCTCCCTATCTGCCTCCTCCAACCCCAATAAAGCTTGTTGAAATCAGAGACACAGAAAATGAAATGATTGCATTAGGCAGCGTTTATAAGCTCCTGATTTGTTTGCCTCTTCTAGTTGGTTATATCTATCTCACACTGAAACACATCACCTCTCTACTTAGCTGGCTTTGTTCTACTCTGGAGTTGCCTGATTACTGTTCCTGTTCTTGCACATCCTGGGGCAGGTGACATACTGAAAGAGGAACGGTGCCAGCCACAAGACCTGGACTCTAGTTCACCTCTATTACATTATGGTTACTCCATCCTGGGCTGGTCACTTTACCTTTCTAAATCTCAATTTCCACTAAAATAACAATGCCTGCTCTACCCGTTTCTGGGTTAGCTTTGAGGATCAAAGAGAAAATCTATGAAGGTACTTTCTTTTTTCTGAGATGGAGTCTCACTCTGTCACCCAGGCTGGAGTGCAGTGGCATGATCTCGGCTCACTGCAACCTCTGCTGCCCAGGTTCAAGATTCTCCTGCCTCAGCCTCCTGAGTAGCTGGGATCACAGGCACCTGCCACTGCACCCAGCTAATTTTTGTAGTTTTATTAGTGACGGGGTTTCACTATCTTGGCCAGGCTTGTCTTGAACTCCTGACCTTGTGATCCACCCACTTCAGCCTCCCAAAGTGCTGGGATTACAGGCGTAAGCCACCACTCCTGGCCTATGAAGGTACCTTCTAAATCATAAACTACCAGATATGAAGAATTGCCTATCCATAACAGTCTCTGATCCAACTAATTCTGAGATGAACTTTCACCTTTATGTCATATTATGTCATTTGTTCATTCATAGAACTTTCATCATTCCCTATCTACTTATTGGGCACCTAGTATGTGACAGGCACTGCACTAAGGGTTAGTGAATTAAAGGTAAAAGATGGAACCTTCAACAGTTTCTAGCAAGAATGCTGTGGAGTACACAGGAGTGGTACTCAATCCAGACTGTGGGTGGGAGGATCTGGGCATCAGAGGAAGACTCAGAGAATCCTTCCTAAAGTGAGTGGTGGCTTTGCTGAGTTCTAAAGGAGCGCAAGAAGTTAACCAGGGGCAGGAGGCAGGAGAGGCTGAGAGTGTTCCTGGCAGAACAAGTGGTAAGTGAGCCTAGAGATTAGTGTTTCTCAAAGGAGATGCTACTGACATTAGTGTTGTGGGGACAGATGTACTTTTAACGTACTCTCCCAAGCATTGGAGCAGGTTTGGCATCCCTACACATAGGCACTAAATGTTAGTAGTTACCCACCCCCACACACACTGGGTATGACAGCCATAGTGCCCCTTCACATTTCCAAATGCACACCCTACTACCCCATGGGAGGGGTTGGTACCATTCCTTGGCTGAGAGCCACTGCTAAAAAAATACATGTGGAACTGTCAGAGGTGTTTGAACCTGAGCAACTCCATCTTGAATAGGAGTCAGGTAAAATGAGGCTGAAACCTACTGGGCTGCATTCCCAGATGGTTAAGCCATTCTAAGTCATAGGATGAGATAGGACGTCGGCACAACATACAGACCTTGCTGATAAAACAGGTTGTAGTAAAGGAGCCGGCCCAAACCCACCAAAACCAAGATGGCCTCCAGAGTGACCTCTGGTCCTCCTCACTGTTACACTCCCACCAGCGCTGCGACAGTTTACAAATGCCATGGCAATGTCAGGAAGTTACCCTATATGTTCGAGAAAGGGGAGGCATGAATAATCCACCCCTTGTTTAGCATATCATCAAGAAATAACCATGTAAATGGGGAACCAGCAGCCCTCAGGGCTGCTCTGTCTATGGAGTGGCCATTCTTTTATTCCTTTACTTTATTTATAAACTTGCTTTTACTTTGCACTGTGGACTCGCCCTGAATTCCTTCTTGCAGGAGATCCAAGAACCCTCTCTTGGGGTCTGGATCGGGACCGCTTTCCAGTAACAGAATGTCTTATGAACAGAGTGTGACTAGGGAGGACAGAAGGTGGAAAATAATCAGGAAGCAGATGCCGGATTGTAAATTACTTTGTATGCCATCCTAAGATGTTCATTTTCTGGGATAAATTTTCTTGAGCAGGGATAGGCAGACTGTATATAAAGTGCATTGGATTGAACTTGGCACATCATACAGGGTCAGTAAATACTGGATCGCTATCTCTCATGCTCCTGCCAATCCCAATTTAGTAGCGTACATCCTCTTCTTATGCATAGGCACTGTCTGTATACTTCTCCAGTGCACAAATCATAGTCAGACTGGCTGATGGCAGTTTAGCTCTAATCTCCATTCAGCTGGATGGAAACAGTGGGGAGAGGCAAGACAGCTCCAAGAAGTCAATAAGGTGTGCAGTGGCTGTAATCCCAAGAATCCTGGGCTCTTCTCTGCCCTTGAGACCCCCGAGTCCGGCCACTTGAGGCCACAATATGGGAAACTCCAACTCAGAAGCATAACCAGCAGCCACTATTACCATCTACCTACCTGTTTTCAGGAAGTGCCAAGGAGATGATGCTTGGCATTTCCGTGGGGGCCTCCCACGGTTACCCAAGCCCCAACTTATAAACAGTTGGACTCATTTGCCAAGACATATGCTAAAAATGAGGCTGCATTTTCCTATAATAAGCAATATTATGTGTGTTTGTTAGATTCACAGCTGAGCCCCCAAAACCCATTTAACCCATATAGTAGTTAAGCCATTGTGGTGAGGGTGTTTGAAACCCAGCTATCCTATGTAATGCTATTTCCAGGGGAAAAATATTCCCAATTCCAGGTAAAAGATCAGAAACAGATATCACCTGCATTTGTTCCACCTTTACCCCAGGCTTCAGCTATACTTAGGTATTACTCGCTGGTCCCATGAACCATCTCATGCCTTTGACTGTGCTGCACTCAGTGCTTGAAATGCTCCGCACACCCCGCACACCTCCCTGGCCCTGTGTATCCCTTCTATGGGCGCCCAGAGCATTTGCTTCCTCTTGCTCTCAAGCATTTACCACTCTGCATTGCAATTGCTTGCTTACTAATCCATCTCCCACACTAGATTGTGACCTCCCTGAGGGCTCAGAAATATTAAATTCTTCTCTGTATCCTCATTGCCTACTCAGTGCTTGGAACACATGACACTCAACAAGTCTTCATTGGAATGAATGATTGAATGAGTAAGTTAACATCCTCTGGCTGGAAGCCCAGCAACAAGACCAAAGATCTCTCCCACTTCTCCACCTTCAGAAAACAGAGACCTGGTCTAGTTATAGGTCTCAAGAATCTGGGTTGACTGGAAGAAGAGAATGAGAGAGATCAGGACAAAGAATGTGCTGGGGGGCGGGGTCAGCATTTGATGAATTTGGCTTTGGGATAGGCTTAGTAGCAGAATGAGAAGAAGAAAGGACTCCTGTTGTAGTAAGTCAGACACCTGTCTGATGGCCTGTCTTAGGCTTGTAAAACTCAGTGGGGGTAGCCTGCTTCCAGTTTTAGAAGTGGGTCCTAATTAAACTGTAAACTTCTAAAGCAGAACATACGTCCGCACAAAACCTTGTGCACAAATGTTTATAGCAGCACTGTTCATAATGGCCAAAAAGTGGAAACAACCCAGTGTCCATCGACTGATGAACAGATGAACAAAATGTGCTAAATTCACGCAATGGAATATCGTTCAGCCATACAAAGGAACGAAATACTGACACATGCTACCACATGGATGAACTTGGAAAACATTCTGCCAAGTGAAAAGAGCAAGACACACAAGACCACATATTATATGATTCCATTCCAGAATAGGGAAACCTTTAGCGACAGAAAGTAGATTAGTGATTGCTTAGGACTGTGGGGATGTGATGTGGGAGGGAAGAGAGAGATAGCTAAAGGGTATGGGTTGGGTGTTTGTTTGTTTGTTTGTCTGAGATGATGAAAATGTTCCAAAATTGGCTGTGGTAATAGTTGCCCACATCTATGAATATACTAAAAGCCATTAAATTGTACACTTTAAATGGGTGAATTATATGGTATGTGAATTACAATTCAATGAAGCTTTAAAAAAATCCACAAAACTTCTAAAATAGGGTGTTAACTGGGATTTTGAGAACTGTGTATCACCTAAAATGGCACGCCAAAGTTGGCATGTATGTGCATTTCTGGGGTCTGTCAATTTTGCTGTATTCTCTGTGATCCCCCTCCTCCTACTACCACCAAAGGTAATCACCACTGCTCTGCAGAGCTGAGGCCCCTTCAAGGGCTCACTGTAATGCTTGACTGCGTGGAAAGAATGTGATAAATATTAATGTAATCAAATATGCAGATGCCCAGTTTTTTAAAATAAACATTATTAGCAATCCCTTTGAAACTAATAACTAACCAAGGAATAGGATGCAATACTGTTCCCTGCGTTTATTGTTGTAGAAAAAGGAACGGTTGTGAATTCTACTCTGATATGTAAGATTTTTTATTCTAAATTATTATTTGTAATATGGAGACCTAATCACTATCATATGGCTACTTGCTGATCATTTTTACATTATTTATACCTTTTACAACTAAGTTTAATGACTTGGCAGGAAATTAAGTTATGTTATTTGTCAAGTTTCTCAACTTTTAACTGAAAACTTCATGATCAGAAGAAGAACAAGGTCTGGTTATCCCCGAATCAAAATATGTACCATATGATTTTTCTCTGAATCATTAGAACCACAAAAAGCAAAGAAATGTCATTGCATGATTTGACTTTGTGGAACCGTACTTTATAGACCCTGCCCTGGGGTAAATACCAAGAGAGGAAAAGTAGTAGGGGCTTGTGGAACTGGACTGTTTGTTTGTTTGTTTGTTTTTTGCATTTAAAAAAATTATGATATGTGTTTAAAGCTACTTGAGACATCTAAGGAAATCAGTCGTCTCTCTTTCTAACGAGCAAGTGTGTGCTCTCACACTCACGCAAAGCTCTTCTCTAAATGTGAACTTTTCATATTGAGGTACCATATGCCCAGTTTCTTCCTAGAATCTATTCTCACTGCGTTCACCGTTTGCGTCCCAGCACTCCCTTCGTCTGATTTGTAGCACTCCCTGTACCTGCCCCGGCTGCGTTGCACGGAGACTGCACTGGTCGCCTCTCCCCTGGTGAATCCTGCAGTCACTTTCTGGTGATGGAGCTCAGCGGCCCAGCACGAGAGCATGGAAACAGCTGACTGCTGACTCAGAGGGAAAGCAAGCCACCCACGAATCTCATTGCAGCTCGCTGCTGCATCCCTATCCCATAATCCCTTGCCTGGTTTGCTGCAGTCTTTTCAACAGACGCTCAGTGAGAAAAAGATGTCCTGTAAGATCAAGACCGATTGGTGTGAATACTGAAGGGGGTCTTCCACTTGTTAATGACCCAGAAACATTCCTGCCGACTTCCAGCCTTCTCTCATTTCCTCCATTTTTCTCTTCCTCTGTTCTGTGCATGAACTGGCACATCACTACTTAGAGCAGAAGATATGCTGGGCTTCTGATGATGGCTGCACTGCATGGTAGGGAATTTTAACCAGTCTCTTTGCATGGTGCTTCCCAACTTGAAGTGTTAGCAGAAACGTGCGTTGTTCTTTTGGATTGCCGCGTAGCTGCAGCGACAGACTTGGGAGGATTTAATTCTTTGCCTCGTTGGTTAGTCTGTTTGTCTTCAGAAATGGGTAGGTCCTAAATGTTCAGACTGCTTAGTATTGTGCCAGGTGGATAACTGATTTCTCCTGCTCTCTCGGTTCTTTTTTCTCCCTTCATCTCTCATGGTGATGCTGCATCCTCTGTAGCTGTAAAATGCAGACCCATTCTTTGCTTAAACAAAGGCACCAAATTAACAAGTATGGGGAGAAAATCATGCAAGATTTTCTTATCAAGTTCTAATGTGATCTGACTAGATTTGTATTTTTACCAGTCTTTATTTTAGTGTGTATCTTGGCTTGTTTTAAATAGAAGAATTTTGCCCCCTGCATCTCTCTGTTGGGTGCAAACATGGAGATGAAATATTTGATTTGCAGGATTCCTTCCTCGCTGCCCCAGGGTAGAGGAGAACGTGCGACCCTCCCCCCACTCTGTCCTCTATTAGAGAATCCTGGGGTTGAGTTCCATGGCTGGCAGTTACCATTGGAAACCCATTCATTCATAATGCATGACTCGACCCTCCGAATTCTGAATGCCATTGAGGGCCAGCAAACAAACATGTAGGAGATAATTTGCTTTTTTTCTGACAATTTTTTTTCCTGTCTTTGAAGTACAGTCAAATCTGGGTGGAGCTCAATGATAGCATTACACAGGGAAAAGAAAAAAAGAAAAAAAAAAACCCTTGGGTTTTGGGTTGGTCCTTAGGTTTGCTTCCTGAAACAGTGGGGATTATTTTTGTGTCAGAGCTTTTTCTACAAGTATGCCCCACCCTGACATTATTCCTTCTTTTGGGGGGATAGGAGAGCAAGTAGCAAGGCAGTTTGTTTTAAATTAAAAATTGAATGTTAATAAATGGATTTCTGAACCAAAAGATAAAATGGTATTATTGTCTTAAGGAAAAGACAGTTTCAATGTAATAGCTTTCAAAATGAGGTGTTTAAAAGATTGTTTCTCTGGCTTAGATCATGTTACAGCAGTTTTATTCCTTATGAAAATTTGTTTTAAAAGAAGGTTTTAAACTCCAGTTTATATGTAAGGAGAGCCATTTGTTCATGCAGAATTCTTCAAATGACGTCTTAGTGTTAGGATTCAGTTCTGCCTAGTGTGAATCTGTTTTCTGGTGTCTTTCATTATTTCAGGCAGAGGCTTGAGCCCCACTGTTCCTAACCCACTATAATGTTAAATAATGCACGCCCCTCCCAAGCAGCACACAATGAGAAGTTTCATGTGTGCTGTGGTATGAGAAAGCAGCTTTCGGATGCAGAGACAGGAGTAGTAACCCTTCCTAAACCTTTAAGTGTTTCTGTCCAATTTTCTCCTAGGAAGACACAAGTGATTTGCATTGGAAAGGTTAAAACACAGCTGAATGTAAAAATTTTCTCTGATAGAACGTGCTGTTTCAAGATATATGAATGCAGCATATATAACCCACACATTTTTTAAAAGAAGACTAAAATCTATACACGTTTTTTCCATAGGTAATACTATAGTCCTGCAATGACTTAATTTTTTTTTATTATAACAAAAGCTTCATGGATTTTGTTGCTTGTGAAATAAAGTTAAAACATTCATTCTTTGTCTTACTAAGAAATGAAAATGTTCTTTATCTGGGTATCCTTAGGCGTTAATTTCTCCATACTTAGGGCTTTCTTTTATCTCTTTTTATTAGGTAGGGGAAAATCCCAAATATGTAGCAATTTCTAAGACTCCCTTGTGCCTCTTTTAATTATTTCTCTTATAAAACTAAAACTACCCAAATATTTGAGGTATTATTGAAATGTGTAGAAGAGAAATACTTTTGAATTTTAAAAAATGTGCTGCCAAATTATTTACTGTCATAGTTTTTTCTTCAAAAAATATGACTTCAATTACTTTTTACTATGGCAAAATGATGATTTGCACATACCTGTGATAGCCTTTTTCTTTAATCTCTGGTGCCATCTCTGTCCCTTTATTACTTATATAAAGGCTGTAGTTCAGAGTAGAATTTGCTCCATTATAGGGTTGGCTATTAGGGTTTTCTGAATATTTTCATTGTGCAGATGGTCTGAATTTAACGGATTAGATTTCCTCATAGAAATTGGAGCTTTAGATTGGACCAGAAAGTGAGAAAATAATGAGCCAAGTATTCAAATAGCATCACTGCAGGAAACAGATTTCTGCTTTTAGTATGCAAATGTTTCTATTCCCTTCTACTTTACCTCTTCGGTCTTCACATTCTCGACAGCCTCTATTTTTCCATTAAGTGCTTTTTGTTATTGTCTTTAAACATTATTAATTTAAGTACTTATTCTAATCAACAACAGAATTAAATAATGTGCTTCGTATATACCAGGAGCAAACAGGAGGTTCCTATTATGTAGAGCTGTGTCTCTTAGTTCTGTTGTGAAATAATTTTCTCTTTTCCCTTCTTGCTAGTTTCTTCCAACCCCTAGAATTGGTACCAGCACCTAGTCCCCTTGCTGACCTCTACCTTTTTTTGTGGTCCCAGAATACTTAGCCTCTTTGTGTAGTCCCCAAGCAAAGCAAGGGAGGAGACCTGGCAAAGTGATGGGTGTGGAGAGAGGAGACCCCGAGCATCTTGACTGTCCCAGAGTGCTGTGAGATGAATGTCTATTAGCCTGACCACTTAACATTCCACCACACAGACGCAGCCTAATCTTAACAATCGGCTGCCAAAGGTGAGGCAATGGCCTTCTTTATATACTAAAGAAAGAGGTAGGGGAAATATGTCTTTATGATATATCATAAAGACAAGTCAGGGGCTCAGCTTAAAAATCAGCTTCCATTTGGTAAAAACCAGTTCATCTGAGGAAGCTGTCATATATCTGACTCTGAAAATAAGGAGAAAAAGAACCTTGGAGAGCTTGGACACACCCTGCCTGAAGACAAAAGTTAAAGGGGATGGCTTCTGAATGCCTTCCCCCCAAAACACACACACCCACCCACACACCCACCCCCCCCCCCACACACACACACACACACACACACATCATCATCATCATCATCATGATCATCATCATCATCATCAGGAAAGATAATGCATCTAGCCTTCTGATTTACAAAATGGCCCATCTGGGATAGAGGCTTGATTTAACTGGAAATGGGTCACCCTGTTTTAATTTCACTAAAGATTGTCCTCTTTTCTTCTAATTGAGACCTCAGTAACAATGCAATTCAATTGCAGGCAAATTATAATAGGCTGAAATTTTAAAAATTAAGAATACCCTTTTCATCATGTTTTAATTTATACCACATGTTCTGGCAGGTACAGGGTAGCATACTGTGATTTATAGATAATCCAAATGGTTCAGGATTTCCTTTCTATAAATGTACCAGAAGATTTGTAATTGCTTGGAAAGCAGATGTTTGCATGTCTGCATGAGAACAATAAAAAATGGGCTGGGCCAGGCACAATGACTCATGCCTGTAATCCCAGCATTTTAAGAGGCCAAGGCCGGTGGATTGCTTGAGCCCAGGAGTTCGAGACCAGCCTGGCCAGTATGGTGACACCCTCTCGCTACTAAAAATACAAAAATTTAGCTGGTTGTGGTGGGGTACACCTGTAATCCTAGCTATGCTGGAGGCTGAGGCAGGAGCATCACTTGAACCTGGGAGGTGGACGTTGCAGTAAGCCAAGATCACACCACTGTACTCCAGCCTGGGAGACAGAGGGAGACTCTGTCTTAGGGAGAGAAAAAAAAAGGCATCTTAATAAATAAGTCCAACTAAAGTGGCACCAAAGAGAAGCAATAACGCAGGAATGCCATAAAATTAGACTGTAGGAATGTAATTGAGTACCTTTAGGATGATGTATAATCAAATATGTGACCTCTTACCCACAAATCACATGTTAAAATTTTGTTTTTCAGTAGAATCTTGGCCTCTGTTACCCTACCACATTCCCTACAACAGGCAAACAAGATTTTGCCAGCTCCCTCCCCTTCTCCAGAAGAGCGATTTAACTTTGGCTTTTCTCTGCCATTCTTTCTTCCTGCTCTTACTCACTGTGGTGTCAGCAATAAAGAGTGTGGATAGTTTTCTGATCTAAATGGTATAATTTGGGATGGAAAATGTGGTCTAAATCTTAGAATTGTGGACATAGGCATTTTTCTCTCATTTCAGCTTCTCCTATCAAGTTCTTTTGCATTTGGGGGTTAATTGCCACCAAATTGTAGGAGATTTGAGAAAGTGAGCCAGGAAAAACACCAGAGATGATGTGAGGGAAGAAACGCTGGAGCTGGATATTTTTATGCCCAAGGATTTTGTTATGTGATCATTGAATTGCTTTTCCCACAACAAGCTCTGTTTAGTTGGCAAGCCCCCATTAATAAGGGATTTATGTGCCAACCTTCTTAGGCTTTTTATTTTCATGCATATGTGTCTGTAATTGCCCAATAGTTCTTCTTGCCCAGTGCACAGATACAGCCGATTTACCAAGACAACAGTATTGCAATAGAGAAAGAGTTTAATAAATGCAGAACCAGCTAAGTGGAAGACTGGACTTTATTACTCAAATCAGACTCCCCCAAAATTCCAAGGCTAGGGTTTTTCAAGGGTAGTTTGGTGGGCAGGGGGCTAGGGAATGGGGAGTGTTGATTGCTTGGGTCAGGGATGAAATCATAGGAGGTCGAAGCTGTCTTCTGGCTGTCTTCACTTCCTGGATGGAATTACAAAACTTGTGGAGCCAGTTTACTGGTTTGGGTGGTGCCAGCTGGTCCATCAGAATACAGGGTCTGAAAAATATCTTGAACACCAATCTTAGGTTTTACAATAGTGATGTTTTTTATTTTTTATTGTATTTATTTATTCAATAAAATCCAGACCCTGCACAATACAATAGTGATGTTATCTGTAGGAGCAATTGGGGAGGGTAGGAATCTTGCGACCTGTGGCTACATGGCTCCTTACTGAACCATAATTCTAACCTTGTGGCTGATTTGTTAGTTTTATAAAGGTAGTTTTGATCCTGAGCAAGGAGAGGCTTGTTTCAGGAAAGGGCTGTTATCATTCCTGTTTTAAAGTTAAACTATAAACTAAATTGCTCCCAAAGTTAGTTCGGCCTACATCTAGGAATAAACAAAGACAGCATGGAGGTTAGAAGCAAGATGGAGTCACCTATGTCAGATTCCTTTCACTGTCATAATTTTTCTATGCCAGATGTTTCTCACTGTCATAATTTTTGTGAAGGCGCTTTCATGTACTCAATAGTTCTGTTTCTTTTTCTGCATCTATGAACATGTTAAAATATGTCACTAATGTTTACCCTCTGGATGATGGTTTATGTTGCTAAGCATTAGACTATCACATGGGAGGCTGGGCATGGTGGTTCACGCCTGTAATCCCAGCAGTTTGGGAGGCTGAAGCGAGAGGATCACTTGAGCCCAAGAGTCCGAAACCAGCTGTGCAACATAGTGGCACCCCTTCTCTACAAAAATACAAAAATTAGCTGGGTGTGGTGGTGCCCACTTGTGGTCCCAGCTACTTGGGAGGCTAAGGTGGGACTCTCACTTAAGCCTCGGAGGTGGAGGTTGCAGTGAGCTGTGAGCATGTCACTGCACTGCAGCACGGGTGACAGAGGGAGACCCTGTCTCAAAAAGAAAAAAAAAAAGACTATCACATTGGGAAGCAGGTAATGTCCAAGGTCAAGTGCAAACATTCAGATGACCGGCAACAACCACACTCTTTATCATGGAATTCAGCAAGTGCTGCTCTTTGCTGCTGCTGTGAATAAGTCCGTTTCCATGTTATATTTCGCTAGTTTGATTCATTCAAAAGATAATGTCTACTATGTACCAGGACACTTCTAGGTGCTGGAACTACTGCAGTGAATAATCAGATGCAAATCTGTGCCCTTGTAGGCCTTACATTCTAGGGGGAGGGCGGAGACAATATCCAAAATATATAAATTACATAGTATGTCGGAAGGCTTAGTTCCAGCTGCTATAACAAAAATGCCATGGATTGGATGACTTAAACAAAAAGAATGTATTGTCTCACAGTTCTAGAGGTTAGGAAATCTGAGATCAGGGTGCCCCCATGGTGGGTTCTAGTGAGGCCCTCTTCTGGCTTTATAGGCAGATGGCCCACATGGCAGAGAGCAGACAGAGTGGGAAAGCAGTCTCCCTCTTATCTCCTCTTACAGGGGCACTAATCCCATCATAAGGGCTCTACCCTCATGACCTAATCACCTCCCAAAGGCCTCACCTCCTGATCCCATCACATTGGGGGTTAGGGCTTCAACATATGAATTTGGGAGGGACACAGACATGGAGTCTATAACAGGAGGTGACCCGTGCTACGGAGAAAAACCTAGCAAGGACTGGGGATAGCAGTGCTAGGTAACTGGTGGCAATATGCAATTTTGAACAGAATGGTCAGATTGAGCAGGTGACACTGAGCTGGACAAAGGGGAGTGAGCTTCTTTGTAAGAGGTCTTGCTGTTTGTTTTCCACAGACAGGGAACCTCAGCTAGTCTTCCATATGAAAACTCTTTTTGGCTAAGGTCAATATCAAACTAATGTTGACCATTTGTATTATTTTAAAGTGGTTCTTTCTGCGTTTGCTACCATTTCCTTTCTACTGGCTTTTTGTCAATGTGTCTGATGTTAGTTCCTACATCCAAAAGCATTCGAGCTTCTTTACAGGCGAAGTCCACCCCAGGCATGTTTTCACACGGATCCCTTCAGAAGTTAGTTTTGCAGCTCTCCAGCATATAGAAGAGCAGTTCTATATTCTGATTTCTTTCATTATAGTGCACTGACTTCCACTGGTTATGTGGGTAAGAAGGGTCTCTGACAATTTAGAAAACAAGATGGGGAAAGGAGACCAGCAAAGCATGTATATAAAACATTTGTTGCTTTTTTAATCAAGGAGACCAGAAACTGTGGTAGTGCCCCAACGCTTTGATTGAAGGCCGTTGTATATTGAGTGTATTCCTCATGACATATTCGGACTGATTCAGACTTTCCACAGTGCTTATTAGCTCATTCTGTGCCTCAGTTCTTCTGAGCACATTGTCCCATTAGGAGTAGTCAAATGTTCTTCCTAGTGTGGGTATCCAGGGAAGGATCATTATCCTGGCAAATCTGGGGATCTTTGGGGATTGGAAACCTTTTGTGTCGATTCTTGGAGTTCTAAAAATCCAGATGCCTTCAACAGGTCACTTGTGACAGATCTGTGATACTGTCATGATTTTAAATTAGTGTTAAGGAGTAAACTTAATTAATTTACCATGCAAATTAACAATACTACAATATAGAGACTTGCTCTCACCCACTACAATAATTATCATAAAGTTAGAATGAAATGTTTTCATTTTTGGCTTTAGAGCATAAAATATTGGCTCAAGAAATTTCATTTAGTCAACGTATATCATTTGATTAAAACAAATTTTTTTCTTGCCAAAAATCCAAAATTCTAAGGTTAAAAAAAAAAAGGAATAAAGTCCAATATGATGCTTTCTCTCTGCTTTTTTCAATACCCAGCATGGCTCTGATTATTTCAAAGGGTACTATGAAAAATTTCAAAAGCTATTCAAAATAAAATTATTTTTAACTGATTTCGACGGAAAAGTTTTTTTTTGTTTTGTTTTGTTTTTTGTGTTTTTTTTTGTTATTTTTTTTTTTAAGATGGAGTCTCACTCTGTTGCCCAGGCTAGAATGCAGTGGCATGTCTTGGCTCACTGCAAGCTCTCCCTCCTGGATTCACACCATTCTCCTGCCTCAGCCACCGGAGTAGCTGGGGCTACAGGCGCCTGCCGCCACGCCTGACTAATTTTTTGTATTTTTAGTGGAGACAGGGTTTCACTGTGTTAGCCAGGATGGTCTTGATCTCCTGACCTCATGATCCACCCACCTCGGCCTCCCAAAGTCCTGGGATTACATGCTTGAGCCACCGCGCATGGCCAGTTTAACATCTTTTTAAAGAAAATATGGAACACTTCACAATTTGCATGCCATTCTTGCTCAGGGGCAATATTTTCTGTATCATTCAAATTTTAGTGCTACAAAAGTGAGCACTCATCATTTTTACAAGTTACACACACACACTCTAGTGAAGTGTTAAACTTACGTCATCAATTTATCAGATAAGGCAGAAAACTTGAAATCTGACCTTTCTGATTCACTGATTTTACTGAATGACCTTGGGCCAGTCATTTAAACCCTCAGCGTTGGTTTTGATTAAGACAGACAAGTCCATTCCTCCCCTAGTCTGATGTCATAGGGATGTGGTTAAGAAAACAGACAGGCTCTCAACATTTTGAGCCCCTGAGAGATGAGCTACTTTAGAGAGACACTCTATGGAAAGTCTAGCAGATAATGGTGGCTGATCAGACGTCATACCTATACCGTTTAACTATGCAGTGAGTTCTGTCTGAATGTGACACTCTTGTATAGCAGGTGCTTCACAAGGTTCTATATGTTATTTTATTTTATTATTTTATTTTGAGCCAGAGTCTCACTCTGTGAGTGCCCCAGGCTGGAGTGCAGGGGCATGCTAACGGCTCATTGCAGCCTTGACCTCCCGAGCTCAAGCACTCCTCCCACCTCAGCCTCCTGAGCAGCTGGGACTATGTATGTGTGCCACCATGCCTGGCTAATTTTTGGGTTTTTTTTTTTTTTTTTGAGACGGAGTCTGACTCTGTCACCAGGCTGGAGTGCAGTGGCGTGATCTCGGCTCACTGCAACCTCTGTCTCCCAGGTTCAAGCGATTCTCCTGCCACAGCCTCCTGAGTAGCTGGGACTACAGGTGCGCACCACCACGCCCAGCTAATTTTTATATTTTTGGTAGAGATGGAGTTTTACCATGTCGGCCAGGATGGTCTGGATCTCTTGACCTCGTGATCTGCCCACCTCGACCTCCCAAAGTGCTGGGATTACAGGTGTGAGCCACTGTGCCCGACCTTTTTTTTTTTTTTTTGTATTTTTTTGTAGAAATGGGGATTCACCATGTTGCCCAGGCTGATCTTGAACTGCTGGGCTCAAGTGATCTGTTCACCCGAACTCCCAAAGTGCTGGGATTACAGGCATGAGAGATGACACCCAGCCTGTTTTAAAAATCATATCTTTAATAAACTTATCTAAAAGGTACAGAGTTGGAAAATGGGTGTGTCATGTTTGTAACTATACTCATACATAAACAGCAGAATTTTCTGGGTTTTTTTTTTTTTTTTTTTGACTAGTCAAGTGAAGCAGTGGGAGTGGAGAAGGAGAAACAAAATCTGTAACTGGTTGTGATCGGTTACCTGTAAACACCACTGCACTTGGACCAGCCAGCAGCCGAATTTTCCTAATAAAAGTTGACACGCTTTTTTAAAATTTGGTGACTTGGTAGGAAGGAAAACTATTATTTATATTTGGAAAAGAATGTTTTCTTTAGAAAGTACAGAAGTGTTGCTTCTGTAAATATGGAGTATTTCCAAGCTTTAAAAACAGGCACCAGGCCAAGTTAAAGTGTCATATGTAAACCAAGCTTCTGTAGTGCAGCCTTTTTAAAACACAAGGTCAAGGGCGGTGTTGTGGTTTAAGTAGTGAAAAGGCCATGGGTTTTAGAGACATATACTCCTTGGATTTGCATTCTGGTAAACTTCTTGACTGAGCCTCTGTTTTGTTTCTTCTAATCTATAGAATAAGAATAATAGTGTGACCCCTCATGCCTGTAATCCCAGCACTTTGGGAGGCTGAGGCGGGTGGATCACGAGGTCAGGAGATCGAGACCATCCTGGCTAACATGGTGAAACCCCATCTCTACTAAAAATACAAAAAATTAGCCGGGCGTGGTGGCGGGCCCCTGTAGTCCCAGCTACTGGGGAGGCTGAGGCAGAGAATGTTGTGAATCCGGGAGGCGGAGCTTGCAGTGAGGCGAGATCGCGCCACTGCACTCCAGCCTGGGTGACAAAGCGAGACTCCATCTCAAAAAATAATAGTAATAATAAAGAATAAAGAATAATAGTATGACCTCCTGCCTAGGGTCATATTAAATATTAAACCTCTTTTCTTTCCTTCCTTCCTTCCTTCTCTCTCTTTCTTTTCCTTCTTTATTTCTTTCTTTTCTTTCTTCCCTTTCTTTCTTTCGTAACCACCCAACAGGTTCACCTCGCCTGCTGCCTAGATAGAGCCAATTTATCAAGACAGGGGATTGCAATGGAGAAAGAGTAATTCACTCAGAGCCAGCTGTGCAGGAGACCAGAGTTTTATTATTACTCAAACCAGTCTCTCTGAGCATTCGGGATCGGAGTTTTTAAAGATAATTTAGCAGGTAGGGGCAGGGGAAGTAGGGAGTGCTGACTGGTCAGGTTGGAGATGGAATCATAGAGGAGTCAAAGCGAGGTTTTCTTGCTGCCTTCTGTTCCTGGGTGGGATCACGGAACTTGTTGAGCCAGATTACCGGTCTGGGTGGTGTCAGCTGATCCACTGAGTGCAGGCTCTGCAAAACATCTCAAGCACTGATCTTTGGTTTTACAATAGTTTTGTTATCGCGAAGAGCAATTTAGGGAGGTTCAGACTCTTGCAGCCAGAGGCTGCATGGCCCCTAAACCTTAATTTCTAATCTTGTAGCTAATTTGTTAGTCCTACAAAGGGAGACTGGTCCTTAGGCAAGAAGGGGTCTTTTTGGAAAAGGGCCATTATCAATTTTTTTCAGAGTCGAACTATAAGCTCAATTCCTTCCCAAGGTTAGTTTAACCTATGCCCGGGAATGAACAAGGACAGCTTAAAGGTTAGAAACAAGATGGAGTCGGTTAGGTCTGATCTCTTTCACTGCCATAATTTTCTCAGTTACAGTTTTTGCAAAAGCAGTTTCACTTTCTCTCTGTCTTTTATTTTCTTTTTGGTAAAGAGTATTTCCATAGGGAATTAGAGGGCTCTGGACACCTTACCAAATATTTAGAAAATGAAGAGGTAAATTTTAGCTCAGCCTTGGTTTATGCCTTCGGTGTAGAAGCCAGGAATTCTTTAAGGTGGTAAAAGGAGCTGTGTTTTGTGTTGTAACTTTTTCCTCTCTTGTGCTCTCAAACTCTTTGCTGTCTTCTCTTTCTGTGTTGCCCTCTTCTAATTCTCCTTTCCTGGCATGATCCCTAACATTTTGAAACCTTCTCTGAATTAATTCACTTCACCAGGTCTTTCAAATGCCCAGACATGAATACCAACAGATATTTCTTTTAAATTATAGGGAATACCTCTAGCCTTTGTCCCTACCCCATAGCAAATATATTTTAGTTTCAAATCTATAAACCTTTAGTCCTGAAGAAAACACTCTGAACCATATACAAAATCTTTAATTAAAATTCTAATTTTCACCCCCATGCATATTAATAGCATGTAGGGGAGGAAAAACTTTTCTTCTGCCCTCCTAGAGTATGTGCCTAGGGTCTATAAATTAAAGTGACAAAAGACAGATTAACGGGAGAAAAAGGCATACACTTTTTTTGATACTATTTTTAATTTTACATTATCAAGGGCTTCACAACCTCCTCTTTGGGTTTTATATACCATTTTGACAAAGGACAATATATTGCGGAGAACTGCCTAGACAAAAGAAAGAGGGGTTTGGACTCCTGGGGCAGTAAATTGTAGGAAATGTATGGTAGATAAGGTTTGTTTAGTAAGATCATTTTGCAAGATCATCTCCTTGCAGTCTTCAGTGTTTAAGAGACTTCTCTTCCTGGCTCTGGAGAGAGAGGCACCTTTACAAATGGAAATTTCCTTTACAAAAGAGAAATTTATGCTCTGCTTTTAGGCAGATGGGGAAGGGCAGAGAGGTCCTTTTCTGTCTGTTCTTTCTATATAGCTTTCAGCTCAAAATAATCCTTATATCAAAGTGACATATTTTGATGTGACACAGTCCAACCTCTTCAACTACGATAGTTGGAAAAACATATTCAATTTCAATAAGAATATGAAAGGTAAATATATGTTTAAATATAGTCATGGCTAAAGGCATAAGCAGACATAGCTATATAAAGTATTTATCCCCTTAGTTACCACTGCTTTGAAGCCCAGCGAGCATACCTCTTTGTACAACATGCCCTCTTTTAATTTGTTTTGTTTGCCTGGCGAACATGTGAGGATTTTATTGATTTACAAAATAAACAACAGGGAGCTGACTGTACTTGTACAGCAATAAGGGTTGGCTTATTGGTCATTTTGAGGTCACTGGCATTGACTTCTACCTTTATTTATTTATTTTTTATTTTATTTTTTATTTTTTTGAGATGGAGTCTCACTGCACTCACCCAGGCTGGAGTGCAGTGGCGCGATCTCAGCTCACTGCAACCTCTGCCTCCTGGGTTCAGGTGATTCTCCTGCCTCAGCCTCCTGAGTAGCTGAGGCAACAGGCGTGTGCCACCACACCCGGCTAATTTTTTGTATTTTTAGTAGAGACGGGGTTTCACTGTGTTAGCCAGGAGGGTCTCGATCTCTTGACCTCATGATCCGCCCACCTCGGCCTCCCAAAGTGCTGGGATTACAGGCATGAGCCACCACACCTGGCCGACTTCTACCTTTACTTATAGCACAATGCTTATGGTGAAAGAGCCAGTGATTGACTTGTACCTACAGATCATTATATGTTTTTCTGTTTTGATTTTCTGTCTGACAGCAGCAGCGTGCAGGGTCAAAGACAGCCGGCCCCCCATGTCAGTGGTCTAGGATGGCCAGTGAAGGCACCAACATCCCAAGTCCTGTGGTGCGCCAGATTGACAAGCAGTTTCTGATTTGCAGTATATGCCTGGAACGGTACAAGAATCCCAAGGTTCTCCCCTGTCTGCACACTTTCTGCGAGAGGTAAGCCTCCTTTGTGCTTGGAGAAGGGAGTTTCGCAGGCTGACCTCCTACAACCTACTGCAGGATTCTTTCCCAGAATTCTACAGTTACCTTTGAGAGAAAACTAATCTCTTGTGCTTCTGCCAGACATTGAAAAACAGAATCATGAGTTGCAAATAATTTACTTTATTTCAAACCATTATAAGCAAGAGAAAGCAATCCAGTAACTACTGATTCGTTTACACAAGAGATGGAGCATTAAATAAGAATGTTAAGTTGAAAAATCTTTTAAAACTTCCCTTTGTTCTTTGTGAAACAATTTTTGTCCACAGCAGATCCCTACAGAGGGTCTTTCAGAGTCAATTAAAAAAATCTATCATTTCCTCCCATATAACAAATCAGGTAAAACATCTGCATACATGAGTTGTTACTTCAAAAGGTATAGCTTCTTTTTCAAAGATTCTTCAGACACATACTAATGTCACATTTGAATGCTATGATGTTTTAGATAAAGAAAAAATATATATTAAATAAATTACCTGACTATGTAATTTGCTGTATGTGAAAACAGACTTCCTTATTTATCTTCTTCATAGAGTATTTGTTTTTGGAGAGGGGCGTTAATCAGTTATCAAAATATACTTTTACCCCATTGTTTAACTTACCATGTAAGCAATTAAGCATAAGTTTGTTAGTAATTAGTTTATCTTACTTATAAATATTTCCCTAGTAAAGTTATGTATCTTTCTTAAAAATAAATATGGTAATTGTGTTTTATAGCATTTTGTTAAGTACATTTTTATCATTATTTAATATACATACTTAAAATGCTTTACTTCCTGTGATAGAACTGGAAATCAGTATTTCAAATGGCTTCAAATCTATGCTGATTACACAAATATCTGATTTAACATGTCTTTATTATCTGATTGACCATTTTTTGAGTTGATTTACTTTGCAAGGTTCAATTGCAAAAGAATAACCATATCCTTCATGGTGGTGATGGATAGAAGGAGAAGGTAGATTTGTTACTAGTAGTTGTGGCTTTTTTGTTTGTTTTGGGTTGTTGTGGGGTTTTGTGTGTGTGCGTGTGCTTGTGTATATGGGTTTTGGTTTGTTTTAGTGGTGGTATATAGGGCACTTTTTATTTTATTCATTTTATACTTTGGCTTAAGTGCTTGGTAATTCATATTACAAAATAATTAGAGTGTGATTCCTCCATCCCCTTAATGGGTGCACCTAAAACATGAATACCAGCTAATAGTCCATGTGTCCCTGGGCACACATGGGAAGATCGTTACCTGATGTGCAGCAGTCGGCATAGCTTGGCTGATACTCTCTATAGAAGTGCATTCAGAGCCACTCAGTCTGAACTTGGCAGAATTGCCCCATATCCCAGTATTCAGTGTCCAGCCTATCTATTGTTTGGGTCCTACTTCCTCACTCTGACAGGTGAGAAGCAACACTCTGGCTGCCCTAGGTCTGCCCCTGCTATCTTCTTTGGGGATCTAGCCCAACCCACTTCCACTCCCCACCCAATAGCTGGTGGTAGAGATTTGTGAGATTCTGCTACAGCAAGTCCTTACACAATGCTCTGTGTTAAAATTGTTCCAGCCTCATGCATGTTGAGATGATTTCCTCTTCTTTTTTTATTTTATTTTTAATTTTGAGATGGAGTCGCACTCTGTTGCCCAGGCTGGAGTGCAGTGGCGCAAACTCAGCTCACTGCAAGCTCTGCCTCCCGGATTCACGCCATTCTCCTGCCTCAGCCTCCTGAGTAGCTAGGACTACAGGTGCCTGCCACCACGCCCAGCTAATTTTTTGTATTTTTAGTAGAGACGAGGTTTCACTGTGTTAGCCAGAATGGTCTTGATCTCCTGACCTCATGATCTGCCCAGCTCGGCCTCCCAAAGTGCTGGGATTACAGGCGTGAGCCACTGCGCCTGGCCAGATTTCCTCTTCTTTTATTTTTTATTTTATTAATTATTTATTAATTTATTTATTTTGAGACAGGATCTCACTCTGTCACCCAGTCTAGAGTGCAGTGGCACAATCACAGTTCACTGCAGCCTCAATTTCCCAGGCTCCAGAGATCTTCCCACCTCAACTTCTTGAGTAGTTGGGACCACAGGTGCACACCACCATGCCTGACTATAGAGACAGGGTTTCTCCATGTTGCCCAGGCTGGTCTCAAACTCCTGAGCGCAAGCAATCCAACTACCTTGGCCTCCCAAAGTGTTGGGCTTACAGGCGTGAGCCACTGCGTCCAGCCGAGAAGATTTCTGTTTGAAGGTGTTGAAGGTGCTGGCAACTTTCCTTAAAATGGGGTTTTTTGTTTGTTTGTTTGTTTGTTTGTTTTTGAGACGGAGTCTTGCTCTGTCACCAGGCTGGAGTGCAGTGGCGCTATCTCGGCTCACCGCAACTTCCGCCTCCTGGGTTAAGTGATTCTCCTGCCTCAGCCTCCCGAGTAGCTGGGACTACAGGCATGCGCCACTATGCCCAGCTAATTTTTGTATTTTTAGTAGAGACGGGGTTTCGCCATGTTGGCCAGGATGGTCTCGATCTCTTGACCTCGTGATCTGCCCATGTCGGCCTCCCAAAGAGCAGGGATTACAGGCATGAGTCACTGCGCCCGGTGGGGAAATTTTTGTTTATGCAGAGACAAAACTTTACAGCTTGTCTCACTGTCAGGAGAGTGAGCTCTAGGACCCCCATGTTCAGCCTCTGCTGGACATTCATACTGGCTACTCAGTGAGCACCTTACAGTCACTCTTTTTTTTTTTTTTTTTTTTTTTGAGACAGAGTCTCGCTCTGCCGCCCGGGCTGGAGTGCCGTGGCGCGATCTCGGCTCACTGCAAGCTCCACCTCCCGGGTTCACGCCATTCTCCTGCCTCAGCCTCCCGAGTAGCTGGGACTACAGGCGCCCGCCACCACGCCCGGCTAATTTTTTTTTTTTTTTTTTTTTTTTGTATTTTTAGTAGAAACGGGGTTTCACCGTGTTAGCCAGGATGGTCTCGATCTCCTGCCCTCGTGATCCACCCGCCTTGGCCTCCCAGAGTGCTGGCATTACAGGCGTGAGCCACCACGCCCAGCCCTTACAGTCACTCTTATCCCACATCTTCCAAAACAGCATCAAAAGGCTTGAAGGAGAGCAAAGCCAGACATAGCTGCTGGCCCCTTGGAACTCACAGCCTAGTGGAGGAGCCAGTCACTAACCCCCTAATTGCTCAGACTAATGTGAAATTAAACCAGTGACAAGTGCTGTACACCAGAAGTATACAGGAAACAATATAATAGAGGAATTTGCCCTAATCTGGGAAGGCTTCCTTGCAGAAGTGATGATTACGCAGAAACCCCAATGATGAGTAAAAATTAACTAAACAAAGGGGAGTGAATAGAATTTCAGGTATGTGCAAAGGTGCTATAGTGGGAGGTTGCTATAGTGAGTGAGAGGTGCTACAGTGAGAGGGTTATTCAACACTGAGGAAGAACTTAAATAAGTCCACTGTGGCTGGTATGCAGCAAATGAGGGGAAGAGACAGAAAGTATGTAGGTGCTAGGCCATATGAGATGTGTAATCCATGTTGCCATATATGGATTTTTGTCTTTGTTGTAAGAGCAGTGGAAGTGGAAACCATGGCATGGCTTTCATCTCAGATGGTGTGGGAGGGAGATTTAAATGGCTCTCTTTGAGTTTTGAGAAGGTCACTCTGGTTGCAATGTGGATAATTGTTAGAGGGTACAAGGATGGTTATATAGCAGGGCATGAAGAGAACTGGAGAGGTTAGAAAGATATGTAGGCATTTGGACATGCTTTGGTGATGGGTTGGATATGGAAAATGAAGGACAGTAAGGGAGTTACTGTTTTAAGAATGACTCCTAGTTTCTGGTTTGTTTAAATAAATGGATGGAGGTGCTATTCATCAGGAATGGGAGAGGATACAGTCTGGGGTTCAGATAATGGGTTTGGTTTTGTTCATGTTGAGTTTTAGGACCTGCAAGACATCTAAGAAAAGATGTCAACAGGTCAGTTAATGAGGCTCAAAGGAGATGTCTGTGGGAAGAAATATAATTTTGGGAGCCTGATGCTTGTAGCCACACCTGTGATATGAATATAATATTCCAGAAAGAGAAGAGGTCTCATGATGAATGGAACCTTGATTAACTCAAAACTGTATTGACTCAGAAAAGACAGAGCAGACAGGAGAACCATGTGAGTGTGGTGTCATAAAGTCAAGGGAAGAGAAATTTTTCAATAAAAAGGAAGGTGAGCAGAGCAATAATCAAGCTTAATGATACTTCCCAGAAGTCTAGTAAGATAAAATTGAAAAACATCTGCTGGATTCAGACGTCGTTAATGACCTTAGCAAAAGCTGTTTCATGTCTGGTATTGGTTCAGGGCTAGCTACCTCTGTGACATAGACAAGATCAGTGAATGTCTCTGATGTCAGGTCTATTCATCTGCAAAATAAGGGGAATGGGGCTAGGTTGGTGTGTTTTGAATTGTTTGGCTAGGTACTGGAAAAAATTGTATAGTCTAATTATTGAGAGCTTAGATTATGGTGCCAAACTGCCTGTGTTTGAATTTGTACTTTGTACTCTGCTCCTGACCAGCTAAGTATCTTGGACAAGTACGCTGGCCTGTCTCTGTCTGTTGCATCACGTGTCTCAAGGAATCATAACAGTACCTATCTCATAGGCTCATTGGAAGTACTTTGAATTCAATGAGCAGCATATGTGTGAGTCATTATTAGTGACACACTTCTTTAACTAAATGAGTTAAGTTGATACCTGTTGAGTAGAGACAAGGAGAAGAGATGGTGTGGCTCTGACTCTGGGTGTCCCATTCTTGCTTCAAGCAAATATTTCCACTTTGATGTGTTTTTTATATCTCATTATGATTTTGTACGTAAGAAGAATTTTATTGCTAACAAAAATATTTGATGTGTTTCTTTCAATTTCAAAGTCCACACATTTATGAGCCCACTGCTAGATATTGTGGGCCAGTGCTTCTCAAACTTTAACATGTATGCAAATCACATGGGGAGCTGACTCAGCAGGTGTTCGATAGGGTCTAAGATTCTGCATTTCTACCAAATGCACCCCCCAGGGAGGCTGACGCTGCTCATCCATGGACCACACTTTGTGTGCCAAGGCACTAGAAAACACTACAAAAGTCAATGACATTTTTTATTTCCTTGAGCATAATCATTTGCCTCATTAGTGTGAGTACAGCTTACCTGTTGGTTTCTGAAATATTATTTTCCTAGTAAAGGAGACTGGGATGGGAGTTTCTGCCAAATACCTTGTGTAGTCACTGAGAACATGTATGGTACCTGTGAGAAGTGGAGGTTCTGCACTGTGCTAAGCTCTCCACCTCTGCTTCTGCAACAGGTGCCTGCAGAACTACATTCCTGCCCACAGTTTAACCCTCTCCTGCCCAGTGTGCCGCCAGACCTCCATCCTGCCCGAGAAAGGGGTGGCCGCGCTCCAGAACAATTTCTTCATCACAAACCTGATGGACGTGCTGCAGCGAACTCCAGGCAGCAACGCTGAGGAGTCTTCCATCCTGGAGACAGTCACTGCTGTGGCTGCGGGAAAGCCTCTCTCTTGCCCAAACCACGATGGGAATGTAAGTGGCTGGGATGGCAGATACTGCCCGGGAGCATGACTACTGTGGCCTTGGGGAGGCTTTGGGTACATCAGAGATTACAGATTGAAACAGAACTCCATGTGGAAAAATCAGTAATTAAAAAAGATTTTTACCAGCCCTCAGACTACCTGCTCACTTTCTTTGACCAGAACTATTTAAATAACGAAATCAATCTCCACTGTGTCTCCTTCACACATATTGTTGGTATCCCCAGGACAGCAAACCAGTAGCTATTTGCAAGCTGACCTACATAAACATCTGTGTAATAAATTTATGGATACGGATTTAACAATGGATAAGTTCTGTAAGTTGAGAATGATTATTAAAATGTTAATTAGAGTTCTTTATTTTTCTTGGGAGGGAAATTTTCTCATGCTACATTAGACCTTATTCCTTATTAATAGATAGAATTTGAAGCTATGTGAATCCCTGATAGTAGATTATAGATTATGAATTCCAAACATATTTCTTGCTACTAGTGAGTACAATAACTGTTAGAAGCTCAGGAGGACCTGTGGGTACCATCAAGTAACTGATTCACAATAGCTATGTAACCTGAAGAGGCAGCATTGTGTAGCGTCTAAGGACATTGGCTTTGGAGTCAGGCTGCCTGATTCAAATCCTGCTCTTAAACTTATTCCCTGTGCCAGCTTTGGTAAGTTTATTAAACTCTCTGCGTCTCATTTCTTTATCAGTTAAAAAAAAGTAATAATAGTATTTACCATATAGAATATTGGAAGAATTAAATGTTCAAGTCATGTAAATCATATAGTAGGATCTTGATAAATGTCAGCTTTAACATTTTTTCATTAATTACTTTATATTCATCTCATTTGTATATTGGTCACTTCAAAAGTATTTGAAACTGCTTAAAACAAAAGGCCCAGGTATAACAAAACCACTAAGACAAGCAAGCAATCATTAGAGCAAAGCAATTCTTATTAGCCACACTACTGTTTGTTTACCTCATCTCCCAGCATTCTCTCTGCACACTGTGCTGGAGCCTCACCAGCCTCCTAGAACCTGCCAAATGGTTTCCCTCCTCGGGGCCTGGCTGTTCTGTTCCTTCTGCCTGGGTTGCTCTTTGTTTCCTCTTTATGTGGCGAGCTTATTCTCTTCCTTGAAGTCTCACTGCAAATTTCTCCTGCACACAGCAGTCTTCTCCACCTGTACCGTCTAACACAGGTTGCCTCTTACAGCTGGTTACCCTCCATCATGTCCCTGCTTTCTTTCCTCCCTGGTGCTCACTGTGGTCTGCTTGCCATCAGCTGTGTATTTGTGTACTTATTAGTCCTGGCTTTCCCTCTAGAATGTGAGCTCTGGGAGGGCAAGGACCTGTCATTAGACCCCTAGCACTGAGGGCAGTGTCTTATACATAGAAGTCAATAAATATTTGTTGAACAAATTTGCCAGACACCGTATTTGGCTCCTTAAACCCCCCTCTGCAAAGTAGTTGTTGGTTACTTTCACTTTATAAGATGAAGAAACTGAGGCTGAAACAGTTTAAGTCACAAAGCTTGCTGGGCACATTGTAAAAGCTAGCCCTGGAAGAAATAGCATCCTGAGCTTTCTGGTAGCCAAAACAAGAGAAGGACACCATGGCTTACACATCTGTAATAATTTAATTGAAAGCACACCAGGCTATTAATAGCTATCAGTTTTCCATGCATTTTATGCCAAGGGAAATTGATCATCTAAATTTTGTAAAAAGAACTTTTAAATGCTGCTTTTGAAAGCAGGTTGAGTATTTTCCTCATGACCACTTCTCACACTGGTGCTTAGTGAATGCTGAGGCTGTCTATGCCTGGAGCTTGCACTCTAAATACTAGTTATGGGAAGGTATTTCTATCAGGTGTAAGAGTGCCCCTTAAAATGAGGCTCTCTGGAGACGTGACTTGATAGAGGAGTAAAGTCTTAGAAACATTAGGTTGTTTTATTTTTTATGGGTTTTTTAGTTTTTGTTTTTGTTTCTGAGACAGAGTCTCAATCTGTCATCCAGGCTGGAGTGCAGTGGCACGATCATGGCTCACTGAAGCCTCGACCTCCTGGCTTAAGCGATCTTTCCACCTCAGTCCTGTCCTCTGCCCCAGTATCTGGGACTACAGGTGCATGCCACCACGCCCAGCTAATTTTTGTATTTTCTGTAGAGACAGGGTCTCACTATGTTGCCAAGACTGGTCTCAAACTCCTGGTCCCAAGTGATTCACCTGCCTTGGCCTCCCAAAGTGCTGAAATTACAGGTATGCGCCACTGTGCCCAGCCAAGCTAATATTTCTAACTGTCATTATTTCTCATTCTACATGACAGCCCCTTCATATCCCAAATTTACACCAGTGTCTATAGTAGGTCTCCTAATGTTTCTAAGGGCCAGACATGGTGGCTCATGCCTGTAATCCCAGCACTTTGGGAGGCTGAGGCAAGCCAATCGCTTGAGCCCAGGAGTTTGAGACCTGACTGGGCAACATGGCGAAATCCCACCTCTACCAAAAATACAAAAATCAGCTGGGCATGATGGGGCTGCACCTGTAGTCCCAGCTGTTCAGAGGCTGAGGTAGGAGGATCCTGTGGGTCCAGACATTGAGGCTTCAGTGAGCCATGATTGCGCCTCTGCGCTCCAACCCAGGTGACAGAGCAAGACTCTATCTCAAAAAAAAAAAAAAAAATTAAGAAAAAAAAAATAAATGTTACCTCCATAAGTAAAGTGAGAATGTCATGAAATTCAGGCAACAGCTTATAGCTCAAGGAAGCGGCTAGAACATGGAGACAGCGGAGTTGAGGGTGGGACACAGGTGGGCCTGAAAAGATAGATGTGGAGAGATTGGGATGAGCTGTGAATATCATTAAGAACATGTTTGACGTCAATTTCTTAAATTGCAAAAGCATCAAAGCCTTCTGAACAGGAGATAGGTATTTTATTGACATTTTGGAGGAATGGGGTGGCAGACACTAAAGGCTGGGAAACCAATTATGAGTTTACTGAATTGTCCAAATGAGAGATAAGAGATGGAACTAGAATGGCATCAATGGGCCTGGGGAAGACAGCGTGAATTTCAGAGAAAAGAGTACTCTTTGACTCAACAATCTGCCTCCCACAAATAAAAAGGCCTGTGCTAAAGTCTGTTAAGCTAAGCTATTAGATCGTGAGAACTTCAGCAACTAAAATTAATCTTATACTAGGTCACAAAGAAAATACCACTATATTTTCCCATTGTGTAAAGCAAGTTCCTGCCCTACAATGCACTAAAATTACATTAGTAACACATGTTTATGGGGAAAAAACAAATCTCCTTTAAAAGTTAATAATTATTTAATCAATAGAAAATAATAGAAATAATAGAAAATTGGACTATTTACAAAGTATTGGAAGTGGAAACTTTTTATATCCAATGTGTAGGGTCAAATCTCTACCCAGGAAATTTTATAGGTTTAAGTATTTTCCTTTATTTAAAAAGAATTCCAGCCTGGGCAACATAGTGAGTCCTCATCTCTACAAAAAAATCAAAACATGAGGCCGAGCACAGTGGCTCATACCTATAATCTCAGCACTTTGGGAGGCCGAGACAGGTGGATCACCTGAGGTCAGGAGTTCGAGACCAGCCTGGCCAACATGGTAAAACTCTGTCTCTATTAAAAATACAAAAATTAGCTGGGCATGGTGGCACATGACTGTAGTCGCAGCTACTCAGGAGGCTGAGGCAGGAGAATTATTTGAACCTGGGAAGCAGAGATTGCAATGAGCCAAGATTGTGCCACTGCACTCCAGCTTGGGCAACAGAGTGAGACTCTGTCTCAAAAAAAAAAAAAAAAAGCAGGGGGGGATAGTGGAGCAAGAGGATTGCTTGAGCCCAGAAGGTTGAGGCAGCAATGAGCTGTGATCGTGCCAAAGTACTCCTGCTTGGGTGATAAAGCGAGACCCTGCCCCTACCCCCACCCACCCCCCAAAAAAAGAATTCAACTCAAGTTAGAAAAAGAGTAATAAAATAAACATATGGAACATACACAAAGAAAGAAAAGAACAGAAATATCTACACATAGTATAGTAAGTTTATTAAATACATAGTATATATATTTCTGCATTGTAGGAAAAGCTAGAAAGGTCTCCCATTTCATTTGTGATACGCTTATAACCCTGATACCAAAACCTAATGAAGATAGAACAAAAAGAAAATCATTAGTAGCTTAATTAATGACATTGGCTGTAAAATTATTAATTAAAATACCCCAGCAAATTCCTTTTTTTTTTTTTTTTGCTGGGTCTCACTCTGTCACCAAGGCTAGAGTGCAAGTGGCACTATCTATCATGGTTCACTGTAACCTCCAACTCCAGGGCTCAAGTGATACCCCTGTCTCAGCCTCCAGAGTAGCTGGGACTACAGGAACATGCTACCATGCCTGGCTAATTCTTTAAGTTTTTGTTGAGAAAAGGTCTTATGTTGCCCAGGCTGGTTGCAAACTGGCCTCAAGGGATCCTCCCATCTGGACCTCCCAAAGTGCTAGGATTACAGGCATGAGCCACTATGTCCAGCCCACCAGCAAATTCTTTTTTTTTTTGAGACGGAGTCTCGCTCTGTTGCCCAGGCTGGAGTGCAGCGGCACGATCTTGGCTGACTACAAGCTCTGCCTCCCGGGTTCACACCATTCTCCTGCCTCAGCCGCCCGAGTAGCTGGGACTACAGATGCCCGCCACCAAACTTGGCTAATTTTTTGTGTTTTTAGTAGAGATGGGGTTTCACCATGTTAGCCAGGATGGTCTCGATCTCCTGACCTCGTGATCTGCCCGCCTCGGCCTCCCAAAGTGCTGGGATTACAGGTGTGAGCCACCGCGCCCAGCCTGCAAATTCTTAATATGTAAAAGCACTTACAAATTAAGAAAAATATGAGCATCATAAAAGAAAATGAGCAAATAACTCAGAAAATCCACAGAGGATATATAAATGCCTAAAAATCATTTATGGAAAAATGTCAAGCTTCACAGATAATCAGTTCTTTTCAAATTAACTACAAATTTTTTAAAAGGTAGTAACCAGCGCTCTTGAGAGTATGTATGGTGAGACATTTTCATATGCTGTGGGTGGAAGGGTAAATTGCTCTTCAGAAAGTTTACGTCAATTTGACAAAATATAATGAGTGTTTTATACAGCCTCTCATCTTTTAATCCAGTAATTCCACCAGTGGAAATATTTCTAAGGAAATAGCTAGAGCGGAAGATAAAGCTCAAAAATTGGAAATAATCTAAATGTGCAACATTAGGGGGCAAGAATGCTTGGCAAATTAGCAGCATGTGCCTTAAATCATTCTATTGTTTGATTATAGATTGTAGAAGTTCACTGCTGCTGTTTTGAAACAGAAGTCTTCATTGCATATTCAAGCCAAATTCATGCAATGTTCCAGATAAATTGCTGCAGTTAGTTGCTGTGAGTAGATCTTTAAAAACAATCCAAGCATCTGAAGGTTAATAAAATCAATTCATTAACAATAAAGCAGGGTGCTGCCATCCCCACTGTCTGATGCTGATTGGCACGTGTGGATGAAAGCCTGTCATCAACTTTAAGTGCTGTGACACTATCTGTCTTCTAATTAAACTGCCATGGTGGCATTGTTCAAATACAAAAGAAAAAGAAAAATAATGGTCAGTGATCTAACAGGTTCTTTGCACTTAAAGCAGACACTTGAGCTCATGCCTCATGGTCCCTGGAACACAAATGATCATTAAACCCTGTTATTGGTTGCTTAGGCACCTGACTATCAAGGGTGTCAAAGGTGCAAAGGAGAGGTCCTCATTAAGACTGCCCTGCCACTAACAAGTTTCCACTTCCATATCAGGATCAACTGTCAGTGCCCTTAAGAAGCCAAGCCTCAGGGTTGGCTGCAAGACCTTGACCATCTTTTTTGCATGTTAGGAATGCATAGGATCCTGCCAGTCTCTTCTGGTGAACATAAATGGTGACTATCCATCAACAACAAGCTCATCCTAGCTTTTGGCCTGCCCACCCACCCCAGGCCGCACCAGCATCATCTCACTGGAGATGGATGAAATGGATGAGCTCAGCAGAATTACACGCCCCACACAATTAGCTCTCAGCTTAAACCAAAGCTGTCAGAACCGAAGCACGAGCCTTTGAAAATGACTAGCTATTGATAATTCAAAATCATTTCAGGGCCTTGGCTTCCCAAGACACACTTAAGATATTGAACTAGGAATAATAAGCCAGGTCTGCTGCTGTCTCTTCAAAGCTGAGATCAATTTTTGTTTGTTTGTTTCTGAAGTAAAATTCAGGCTGGGCTTGGTGGCTCACTTTGGGAGGCCAAGGCAGGAGGATCACTTGAGGCCAGGAGTTTGAGACATGCCTGAGCAACAAAGTGAGACCCTTTCTCTACAAAAGTAAATAAATACATAAATACAAGATAAAAAATAAAATTCACATCACATAAAATTTAATATTTCAACAATTTTATTTGTTTGTTTGTTTTTTTGTTTTGAGACAGGATCTCACTCTGTCACCCAGGCTAGTCTCAAATTCCTGGGCTTAAGCAATCTGCCTGCCTCAACTTCCCAGAGTGCTGGGATTACAGGTGTTAAGGCACCGAGCCTGGCCTGTTTTTTTTGTTTTTCTTTTTATAATGATGTTTTTTATTTTTAATTTTTTTTTTGGAGACAAAAAAGTCTCACTCTGTCACCCAGGCTGGAGTGCAGTGGCATGATCATGGCTCATGGCAGCCTCAATCTCCTAGGCTCAAGTGATCCTCCCACTTCAGCCTCCCGAGTAACTGGGACTATAGGCGCATGCCACCAACCTAGCTAATTTTTTTTTTAAGAGATAGGTTTTGCTATGTTGCCCAGGCTGGTCTCCAACTCCTAGGCTCAAAGGATCCTCCTGCCTGGACCTCCCAAAGTGCTGGGATTACAGGAGTGAGCCACTGCACCAGGTCTCAACCATTTGGAAAAGCACAACTAATGTGGTTTTTAGTATAGTCACAAAGTTGAGCAAACATCACCACTGTCTAAATTTCAGAACGTATTCATCACCCCAAAAAGAAACTCCATGCCCTTTAAGCAGTCACCTCCTACTCCCTCCTCCCACTAATCCCTGGCAACCATCAGCCTGCATTCTGTCTCTGGATTTGCCACTTACGGACATTTGATATAAATGGAATCATACAATATGTGAGTTTTAGAGTCTGGCTTCCATCAATTAGCATGTTTTCAAGGTTCATCCATGTTATGGTATATTAGTACTCTTTTTAATGGCTAAATAATATTCCATTATATAGATATACCACAATTTATCGATTCATTCATCAGTTGATGGACATTTGAGTTGTTTCCACTTTTTGGCTGTTATGAATAATGCTGCTGTGAACATTCATGTACATGTTTTTGTGTAGACATATGCTTTCAGTTGTCCTGGGTATGTACCTAAAAGTGGAATTGCTAGACCATATGATAATTCCATGTTTAACTTTTTAAGGAACCGTCAACTGTTTTTTTTCTTTTTTTTTTTTTTTGAGACAGAGTTGCTCTTTTGCCAGGCTGGAGTGCAGTGGCGGAAACTTGGCTCACTGCAACTTCTGCCTCCCAGGTTCAAGCAATTCCCTTGCCTCAGCCTCCCAAGTAGCTGGGACTACAGGTGCATGCCACCACGCCCCGTGAATTTTTTGTATTTTTAGTAGAGACGGGGTTTCATCATCTTGGCCAGGATGGCCTTGATCTTTTTTTTTTTTTTTTTTTTTTTTTTTGAGACAGAGACTTGCTCTGCTGCCCAGGCTGGAATGCAGTGGTGCAATCTCAGCTCACTGCAGCCTCTCCTCCTGGGTTCAAGCAATTCTCCTGCCTCAGCCTCCTGAGTAGCTGGGATTACAGGTGCATGTCACCATGCCCAGCTAATTTTTGTATTTTTTTTTTTTTAAGTAGAGATGGGGTTTCACCATGTTGGCCAGGCAGGTCTCAAACTCCTGACCTCAGGTGATCCGCCCACTTCGGCCTCCCAAAGTGCTGGGATTACAGGCATAAGCCATTGCGCCTGGCCTGGTTTTTTTTGTTTTGTTTTTTGTTTTTTGGTTTTTTTTTAGACAGAGTCTCACTCTGTTGCCCAGGCTGGAGTGCAGTGACGTGATCTTGGTTTACTCCAACCTCTGCCTCCTGGGTTCGAGTGATTCTCCTGCCTCAGCCTCCTGAGTAGCTGGCATTACAGGCGCCCACCACCATGCCTGGCTAATTTTTTTGTATTTTTAGTAGAGATGGGGTTTCCGCTGTGTTGGCCAGGCTGGTCTTGAATTCCTGGCCTCAAGTGATCTGCCAGCCTTGGCCTCCCAAAGTGCTGGGATTACAGGCATGAGCCACCATGCCTGGCCTGGAACCACCAACTGTTTTCACAGTGGCTGCACCAGTTTACATTTCCACTAGCAAAGCATAAGGGTTCTAATTTCTCAGCATCTTTACCAACCCTTATTATTATTTGACTTTTTCATCCTGACTTTTGATTCTAGTGAGTATGCAGTGATATCTTGTTGCGGTTTTGATTTGCATTTGCCAAATGATTAACAATGTGGATCATATTTTCATGTGCTAATTGACCATTTGTATATCTTCTTTGGAGAAAGTCTATTCAAGTTCTTTGCCCGTTTTTGAATTGCGTTGTTTATCTTTTTGTTGTTGAGTTGTAGAATTTTTAATATGTTCTGGATTATTATACCCTTATCAGATATATGACTAGCCATATTTTCTCCCATTTTGTGGGGTTTCTTTTCACTTTCTTATTAGTGTCCTTTGATTCAAAAATACTTTTAATTTAATGAAGCCTAATTTCTCTATTTTTTTCTTTTGTTGCTTGTGCTTTTGGTGTCATAGCTTAGAATCCATTGCTGATTCAAGGTCATGAAAATTCACCCCTGTTTCCTTCTAAGATTTTTATAGTTTTAGCTTACATTTAGGTCTTTTATGTATCTTGAGTTAATTTTTGTATGTGGTTTGAAGGAAGGGTTAAATTTCATTCTTGTACATGTGAATTTCTAGTTACCTCAGCATAATATGTTGAAAAGGCAATTTTTCCCATTGAGCTGTGTTGACACCCTTGTCAAGAATCAATTGACCATGGATGTATGGGCTTCTTTCTGTACTTTCCATCTTATTCCATTGATCTATATGCCTATTCTCATGCCAGTACTACATTGTTTTGATTACTGTAGCATTATAGTCAGTTTTGAAATTGGTAACTATGAGTCCTCCAATTTTGTTCTTTTTCAAGATTGTTTTGGCTATTTAGTAGTTTTCAGTATTCAAGTCTTGCACTTCCTTGGTTCAATTTATTCCCAACTATGTTATATTCTTTTTGATAATATTGTAAATGGATTTTTTTAAAAAAATAGAGATAGGTCTCACTATTTTGGCCAGCCTGGTCTTGGGGCAAGCAATCCTCCTGCCTCAGCCTCCCAAAGTCCTGGGATTACAGGCATGAGCCACCATGCCTAGCTGGGAATTGTTTTCTTAATTTCACTTTTGGATTATTCATTGTTAGTGTTTAGAGATACAACTGATTTTTGTTTGTTAATCTTGTATCCTGCAACTTTGCTGAATTCATTTATTAGCTCTAATTGTGTGAATGTGTGTGCGTGTGTGTGTGTGTGTGTGTATTCTTTAGGATTTTCTGTATATAAGATCATGTCATCTCTGTATAGAGAAATTCTTAATTCTTCCTTTCCAATTTGGATGCATTTTATTTCTTTTTCTTGCCTAAATGCCCTGGTCAGCACCTTCAGTACACCGTTGACTAGAAGTGATAAGAGTGAATATCCTCTTGTTCTTGATTAAGTATGATGTTAGCTGTGGGTTTTTTGTAGATGCTCTTTATTAGGAGGAGGAAGTTCCCTTCTGTTTCTAGTTTGGCATGAAAAGATATTGGATTTTGTTAAATGCTTTTCCCACATTAATTCAGATGATAATGAGTTTTTTCTTTCATTCTATTAATGTGATGTATTACATACAGTAATTTGTCTAGGTAAGCCACCCTTGCATTCCTGGGATAAATCCCACCTGCTCATGATATATAATCTCTTTAATATACAGCTGGATTCAGTTTGCTAGCATTTTATTAAGAATTTTTTCATCCATATTTATAAGGGTTATTGGTCTGTAATTTTCTTGTGGTATCTTTGGCTTTGGTATCAGGGAAATACTGGCCTAATAGAATGAGTTAGGAAGTATTACCCCTCAATCTCTTCTATTTTTTTTTAAGAGTTTAAGGAAGATTGGTGTTAGTTCTTCTTAAAATATTTGGTTGAATTCACCAGTGAAGCCATCTGGTCCTGGGCTTTTCTGTGTTGGAAGTTTCCTGATTATTGATTCAATCTCCTTACATATTACAGGTCTATTCAGACTTTGTATTTCTTCATGTCAGTTTTGATAGTTTGTGTGTTTTTAGGAATTTGTCCATTTCATCTAAGTTATTCAATGTGTTAGCATAAAACTATCCACAGTATTCTGTTATAATCCTTTTTATTTCTATGATGTCAGTAGTAATTTCCCCACCACTTTCCTTCCTGATTTTTGTAATTTGAGTCTTCTTTCTCTCTTCTCCCACACCACCCCTGCCACACACACACACCCACCACCCCGCACCCCCCCACCATCTCACTCTCTCTCTCTCTCTGGTCAGTCTAACTAAAGTTTTATCAATTTTATAATATCCTTTCTGTCAATTATATACTATCCAACTTTTGTCTTAAGTCTATTTTTTCTGATATTAGAATAGCCACTCTAGCTCCCTTTTGGTTACAGTTTGCATGAAATATTTTTTTCATTCTTTCACTTTCTTTTTTTTCTTTTCCTTTTTCTCTCTCTCTTTTTTTAAGAGATGGTCTTGCTCTGTTTCCCAGGCTGGAGTACAGTGGCATGATCATAGCTCACTGCAGCCTCATAATCTTGGGTTCAATTGATATTCCTGCCTCAGCCTCCTGAAGGCCAGGACTACAGGCACACGCCACTATGCTCAGCTAATTTTTGTATTTTTTTAATAGACAGGGTCTCTCACTATGTTTTTCAAGCTGGTCTTGACCTCCTGGACTCAAGCAATCCTCCTGCCTCTGTCTCCCAAAGTACTGGGATTACAGGCATGAGCCACCATATCTGGGCCATCCTGTCACTTTCAACCTATTTGAGTCTCTGAATCTAAAATTAGTCTCTTATAGAGAGCATATAGTTGGATTATGTTTTCAATCCAATCTGCCAGTATCAGCCCTTTGATTGGAGAGTTTAATCCATTTAAATTAATTAACTTAATTACTGAAAAGAAAGGCTTTCTTTCCTTTTGCCATTTACTATTCTTTTTCTGTATGGCATATCTTTTTGTTCCTCTATTCCTCCATTACTGCCTTCTTTTATGTTTAATAGATATTTTCTAGTGAACCATTTTGATTCCCTTCTCATTTCTTTTACTATACATATTTTTATTTTTCTTTATTGTTTGCCCTGAGGGTTATAATTAACATTTTAGCTTATAATGATTTAATTCAAATTAATACCAACATAATTTCAATAGTATGTAAAATCCTTGCTTCTTTTAGCTTGTATTTATATGTTGTATGCTCAGCTACATAGGTTTGTAATTATAGATTATGCTGTTTTATGCAGTTTTATTTTATGTCATGTAGGAGTTAGAAAACTAAAATACATTAATACTGACCTTTATATTTATCTGTGTAGTTACCTTTACCTGCTTTCCTTGTTTTTTTCATGTGGACCCAGGTTACTTTGTAGTGTATCAAATCAGGTCAGCTTGCAGGAATCCCTTTGGCATGACTTGTAGGGAAGGTATACTAGCAACAGACACTCAGTTTTTGTATTTCTGGTAATGTGTTAATTTTTCCTTCATGTTTGAAGGATAGTTTTGCCAGATAAAAAATTATTAGTTGTCAGGTTTATTTTTTTTTCAGCAGTTTGAATATATTACCCCATTGATTTCTGGCCTCTATAGTTTCTGATGAGATATCTGCTATTAAAAAATCTGCAGCCGGGCATGGTGGCTCGCACCTGTAATCCCAATAATTTGGGAGGCTGAGGCAGGCGGATCACCTGAGGTCAGGAGTTTGAGACCAGCCTGGCCAACATGGTGAAACCTTGTCTCTACTAAAAATACAAAAATTAGCCAGGGATGGTGGCGCGCACCTGTAATCCCAGCTACTCAGGAGGCTGAGACAGGAGAATCGCTTGAACTTGGGAGCCAGAGGTTGCAGTGAGCCAAGATTGAGCCACTGCACTCCAGCCTGGGTGACAGAGTGAGACTCATCTTAGAAAAAAGAAAAAAAATCTGCTTATGGAATATTTCTTATACAAGATGAGTCACCTCTGTCTTGCTGCTTTCAAGATTCTCTCTTTGTTTTTGTCTTTTTATGGTTTGGTTATACTGTTTCCTGGTTTGGATGTCTTTGAGTTTCCTGTTTGGAGTTTATTAAGTTTTTTGGATGTGTAGATTTGTGTCTTTTATCAAATTTGGGAAGTTTCCAGCCATTACTTTTGCAAATATCGGTTCTTTCCCTTTCTCTCTTCCTCTCCTCTGGGACTCTCATTAGGTATATTTGGTACACTTGATGGTGTCCCACGGGCCTCTTAGGTTTTGTTACTTTTTCTTCCTTTTTTTTTTTTCCTGCCTCACAGACTGTATAATCTCAATAGGCCCATCTTCAAGTTAACCTTCTTCTTCCTGCTTGAATTTTCTGTGGAACTTTTCTAGTGAATTTTTCATTGCAGTTATATTTTTTAACCCTACAATATTTCTATTTGGCTTTTAAAAAATAATTCTTATCTCTCTATTAATATTCTCCATTTAGTGAGACATTGTTCTCATAGTTTTTTATATATGGTTTCCATTAGCTCTGTGAGCATATATGAAAGAGTTAAAGTCAAGTAAGTCCAATCTGGGCTTCTTTAGGGAGAGTGCCTATAAATTTCTTTTATTCCTCTTTGTGAACTTTGTCCTTTTTTGTGTGCTTCACTTTTTTCCATTGGAAACTGAACATTTAAAGTACTATATTGTGGCAACTCTGGAAATCAGAGTCTCCCCTCTCCCTAGGGTTTTTTGTTGATGATTATTATAGTTTTTTGCTGTTGTTGTTTGGTGACTTTTCTAAACTAATTATTTTATATTTTTTTCGTTCCCCACTTTTATTATCCAATGCAACTAATTTTGTAAAGTTTGTATGTTTTGTCATATGTGGCTAATGAAGTCTGTTCCAGTAGATTAGCTACCAACCAGTGACCTGACATAGATTTTCTTATGCTGCTGTTTTCAGTAACATCACTTCCCTGTAATCATTTAAAAATATGAATTAAAAAGAAGGATAATAATAGTAATGGATGCTGATCTTTTTTCATACATGATGAACTCTGGTCTTGAGGATTTTTTACATTTTTCGCGACTCTATATTATTTTGCATCCTTTTCTGTCTTCCAATGAGTATTCTTTGTCATCTCGTTTCTTATACTGCTGGGGAACTTCAACTCAGACCACAAAATGCAACAAATATGATATAGTATTTGCAACTTCTAAATGCAATGTGCACACTGATTCCCAAGTAAAATTTGCCATTGATCTAGACCCATTCTAGACATGAGGCCATGCTCCCTTCTTCCAGTGAAGATGTGGGAACTCAGTCCCAGGCTAGATTGGTTTGGGAAGAGTGCCATTGGATTGACTAAGCACTGTTAATGTGGCATATTCCCTCAGTCCATACACTTATATTTGCCCCAACACCCGAAATAACCTGAGGGAAGAAGTCTTTTCACATTCTGTTTTTGGGCTGTCCTCTGGTACATGTGACTGGCAGTGACAACCTGCTTTAAAGAGACCTCCTGAGCACTGACCATGAAGATGAAATATTAGTAAATGCTATTCTAGTTATATATAATCTAGAAATAAAATGTCTGGTAAAAGTAAACCACCTCTGGCTGAAGCCATGAAGTAATAAAGAAGCTCAGCCTTGATAGGAATTATGTTTCACAAACCCCAGGGGATGAAATTTTTCCAAAGAAATCTCAGAATTTAGTGGGGAATGCTCATTTATCCTGCCTTCTGCCAGCCCTTTGAAAAACAGGAAACTTCTTGGATTAAGAATTTTTTTCTAATAACAAGTAAAATATTTATGATATGAGGCTTATATATTGTTACCAAGCATTTGCTGACACTGCGTATAGTTTTAGATCGTTCTATTTCCTGAACACATGAAGGAAAGCAATATGGTAAAATACACAAATGCAACCCAAAGTATAGTCTTCCCTCACTGGGGAAATCCCTTGGAAGTACCCCTTAGCTCATATTGCCCCTCAGCGAATAATTATTGAACAGCTTCTATAAGCTGTGCTTTCTGCTGGATTGTATCAGACTTGTACCAAAATAAGGTGCAAATGACCAGTATTATAGTCTTTCTGTGGGATATTTGAATTTTCATTTGAGTTTATTAAAACATATTTTAATGAGAAGTGTGAATACTTTTTTGCTTTTTGAAATAGGATCTTGCTCCGATACCCAGGCTGGAGTGCAGTGGCACAATCATGGCTCACTGCAACCTCGAACTCCGAAGCTCAAGCAATCCTCCCACCTCAGCCTCCCAAGTAGCTGGGACTACAGGCATGTGCCACCACGTCCAGTTAATTTTTTAAATTTTTTTCTAGAGACAGAGCTTTGCTGTGGTTCCCCGGCTGGTCTCAAACCCCTGGCCTCAAGTGATCCTCCCACCTTGGCCTTCCAAAGTGCTGGGATTACAGGTGTGAGCCACTGCACCCAGCTGAGAAATGTTTTTGAGCAGAGAATGCATACAAGAAATTTCCAGTTAATGTTTCAAGCCTATTCCTAAAAGGCCTGCAGAGGAGCAAAGTACATGAAATTACAGCCTTATATGACAAAAAAAAAAGTGTCTTTATATGACAAAAAAAAAGTGTCTTTCTAAACCTCTTACTATGTACCTACTTGAAACTATGATAAATATGAAATTTAAAATTATCTTGGACATGGTTTGAATGACTTTTATCTGAATTTGGTTCACCAGAAAAGGTTTTTTCCAAAACACATGTAGTATGAGCAAGCTGAGTGCTTTATTCCTAGGAGAATCTTCTCCAGAAAGCACTATGTAACATAGTGAGTCTTAATGAGGAAGGAGGTGTCCCTTGGTTGGTCTTACACATGCCACCCGAATCATGGCTAAGAGCCTCCTCTCATTTATTCATTCAGTAGTGTTATTGAATACCTACTAAATGTATGGTATTATCTAGGCTCTGGGTGGGAGAGTTCCTGGGCTTAGGAATTTAAAATCTTTTATTTCATAAATTGGGTATAAATAAAAGTGATTTGGTGACTGCCTTCACTTTGTGAAAATCCATCAAGCTGCATTAAGATTTATGCCCTTTTCTGTATTGTGTTATATGTCAAGAAAAAGTTCCTCCTAAAAGTGCTTTGGGAATTGAAAACTGGAAGACATTATTTCCAGCTGAGAAAACAAGGTAATACCTCTGCAAGGAAGCTAATTTTCTGGCTTTATATTATATTGTTACTGAAAGTTCGTCATTGTCAGGGTCATATTTTTTTATTTTCAGGTAAGCAGATGATGTCATCATCATCATCATCATCATCCCCACAGCAGCTACTACATATTAAGAACTTATTATGTACCAAAGCCAGGTGCCATCTGAGTTCTTCGTGCATACTAACCTACTTATTCTTCATAGTAGCCCTGTGAAGTAGGTTACTGTTACTATCTCCATTTGACAGAGACAGAAGTTGTGACACAGTGAGGCTGAAAATTTGTCCAAGGTCATTCAGCTAAATAAGTGGTGAAGCCAGGAGACAAACTGCTCAGTCCAGACTTCTTATTTGGATAAGTCTCTTAGCCAAACAGTAGCAGTTCTCAAAGTGTGGTCCAGGAACCCTTGTGGGTCCCAAGACGTTTTCAAGCAGTCTTCAAGGTCAATACTATATTCATAATCATATGAAGACATTATTTGCTTTTTTCACTCTCGTTCTCTCAAGAGTGCACAGTGGAATTTTCCACAGGCTATGTGATGTATGCTATCACAATGGACTCAATGCAGAAGTGGATACAAGTCTCCAGCCATCTTCTGTTAAGCCAGACGCTGCAGATATTTACAAAAATGGAAAACAATACCATTTTTCCCACAAATTTTTTTGTTTTTCACAATATATTTATTTTCATAAATTACATTATTCACATTAACATTTAATGGGCTTATTACTGCTTTTAATAAATTAAATACTTTAAAATTTTTATCCGTTCTAATTTTTAAAAATTTGATTAAATACTAATTTTAAAATTTTTTGTAGAGACAGAGTCTCGCTATGTTTCCCAGGCTGGTCTTAACTCCTGGCCTCGAGTAATCCTCCAGCCTTGGCCTCCCAAAGTGCTGGGATTATAGGCATACGCCACTGCACCCAGCCTAGTTTCAATTTTTAATATAAGAAATATCTATAAATATAACCCACATACACGAAAGCTCTTTTGGAGTCCTCAATAATTTTTAAAGATTATAACGGGGTCCTGATATAAAAATGTTTGAGCACCACAGCCCTATACTGTACTGCCTTGGGGCAGTGGATACCCAAAAGCTGGTTTTATGGTTATAGAAGCAGCTTAGAAGTCAGCTCCATTTCTGAGACCTGTCACATAAAAATGTGTCCTTCCTTTTCTCCTGTGAAGCTGGACTTAATAATGCTGACATTCTGGGGTGGCTCTCATTTAATTATGAGAGACTGCAAGGCAAGTGCTTAGTGTAGAGTAAGCCCTCAACCCATGGCCCAGAACCAGGAACTTTTCTTGTGTCATCCACAGGTGATGGAATTTTACTGCCAGTCCTGTGAGACTGCCATGTGTCGGGAGTGCACGGAGGGGGAGCACGCAGAGCACCCCACAGTTCCACTCAAGGATGTGGTGGAACAGCACAAGGCCTCGCTCCAGGTCCAGCTGGATGCTGTCAACAAAAGGTGGGGGACCCCTCCCCAAACCCCCAACTGGCTGCCTGTACTTGAGGCCTGGCCTCATGGCCTCTTGTCTAGGTACAAGAGTAGGTTCATATTTCCCTTGAGATATCAGGCTTTGTGGGTAAATAAGTTCTTTTATCATGGATTTGTTGTCATAAACTAATGAGTGAGGAAGGTTGTCTTCTGCCTGTTGGTAGAACTCCAGCCTCCTTATGAGTGGCATTTTTGTTTTAGTACCTAAGTATGATTACATGAATTAAAGTACACTCAAATAAACTGCTCTCAGGAGAGTTCTGAAATTCATCCCTGAAACCAGGCTCTCTGAGGAGCCTTCCTTATCTGCTGTTCCTGACACACATACAGGCCATTTTGTTGGCTGTGATTGGCTCCTTTCTGTCTGAGCTCTGCAAAATGGTCTTGAGCAGTGATTGCTAATTTTCCTTGTTTTCCTGCTTCCAAGTTCCTTCTTTGGCACAGAAATGAAAGAACAGAGTAGCTGAGTGGTGCATGAAAAAGACCAAAGAGAGGAAATGAGAAGCCAGCAGAAAAGCAGACAAAATAAATCTCTCCACTGATAGCTGTAGTGAGAAAAGTGTGGTTGTTCTATAGTAATTCAAAGAACTTGGAAACTTACGAGAAGTTCTCAAGAAACTGGGTTTGGATAAATGTTTTATGTGGCTAGGGTAAAAGATACAGCTATCTAGAATAGTGGTTCTCAGCCATTCGGCAATGCCTGGAGACATTTTTGGTATCACAACTGTGTGTTTTGGCAGGGGGTTGGGGAGAGGGAGGCAGGGCGGGGAGAGCTATTGGTATCTGGTAGAGGACAGGCTGCTGTTAAACATCATACAATGCACCAGACGGCCCCTGCAACGAAGAATTAACCTGGCCAGAATGGCTTTTCAGAGAGCTTCAAGTCTATACACTTAATTAATTATTAAAATTGGACAATTGATGGTAGATTGAAATTGACAATTTTGATTGTCTCTGAAGAGACAAAATCTCTTCTCTCTAAGGCAGTAATTATGTCATATCTTATTCTGTTCTCTGGTTATTGTTTTTTTAAAGATGATGAAAGGCATAGAATTTTTTTAAACAAAATGTAGTGTTTAGATAGATTTTGGAATATTTCTGGGTTGAGGTTAAATAACGACCTTTAACAACTGTCCACCAGGCTCCCAGAAATAGATTCTGCTCTTCAGTTCATCTCTGAAATCATTCATCAGTTAACCAACCAAAAGGCCAGCATCGTGGATGACATTCATTCCACCTTTGATGAGCTCCAGAAGACTTTAAATGTGCGCAAGAGTGTGCTGCTTATGGAATTGGAGGTCAACTATGGCCTCAAACACAAAGTAAGACCAGAATCATTACAGATGTCCTGGAAGAGACATGATATCCAAGGGCACTAGCTTATTGTTTCCTAATAGCAACAAGGGGTCCTTAAGTGTCATCATTGTATAGTAAACTATAGTTTTCACTGAATGTAATATCCAGCTATTTTTTCCCCTATTTTCAGCAAAATTCGATGACTCTGTGACTTTAAGTACTAGTTTATAATTTGACAAGAGGCAAGGTTGAATATAATGTAATGCTTTTAGCATTTAGAGTTAAACTGGATTGTTTTCATTCCTCAGTTATAACATGAAATAGTTTCTTAATTGCTCTCTCACCCACACCAACCTGTTAGTCAGCTTCAAAATGAACCCTGACTGCAGCCTTTGTTTAACTCTGCATGTCTGTTCACAAAACAGGGATGAGAAACCTCTGATGTTCAGGTGTGGAGAGTTTTCATTTGTTTACTTCCTGTTCCTTTAGGTGGTGATGGACATGGGGACATGGGGAAAGATACTGAATAATGAATATTTCAGATGTCAGGCATAGCAATTAATTTGCTATGCTCTTGGTAGTGACCTTTCTGTTTTCCCCTCTCCAAAACACATGAGCCAAGAAATACATGTGTGGAAGAGAGGGCGAGGCGGAAGGGAAACCTCGAAAAGGTACTGGGAATGCAGTTTAGGACTTTGCGTTAGCACTGGGTTCCCTGGGTTGACAAACACCGCTTGCTCAGAGCCACCTGCGTGGGCAGGTGTAGAGTCTCCTTCTCGCCGGTGGAGGGCACTGCCCCGGGCTAGGCCCCGCCCTGTGGGACGAGCTCACCAGGCCTCCGGTTTTCCCGCAGGTCCTCCAGTCGCAGCTGGATACTCTGCTCCAGGGGCAGGAGAGCATTAAGAGCTGCAGCAACTTCACAGCGCAGGCCCTCAACCATGGCACGGAGACCGAGGTCCTACTGGTGAAGAAGCAGATGAGCGAGAAGCTGAACGAGCTGGCCGACCAGGACTTCCCCTTGCACCCGCGGGAGAACGACCAGCTGGATTTCATCGTGGAAACCGAGGGGCTGAAGAAGTCCATCCACAACCTCGGGACGATCTTAACCACCAACGCCGTTGCCTCAGAGACAGTGGCCACGGGCGAGGGGCTGCGGCAGACCATCATCGGGCAGCCCATGTCCGTCACCATCACCACCAAGGACAAAGACGGTGAGCTGTGCAAAACCGGCAACGCCTACCTCACCGCCGAACTGAGCACCCCCGACGGGAGCGTGGCAGACGGGGAGATCCTGGACAACAAGAACGGCACCTATGAGTTTTTGTACACTGTCCAGAAGGAAGGGGACTTTACCCTGTCTCTGAGACTCTATGACCAGCACATCCGAGGCAGCCCGTTTAAGCTGAAAGTGATCCGATCCGCTGATGTGTCTCCCACCACAGAAGGCGTGAAGAGGCGCGTTAAGTCCCCGGGGAGCGGCCACGTCAAGCAGAAAGCTGTGAAAAGACCCGCAAGCATGTACAGCACTGGAAAACGAAAAGAGAATCCCATCGAAGACGATTTGATCTTTCGAGTGGGTAAGGAGAGGGCTTCTGTGCCCGACGCCTGAGCTGGCACTGGTTAAGGGGTAACTGGGCACGTGTCATTGCAAATAGCAACACTGCAGCCCAGAACTCTACCTGCAGGTGTTAGGAGATGTACTGCTATAAAATTTGATATATTTTGTTAGTCGAGCTTATGCAGTCTCCTCCAGAGATGGTATTTCCTTCTCCTCCGCCTCTAGTCTCCTCCCTACTCCCTCCTTTCTCTTCTTCCTCTTCCTTAAGACACAAGTGCTGCATATTCATTGTAGGAAATTACAAGCTGAAAATAAGCAAAAAGAGAAATAGAAAAATCATAGCACCCGTAATCTGAAAATCTTGAAGGAAAAATTGGCAATCCTCCCCCTAACCCCCACCACCAACGCCCCTCTTCCCTGGGAGGGTCTTCTTGTGCCAGAGCTGAGGCTGTACGGTTGGCAGAGCATGTGATGCCTCCCTGTCACTGCATCGGCATTGCAGGAGGGAGGGGATGTGTGCATTGCAAGTTGCAACCACCTCCAGCTGTGTGTAGCTGGAGAGCAGCCCCAAGGAGAGGAGGAGGGGTGGAAACTTGGAGAAAGAATGGGGTTGAGGCGGGGTTGGGGTGGAAGCAAGAAGGTACCCGATGAGCCAAGAGAGTTAGGAATGCAAATAGCCCTTCCCTCCTCTGATTTATGGTCTCTCTCTTTTTAAACTTTCTATGTTCTCAGTAGAAAGCAACTAAATGTAAACAGCAAAGGGCTTGATGATTCTTAAGGGAGAAAAGTCTGCATTTTAGTTAGCTTCAAAAAGTAGCTCCAGCAGACTTCTTTTCCTCCCTCTTCCATTTAACAATGCAGTATCTCTGAAAGAGTGCTGCACTGTATATTAGCTGGCACATGTAGAAAAACAATTCTATGGTTCAGATAAATTTGGGAAACCTTAGGCTAAATGAAGGAAGTGGACTTTTTTAAATTGCAGAACTTCTTAAAACCTTTAGAATCTGCTGATGTACATTGTAGGTCTCTGAGGCAGGAGAGGGATAGATAACAGGCAGCACATCCAAACTTCCAACCATAGAACTTTTTCCCTGGAACGTCTTGGGAAATGAAGGCTCTGTGGAACGTTCTTGGGCAGAGCTGCTCAATGTTAATGCTTCAGGCTGAATCTTCGCAAAGACGGTGATATGATATGTAACTTGTCTGTTCAGAGCATGGAAGCCCTCATACATTCACGGCCAGATGTGCGATATGGGTGCAGGGGTTGTTGATTCTCCACCAGAGCAGAGTGGACGAGCTTGGGTGGATGCAGGACTGGGAGGCGCCCAGGTCTGCCACTCCGGTTCAGCCACTTACTTGAGCCTTGGGCAAATCTTTCAGCTTCCCTGTACTTCAACTTCTATGTCCATGAAATGAAAATGCAAAAATATCTGCTTATCAGAACTATTCTAAGTTCCAAGCTGAATGCCTGACATGTAGGAGGAGCTAAATGAATGAGAGCTATTGTTTTTGTACATGTAATTGTTAAGGCTTTTAGATTATCCCTACTACCTTTTCTTTTCAAAAAACCTGCTGGCTCCCCACTGATCTCTTGCATTACGAACAAATTCATTTTCCCATTTAAACCTCCATCCCCCACACCTCCCACCAAGTGACCCCAGTCTACTCCCCTAGGCCATGTGCAGTGAAAGACTCAGAACTGGAATTGGGCAGATCTGGGTTGGAATCTTGATTCTTCTCACCAGCTGGGCAACTGGCTTACTTACCCTTTTTGAACAGTGTTTTCTCCTCTGTAAAACAAAGGGAATGAAATATTACCTAAATCTTAAGGTTGCTGTTGGGGGTGAAATGAGAGAATTCTTGTAATATACGTGGCATGTGCCTGTGTACAGCAAGAGCTCAATTAATGGTAGCTAAGATTTTACTCTTGTTATTCATCATCATCATCATCATAATCATCATCACCTCTGATACCCACTTGAGGAAAGAGACATGTCTTTCAGGAGTTTCCTGTGCTCAAACTATATTGGTTTTGATTCTCCAGATCCCACCCCAGGGACAAGGGGGTATATCTTCTCCCCTCGTACCTACTGAGAAATGCAGCCATAGTGATGTATTGGCACTGCTGGAAAGGTGTTGAAATGTGTAAACATTTGTGAAGAACTTAGAACAGTGCCTGGCATGCAGCACGATGTCTGAGTTTATCAATGAAGTAAAGATGCTGTCTTAGTTTGCTAAGGCTGCCATAACAAAATTCCACAGTCTGAGTGACTTAAATGATAGACATTTATTTTCTCACAGTTCTGAAAAACTGGAACTGTTTTAGAGTTAGAAGTCCAAAATCCAGGTGCTGGGAGGGTGGGTTTCCTCTGAGGCCTCTGTCCTTGCAGATGGCCACCTTCTTGCCTCTTTGTCCTCACATAGTCATCTCTTTGTGGCTCAGCCCCTATTGTCTCTTCCTCTTCTTATAAGAACACCAATCATACTGAATTAGGGCCCCGCTTTAACAGCCTCATTTTAATTTAATCACCCCTTCAAAGACCTAATCTCCAAATATGTATATATTCATGGTGTACAACATGATGTTTTGATATATGCATACCTTATTGAATGGCTAAATCAGGCTAACATATGCATTACCTCACATATTGATCAATTTTTTTATAGAGAACACTTACAATCCACTCTTTCAGCAACTTTCAAGTGTATATAATATATTTCTTTTCTTGTTATTGAAACAGGGCCTTGCTCTGTTGGCCAGGCTGGAGTACAGTAGCGTGATCATGGCTCATTGTAGCCTCTACCTCCTGGGCTCAGGTGATCCTCCCACCTCAGCCTCCCAAGTAGCAGGGACCACAGCTGCATGTCACCAAGCCCAGCTAATTTTTGTTTTTGTTTTTTTTTAGGGGTTGGGTCTCGCCATGTTGCCCAGGCTAGTCTCAAACTCCTGGACTCAAACAATCTCCCCATCTCAGCCTCCCAAAGTGCTGGGATTACCGGCGTGAGCCACCATGCCTAGCCATAATATATTAACTATAGTCACCATGATTTACAATAGTTCTCTTGAACTTATCCCTCTTATTTAACTAAATTTTTCTGTCTTTTGATCAACATCTCTCCAGTCCTTTTACCCCCACCCTCCCCAGCCTCTGGTATCCACTATTTTACTGTCTGTTGCTATGAATTCAACATTTTTAGATTCCTCATATAAGTGAGATCATGTATTATTTGTCTTTCTGTGCCTGGCATAATGTCCTCCAGGTTCACCCATATTGTCACAAATGACAGGATTTCCTCAATTTTTGAAGCTGAATAGTATTCCATTGTGTGTGTATGTGTATATATATATATACACACAGTGAAAGACTGTGTATATATATACCACATTTTCTTTATCTATTCATTTGTTGATGGACACTTAGGTTGATTCCATATCTTGGCTATTGTGAACAGTGCTGCAGTGAAACATGAGGATGCAGATATCTCTTTGACATCTTGACTTCAGTTTCTTTAGATATGTTAGATACAGTGAGTTCTAGATTTCTTTTCAAAGAATCAGTATGTCAGTATGTTCAGTTCTTTGTCCTCCATTTTAAAGTTTAACTTCCTTGTAGTTTCAGTAAACAACTTTTTCCATCAGTTTTAATCGGTAGTTCACATTTGTTCCCCTGGTCACCTGCTCTGTCCTGACTCATCCCTATCACCTGCTTTGACCCGAGTCACCCCTGGTCACCTGCTCTGACCTAAGTCACCTTTAGTTACCTGTTCCTAACCATCCTTCCCACAAACTACTCACCCCACCACTCTGGCTCATACCTGTACTCTCTTTAAAATAGCCAGTCGGAATTAGCTTAGACTGTGTGGTCCAACCCTAGCCAATAGGTGAACAACACAGCAGTAGGAGCTACCTGCGTCAGGAATAAGAACCCCTTCCCTCCCTTGTCCAGGTGTGCTCTCACCATTACTCCGTTTGCAAGTCGCACCCTTCTATAGAAGTAAAAATTGCCTTGCTGAGAAAATTAAATTTATGTTTGAGTGCTATTTCTTTGCGGCACCGAAAATTTGTTTCTAACAGATATATACCCAGTACTGGGATTGCTGGTTCATATGATAATTGTATTTTTAATTTTTTGAAGAACTTCTATACTGTTTTCCATAATGGCTGTACTAATTTACATTCCCACCAACCTGTGCCAGGGTTCACTGTCTCCACATCTCTGCCAACACTTGATATCTTTTGTCTTTTTTTTGAGACAGAGTCTTGCTCTGTTTCCCCAGGCTGGAGTACAATGGCGAGATCATGGCTCGTTTCCCCAGGCTGGAGTACAATGGCGAGGTCATGGCTCACTGCAACCTCAACCTCCAGATGCTCCCACTTCAGCCTCTCAAGTAGCTGGGACCACAGATATGTGCCGCCATACCTGACTAATTTTTTCTTTTGTGTTTTTGGTAATAGCCATTCTAACACGTATGAGGTATTATCTCATTGTGGTTTTAATTTTCATATCCGCGATGATTAGTGATGTTCAACATTTTTTTTTTTGAGACAGATTCTTACTCTGTCGCCAGGCTGGTGTGCAGTGGCGTGATCTCAGCTTACTGTAACCTCTGCCTCCCAGTTTTAAGCTTCCCAAGTAGCTGAGACTACAGGCACGCACTAGCACACCCAGCTAATTTTTGTATTTTTAGTAGAGACAGGGTTTCACCATGTTGGCCAGGATGGTCTTGATCTCTTGACCTTGTGATCCACCCACCTCAGCCTCCCAAAGTGCTGAGATTACATTTTTTATATACTGGTTGGCCATTTGTATGTCTTCTTTTGATAAATGTCTATTCAGGTTCTTTGCCTTTTTTTTTTTAATTTTATTTTTATTTTAAAAATAGACATGGGGGCCGGGCACAGTGGATGATGCCTGTAATCCCAGCACCTTGGGAGGTCCAGGTGGGCGGATCACCTGAGGGCAGGAGTTTGAGACTAGCCTAGCCAACATGATGAAACCTCATCTCTACTGAAAATACAAAAATTAGCCAGGTGTGGTGGCAAATGCCTGTAGTCCCAGCTACTCGGGAGGCTGAGGCAGGAGAATCACTTGAACCCAGGAGGCAGAGGCTGCAGTGAGCCAAGATCGCGCCACTACATTCCAGCCTGAGTGACAGAGCGAGACTCTATCTCAAAAAAAAAAAAATAGACATGGGGTCTCACCTTGTTGCCCAGGCTGAATACAAACTCTGGGCTCAATAGGCTCAAGTGGTTCTCCCATCTCAACCTCTGGAGTAGCTGGAACTATAGGTATGCACACCACACCCAGCCAACCTTTGCCTATTTTAAAATCAGGCTATTTTTTTCATTCTATTGAGTTGTTTGAGTTTCTTGTGTATTTTAGATATTAACCTCTTATCAAGATGTAATATTCTCCCATTCTGTAGGTTTTCTCTTCACTCTGGTGATCCTTTGCTGTACAGCTTTTTAGTTTGATGTAATTCCATGTATCCATTTTTGCTTTTGTTGCCTGTGCTTTCACATTCATATTCAAAAAATCGTTGCCCAGAACAGTGTCATGGAGCTTTTTCCCTATGTTTTCTGCTAGTGGTTTTACAGTTCCAGGTGTTATGTTTAAGTCTTTAATCCAGTTTGAGTTGATTTTTGTATATGGTGTGAGATGAAAGTCTGATTTCATTGTTCTGCATGTAGACATGCAGTTTTCCTAGCACCATTTATTGAAGAGACTGATCTTTCCTCATTTTGTGCTGTTGGCATCTTTGTTGAAAATCAACTATAAATGTATGGATTTATTTCTGAGCTCTCTATTCTGTACCAGTGGTCTATGTTTTTAAGCCAGTACCATGCTGTTTTGATTACTATAGCTTTGAAGTCAATTTTGAAATAAGATGGTGTGATGCCACCAGCTTTGTTCTTTTGGCTTAACATTGCTTTGGCTATTTGGGAGTTTTTGTGATTCCATACGAATTTTAGGATTGCTTTTTCTATTTCTGTGAAAAAATGTCATTGATATTTTGATAGCAGTTGCATTTTAGATCACTTGGGGGTATGGGCATTTTATTAATATTCTTCCAATCTATGAACATGAGCCATCTTTTTATTTATTTATGTTGTCTTCGGTTTTTTTCATCAATGTCTTATAGTTTTCTGTGTACAGATCTTTTACCTCCTTGGTTAAATTCATCCCTACATTGTTGTTGTTGTTAGTTTTTTTCTTTTTCTTGCATTCGTCTTTAACTTTACATTCAAATCCAGTATCTAGTCAAAAGACAACACTCACTATGCAATAATATACCTCAAAAAACATTTCTAGGGCACCTAGTGCCTGCCAGGCGTTATTCTAGGTGATGGGAATATAGAGATGAAGGAAATGACATCTCTGTCACCCTCTTCAGCTGACAGTTTGGGATGATAGATGTATGAGCAACTAACAGCATGAGATAGGTGATGGTAAGCTGTAGAAATGGGAAGGAATTTAAACTGGGACTTTAATGATGGGTAGGACTTACCCAGGTTGGCAGGCAGAATTGGTATCCCAGGCAAAGGGACCAGTGTGAAGAAGTACAGAAAGGTGAAGAGGAGAAGACATGATTGTTATTTTGGAGACACATCCCATATAGTGTGAAAAGGTCAAAGGGATTAAAAGTAATGAGGTTGGACAAATCAGCAGTGGAGGCTACTTGAACTCCCTCTGTGCTCTCACACACCTTTGTGCATGAATTCTTTTCCCAATTTTATCTTCCCTCAAAAACCACCTTCTCTTTCAAAATACACTTTGATTATTGTTACTTATGCCTGGGTCTTATTACCCAAGATGGTAAATTCCTTAAGGTCAAGGATGGTGTCTTTAATCATTTATAATTCCCAAAAAATACACAGAAGAATGCTTTGCATAAGTACTTTGCCCATTTGAATAGGATAAGTTGTGAACTACCTCATGATTTAACTTCCCTCTCACCACCGTCATGCTCGTTTGGAGGCCCAGGAACACACAGATCAGGTGACAATGCATTCAGCTGCAGGGGTAATCATTCACATTCACACGCATGGGACTATGCTAGGCAATATCAAACAGCACTGGCCTAAGAACTTGGCTTTTCAACATCCATACCTTTGACTACAAATCAGTAGAGTTTATGTTATCATTAAAAGATTCAACTTTTGGCTGGACGCCGTGGCTTATGCCTGTAATCCTGGCACTTTGGGAGGCTGTGGCGGGCGGACCACCTGAGGTCAGCAGTTTGAGACCAGCTTGGCCAACATGGTGAAGCCCCATCTCTACTAAAAAAAAAAAATATATAAAAATCAGCCAGGCATGGTGGCACGCACCTGTAATCCCAGCTACCTGGGAGGCTGAGGCAGGAGAATCGCTGGAACCCAGGAGGCGGAGATTGCAGTGAGCCAAGATCTTGCCACTGTACTCCAGCCTGGGTGACAGAGTGAGACTCCATCTCAGAAAAAAAAAAAAAAAAAGAGTTCAACTTTCTTCTACAATTATGCCTTTGTGCTGCTAGGTATGTGATAACAGAACATTTATGAATTGAATAATCATTTTGTGCATGTGGTGAAGCCTGCCACATGTAATCCAGAAATCATTCAAAGCCAATCACATACACATGTGAGATGGCAATGGTGATTCTGCTTTTCAGCCGGTGACATACATACTAAGCTTTTTGTAGCATTAATTTTATGCTTAAAGATACATCATTTCATAAAACATGTATTGGTGTTTATACAACAACCCTAAATACATGTATTAATTTTATAGATTCATGACATTCGTCATTTTCTGGGCAATACCTTTATATTTTTTGGGGTAATTTCAACTCAGATTTTCATCTTTGCCCATTCATTATCCAGCCTTCTAGTTGGATGTGACTGCTGTTTGAGCACCTTCTATGTTAGGTCATCCTTATAAAAGACGATGAGATGCTTACTCTGATCTAGAGGAGGCCACAGTTTAGAAGGAGACAGACATGTAAAAGATGGAGTGCCTTCAGCATAAATCAAGGCACAGAAGTCAGGATGGTGGGGGGAGAAGGCTGGCATGTGGAAGGAAGTTAAGGAAGGTTCCTAGAGATGACTTTTTTTTTCTTTCTTTCTTTCTTTTTTTGAGACAGTGTCTTGCTCTGTTGCCCAGGCCGAAGTGCAGTGACATGATCTCAGCTCACTTTAATCTCCACCTCCTGGGTTCAAGTGATTCTCTTGCCTCAGCCTCCCAAGTAGCTGGGGCTACAGGCGTGCACCACCACACCTGGCTAATTTTTGTATTTTCAGTAGAGATGGGCTTTTACCATGTTGGCCAGGCTCGTCTTGAACTCCTGGCCTCAAGTGATCTGCCCGCCTTGGCCTCCTAAAGTGCTGGGATTACAGGCGTGAGCCACCATGCCCGGCCCCTTGAGATGACATTTAAATTTAAGCTGGGTTTGAAAGAGAAATAATTTGTCAGATGGAAGGAGGAAAAGAGTGTTTTATAGGAAGGGAAAGCAGGTACAAAGGCATGAAAGTGAGAAACTGAGTAGTTTGAGGAACTGTAAATGATTCCATTATTTTGGAGCATCAAATGAAATGAGATACAAGCAGAGAGGAGGTTGTTTCCTTGATAAGGAGCTGGGACTTTGTTCTCTGAACCTGTGTTCCTCAAAGTGTGGTCCATAAACCACATGCACGAGAATGCCTTGAGGTGCCTGGTATAATTTAAAATCTCTGAATTCCAAACTGCTCTTACAGAATTAGAATCTCTTGAGATGGACCAAGGATCTGCATTCTGCAAGCTCCAGTGCTACTTATGCACACTAAGGTTTGGAAACCATAGTTATTATACAGGTGGTGAGAAGGCTTTGAATGGTGTAATGTAGTGTAGTGACTTACTAAGATATTTACTTTCCAGAGAACCTGGAGGCATTATAGGAGATCTATTGGAAATGTTTCCCAAGGGAGCAGGGAGATGATTAAGAAGCTTTTGCAGTAGTCCACATGAGCTATTATAAGGGCCAGGATTTAGAGTGATGTGATGGAGTAGACAGAAAACAGCATGTTTATAAAATGTTTTGGAAGGAGAGAGAGAAATTTGGTGAACAATTTAAACTCCCAGCTGTTAGACTTGAGTGCTGTAGGGAAGTGATGCAGTAGAGTAGATAGTTAAGGCTGTGAACTCTGAAGCTAGACTGCCCCAACACTGCTACTTTTCTATCTGTGCAATTTTTGGTAAGTTGCTTAGCCTCTCAGTGCCTCGGTTTCCTTTATAAAGTTACAAAGTTTCCTTTGTTTTGAGAATTAAATTAATTAACACCAAAAAAAGCTTGGAACAATGCCTGGAATTAAATAGTGTCCAGTACATTTTAGAGAGGCAAAGTAGGTAGTACTAGTTAGCATATTCACAGTTGTAGTCTAGAACTAATAGTTAACATAAATAGAAATATGGTAGATAAAGAGCTTGTCTCGGTCCCTTTTCTGTTGCTATAACAGAATACCTGAGACTGGGTAATTTATAAAGGAAATAATTGTATTTGGCTCATGGTTCTGGAGGCTGTGAAGTCCAGAGGCATGGTGGCAGCTTCTGGCTAGGGCTTCTGTACTGCATCATAATATGGTGGAAAAGCTGAAGGATAAGTGAGCAAATGCAAAAGAGACCACAAGAACAAGCTCAGCTCCCTTTTAAAACAACTCATTCTTGTGAGAACTCACCCCTCCAAAATGGTATTGATCTATTCATGAGGGCTCTGCCCTCACAACACAATAACCCCTTAAAAGCCTCACCTCTCAACACTACCACTTTGGGAATTAAGGTTCTAATAACAGTAACTTTCTGGGGGGACCCATTCAAACTATAGCAGAGATCAAAAGTTTAATTGCTCATGCCTGTGGGAGCACTTTGGGAGGCTGAGGTGGGCAGATCACGAGGTCAGGAGTTTGAGACCAGCCTGACCAACATGGTGAAACCCCGTCTCTACTAAAAACACAAAAATTAGCTGGGCATGGTGACGGGTGCCTGTAATCCCAGCTACTCAGAAGGCTGGAGAATCGCTCGAACCCGGGAGGTAGAGGTTGCATTGAGCCAAGATCATGCCATTGCATTCCAGCCTGGATGACAGAGCAAGACTCCATCTCAAAAAAAAAAAAAAAAGTTTAATTGCTCAGTTTGAATCCCAGCCTGCTATTATTAGCCATATGACTTAGGGGAAATTATTTAACCTCTCTGTGCCTTAGTTTCTTTATCTGTAAAATGGGAATGATATTAATGTATACCACATATGGTGAGGATTAAAATAATGCATGTAAAGGCTTACAACAGTGCAGGCACATGGTAAGGACTCAATAAATATTGACTGCTATTGTCATTATCATTATTAACCAAGAAAAGGAAGCCAAGATGAAGAGCAGATATGTGTCAGTTTTGATCTTCCAGGTTGAAGTGTATAGTAGGCAGTTTGCAGTATAGGTTTGGAGCTCAGCAAAGAAGTCAGGGCTAGAGACATCAATTTGGAAGCAAAAAGTATAGAGAAGTTACTTTAAATCATGAGCTTCAGTGAAATGTCAAAGATAGGCGTTGTAGTTCAAGAAGGAATAGATGGGGAATGGAAGCAGGAGAAACGAACAGGCATTCTCTGAGCCAGGCAAGAATTGCTACTTACAATTCTTAGTAGATATAATATACTTTCCATTCCCAATAACCCTACAGCATCATATTTGTTATGCTGGAGCCAGGCCATACTGGCTTATTCAGTGACTTCATATTGGTAGCTTGCAATTGGCCTGGATGAAAGCATTTACACTGCAGAAATGGGAAATGCTACATATCAGAGCTCCCCTGGCCTCCCAGGCTCCCAGTCCTTGCCCTGCCAAGAGCCATATTACTAGGGCAACATATAATTATCCTTACTGTTGAAGAAATGGAAGCTTAGAGAAGTGAAGCCCCTGCCTTTTAAATTGCACAATGATTCCTCTTCATTGAAAATGCCCTTTAACTATTTGGTTTTCCAAAGTTGATATATTTGATGCTTCTAATACTTGAAAACTTAAGTGTATGCCCACTGTGAGTGAGTTATTACATTACTCTAATATTGTATTAGAAAACAATCCTGAATGAGTTTAGAGAAATAGCTTAGAGCATCTGTTGATGATGATTTAAAACACAGGGATTATATTTCCTTGACTGTTAAAGAGTTTGCTGACTAGAAACCATGAGCTGGTTTTATTAGCTATTATACTAAAAAGAGTCATTGAACAAAGGGTAAGTCAGATGATGTGGGAGGGAATGAAAGAATTACAGGTGAATAGTCTCAAATTATTTAATTCATTATACACCATACCTTAATGAGTAGATGAAAAGTTGAATGAAACACTCATTTTACTCTAGAACAGTGTAATTTAAAATGGATGTGTAAAATCGCTTAGCATGAATTCAGAGACTTTACAGGAAAAAAATATATATTTTTTTACTTGTTTCTAAAGTACAAATTCAGTTTATTAATCCGTTTATGACACAGTACACAGGAGGCAAAGTGTTTCACATCATAGACTTCACTTCCAATTCCTTGGAATGTTCATTTCTTTGGCTTACAGGAGAGACTAGACAGGAAAGCCAGGCAATGCTTAGGCAACTAAAATGAGGTTGGGGGCAATGCTAACGTCATCCTCACAGGAACAGCCACAGGGACTGCTAGTCACAAGCGGGTTTTCTAGACCTGTTAGCTGGAAGCATGGGGAGCACCATTTCTGGACGCTCGTGCTGTGTCGGACTTCAGCCATCTCCACCACACAGGTACAGCACCCTTAGTGTCTTGCTGGATGTAATAGTACAGGGACTTGCTATACTTTCTCTTGAATTCAGACCTAATTTTCAACATGTCCACTTCATTGTGGGAGACCATGATTCTGATCAGGACCTTATCTTGAGTCCCCATGCCCATTATGGAGTCGTACAGCCGGTCAGCGAAATACAGGGGCTTGTTCTGAATACACTGGACCAGGTTCAGGAAAGAATTTTCCAGGTCTCCTTTAACCTCTTTCTTGATGCTCTCCAACATGTCATAAGGACTGTAGCTCTTGTACCTATCAAATACTTTCTGGAAGTGGGACATGCTCCGCTCGGTCATGACGCTGATCCACTTGGGAACTTCAGTTCCTTTCCTCTTCACCCCAGCGTCATAGAGATCCCGGGCATCTTGGTCAATCAGTTCATAATCAATGACAGAGCCATCCTCTGCTCTTCTACCCTTTGCCAGGGCAACCATCAGCTTGCAGAAGTCACCAGATGTGTCCGAAATAATGTCCTTCTCCAGATCAGTCTTGTACATTTCCTTGTAGACTCTGTTAATTTCCTGCAGCTCTTGGTTGGTTCTTGAGCAGATGATCTCAATGAGGGAGTCCTTGTTGGTTCCCAGCCCCTTCATGGAAGATTTTAGCTCAGAAGCATCATACTGAGCAGGTGTCTTTAATAGGCCCAAAGCCACTATCTAGGTGGCCAGATAAGGCTGACTTAAGTGCTGATACAAGTTCCTTTTTGGTCCTTCTCTGGTAGGTGAAGGCAATATCCTGTCTCTGTGCATTGCTGTGGTTAGTCAAAATGTTGACAGTGGTGATCTCATCCACACCTTTGGTCTTGATGGCCATTTCAATGTTCAAAGCATCCTGCTCAGCATCAAATTTGGTGTAGGCTTTGACTGACCCAAATGCACTTGGGAGTGTAGAGTGTTCACCCTCCAAGCTGAGCTTGCACAGGATTTCATGAACAGCAGATATTTTGAAGGAAGCTGGGCTGGGCACCAAGACCTGAGAGCGTCCCCAGATGCTGAGCTGAAAATATATTATTTTATGCCCCTCTCCCCTGCCCCACCTCTGCAAACTACCACCTTTCCTCCCTAAAATATATGAGGAGGGAGGTCGTGCTAAGTTGGCATCTTAGGTCATTATAGGACCTTCACCCCATCCTTGAGAATCTCATCCTTGGGAACTCTTCTTGCATTTCAAGTGGAAAAAGATGCAACTAATATTGACTAAGTGCTAGGCACTATGCTGTGTTATAGGGTGCAATGGTGTACAGGACAGATGTTGCTCCTGCCCTCAAGCAACTTACAGTGTAGTGAAGGATACAGACAGTTAAATAAAGTATCATGTGTTAAAGGATGGGGTTTTCTAAAGGATTTTAAAGAGAAAACATGATTCATGTGAGCCCAAAATGTAATTATCTTCACCACCAAAACCCAGAAGAAGCCATGTGTGTATTGGGGAAAAAAGTGTTATGTAAAGGATCAGGAGAACCAGGTTTTATTCTTCCCCCTGTCTCTGATGATCTCGGTAATGTGTCTAGCTTCAACTTTCTCATCTATAAAATGGGGATGATAATGTTTGTCCTGCTATCTCATGGGATGGTATGTGAGAAAATGTACATGAAAGTGCTATAAATATAATTGAACATTTTGTTTTCCAGTGATACAATGGGGGTTGTAATTTACTCACTCATTAATAACTTATTCATGCACTTTTTCATCCAGCAAACATTTGTTAAGCACCTACTTGATTGAAGATCCTGTGTTAGATCTTACACTTGGCTCAGTTTCATCTTGTTGCATGATTCCATTCAAAACATCTAGATTTATTTAGCATTAACTTCTTTTTTTTTTTTTTTTTTGAGATGGAGTCTTGCAGGCTGAAGTACAGTGGCATGATCTCAGCCCACTGCAACCACTGCCTCCTGGGTTCAAACAATTCTCCTGCCTCGGCCTCCTGAGTAGCTGGGATTACAGGCATGCGCCACCATGCTCAGCTAATTTTTTGTATTTTTAGTAGTAGGGATGGGGTTTCATTATGTTGGCCAGGCTGGTCTTAAATTCCTGACCTCAAGTGATCCACCCACCTTGGCCTCCCAAAGTGCTGGGATTACAGGTGTAAGCCATTGTGCCCGGCCAGCATTAATTTCATATTAAGTTGGAGTGGGTGGTGAGAGGAAATCTGCATTTATTGATCCCCTATTTCAGTCTAAGGGTTCACCTTATGTAATCTTCCTGGAGGGGTAGGTGGAAGTGACCAGGAAGAATATGGGTGAGAAGCTGTTGAATTAAAAATTCATTTTGTGCTTCATAGGCTAGACTTGCATCTGGAAAAACAAAATGATTTAATTATGGAATTATAGAATAATTGTTAAATTGATTATAATTACTTTAAAAATTCTTGTTATTCATTCTACTAGCTAATATGTAACCATCAAATGAAATCTTTTACATTAAAGTAGATAGAAAAATATTTTATAAGTATTATATGTGTTTTGTGTTATTTATATTTGTTATGAAAGAACTAGTTTTTATTATATATTTAGAATACTTTAGAGAGAGAGAAGAGACTTTCTACAAATGAAACAGAATTTACTGAAAAGCTTGAAGAGTAAGGCATGATCCCAAATTATTTCTAACTTCTGGAATTGCCTTAAGACACTTTACAAACACTTGAACATTGCAGCATAATGACAATCTACTGTAGTGCTGCATCACCATCAAGATATTTCTAGTTTAACTGTTGGTGAAAATAGTTGGCATCAATTGTCTTCCCAAGTATATGCTAGTGGTGTCCTTTTAATCTTCAGGAGTAACACACTGATTCTGCTGTGCTTTCAGGTAGAGTTTAAAAAATAATAATAATCAATAATCTCCAATACGACAAAAGAGGACCGTAAGAATCAGGAGATGTTACCAGGAATCCCAACCAGCCATTCAGAAACCAAGCCATAGAGCTTAAAGAAAAGATTTTTTAAAAACAAATATTGCAAAATAAAAATGGTAGTGCCTGTTTCGTTTAGCTTCTTTCAAAAATATATAAGCAATGTTAGACAAACAGACATTCCTCTGACCTTGTGATTTAATTTACATGTGGGCAACAGACTTGAGCTCTCCTTAAATTCAAACCAAGAATAAGAGCTGGGCCAACACATTGCCCTTGAGTTCAGCAGAGGTCATGGAACCTCTTTCCAGCAGTGTGGTCTTTTGCAACACAGTCCATTGCTCTTGTGACCTAGTATTAGCAGGTATGGAACATCTCACATTCATGTCAAGCTAAGCATAGAGTCTTCCTTCTCCTTGCTCTGAATGGTCTATTACTATGGAATCCAACTAAATATCTTCCCAAGTTTTAAAATTATACCCCAAAATACAACTATTGCCCATTTCTACTCACACTGAAAAAACGTGTGCTTATTTCTGTAAAGAACAAAAAGTGTTAGTACTTTTTCCTCATATTTTCCCTCCTCCAACATCATGTCCATATTTTCAAAAGGAAAACAGACTCTTTTTGACTAAGACACCTCCTTGACTAGTACTAAAGCACTATTTTCTCTGTTTTTTTTTCTTTTCCTTTTATAAGCTGCTACTGTCTGCATGGTCTTCTGAATAGAATAGGCATCATTCTAGCAGGATAGACAAAAGGCTAGAGGAAGGAGAGCAGCAGGCAGTTTTTGTCCCTACCTGGACCACAAAGACAGTAAATCAGTGTTCATCTATTCTGTTCAGGTGCTTTTTAGCCCCTTCTCTCCTGTTTTTCAGTATTTCTTTCCCTTCCTTGTATGCCCTCTAAGCCTGGGTGCACTTTCAATTTTATATAAGCAAGAATCTAGAATAGCCTGGGTTTTATATAGTCACTTCTTTGGTTTATGGTCCAGCCTCAGTTAATTGGTCTTCATTTCCTCATCTTGTTTAATTCCATGCTTGTGTTTATCAATTTTTTTTTTTTTTTGTAGAGATGGGTTCTTACTGTGTTGCCCAGGCTGTCTCGAACTCTTGGCCTCAAGCAATCCTCCTGCCTCAGCCTCCCAAAGTGCTGTGATTACAGGCACGAGCTATGATGCCTGGCCTATAAAATGTTTTTGATAAATGAAGTTTTTATTCTTTTATTTATTTATTTATTTATTTATTTATTATTATTATACTTTAAGTTTTAGGGTACATGTGCACAATGTGCATGTTAGTTACATATGTATACATGTGCATGCTGGTGCGCTGCACCCACTAACTCGTCATCTAGCATTAGGTATATCTCCCAATGCTATCCCTACCCCCTCCCCCCACCCCACAACAGTCCCCAGAGTGTGATGTTCCCCTTCCTGTGTCCATGTGTTCTCATTGTTCAATTCCCACCTGTGAGTGAGAATATGTGGTGTTTGGTTTTTTGTTCTTGCGATAGTTTACTGAGAATGATGATTTCCAATTTTATCCATGTCCCTACAAAGGACATGAACTCATCATTTTTTATGGCTGCATAGTATTCCATGGTGTATATGTGCCACATTTTCTTAATCCAGTCTATCATTGTTGGACATTTGGGTTGGTTCCAATTCTTTGCTATTGTGAATAATGCCGCAACAAACAACCCCATCAAAAAGTGGGCGAAGGACATGAACAGACACTTCTCAAAAGAAGACATTTATGCAGCCAAAAAACACATGAAAAAATGCTCACCATCACTGGCCATCAGAGAAATGCAAATCAAAACCACAATGAGATACCATCTCACACCAGTTAGAATGGCGATCATTAAAAAGTCAGGAAACAACAGGTGCTGGAGAGGATGTGGAGAAATAGGAATACTTTTACACTGTTGGTGGGACTGTAAACTAGTTCAACCCTTGTGGAAGTCAGTGTGGTGATTCCTCAGGGATCTAGAACTAGAAATACCATTCGACCCAGCCATCCCATTACTGGGTATATATCCAAAGGACTATAAATCGTGCTGCTATAAAGACACATGCACACGTATGTTTATTGCGGCACTATTCACAACAGCAAAGTTTTTATTCTTAAGAGACCCTGGCTTGTCCATACCACCTTTGAAAAATTATTTCTAAGCTGAGCATTTTAGAATTGTTTCTGTTTCTAGCCCATCTGTTTTGCTGTACCTGTTACCTAGCTATTATTCAGACATGGGGGAAAGACCAAAAATAATATTTGTTTTAAAACAAATATAAAATAAAAATGGCAGTGCCCGTTTCATCTAGATTCTTTCAGAAATATATAAGCAACGTTAGACAAACAGATGTTCCTCCAACCTTGTGATTTAACTTACATGTGGGAAACAGACTCAAGCTCTCCTTAACTTCAAACCATGTTGGCACATATCCCCCTTCGAGGGCCAACCACTCCTTTCCTGCTCCCCACTACCAGAAACAACTCGCCATTTCACGAGTGTTCACTGCTTCCATATTCATGCATATTATGGGGATTCTATGTGGGTCGTGTATTGAAGATCCTTTCTTCTGATACATTTGAATTAAAATATGACAGTATCTGGATCTCAAATTTTTCTTTCACGCTAGTGCGAGTAGATGAGATGCAGAGTTAGTGAGTAAACTTGATAGGGTCCATGATTCAATGAACTGACCACCACCTGGGTCTGGTGAGAACCAGCTCATCTATGATGATTCTGCCCAGCAATTTTGTTGTTGATTTTATTCTAAGTTTAATCCATCACCAATTTCAATTCCTAAACCCAAAAATCTGTTTCAGACAAGTCTATTCCCAAACAGTGCTTAAGCAGGTGTTTTACATTAGCCACCACCAGTGCATCCTTGTCTACCCTTTCCTAAGGCACTGCATTGATGTCGAAAAACAAAATAGCAATGGCTCTTTTTTTTTTTTTTTTTTTTTTTGAGACAGAGTCTTGCTCTGTCATCTAGGCTAGAGTGCAGTGGTGTGATCTCAGTTCACTGCAACCTCCACCTCCCATGTTTGTTTAAGCGATTCTCCTGCCTCAGCCTACCGAGTAGCTGGGATTACAGGCACACACTGCCATGCCCAGTTAGTTTTTGTATTTTTAGTAGAGATGGGGTTTCACCATGTTGGCCAGGCTGGTCTCGAACTCCTGACCTCAGGTAATTCGTCCATCTCGGCCTCACAAAGTGCTGGGATTACAGGCATGAGCCACTGTTCCCGGCCCAAATTGCTCTTTTGAATATAAATGAAATTATAAACCTGAAGAATGGTTCTCTCTCTCTATGAAAAATTTATCTTCCTTCCTGGTCATTTTTGAGCAAAATTCATTGTTTCCATTCATTAATATTTACATCATCCTATTGAAATAAATCATAAAAACTTCTTTTAAAACAAAACCAGATGTCCGTTAACCTGTAGATGATTTGCTGTTTTTCTCTCTGCCTCATCTATTCTTTTAAAAGAGAGTCTAGCCGAGGCGGGCGGATCACGAGGTCAGGAGATCGAGACCATCCCGGCTAAAACGGTGAAACCCTGTCTCTACTAAAAATACAAAAAATTAGCCGGGCGTAGTGGCGGGCGCCTGTAGTCCCAGCTACTTGGGAGGCTGAGGCAGGAGAATGGCGTGAACCCGGGAGGTGGAGCTTGCAGTGAGCCGAGATCCCGCCACTGCACTCCAGCCTGGGCGACAGAGCGAGACTCCGTCTCAAAAAAAAAAAAAAAAAAAAAAAAGAGAGTCTAGTATGGCCAGGTGTGGTGGTTATTGTGGTATGTACCTATAGTTCCAACTAGTTGAGAGGCTGACACAGGAGCATCGCTTAGGCCCAGGAGTTTGAGACCAGCCTGGGCAATATCGCAAGACCCTGTCTCAAACAAACAAAACAAATCAAAAAAAGAATCTAGTATGGGTGGAAATATTTTCTTGGATTAATGAATTTCCTTTTGCCTTTCTTATCTAATCTACAAAGCACCCTGCGAGAATATCTTTTTATAATTTCAGGAAGAATATCCAGCCTCTGAGATATTGAATCTTTGAAAATAATCTATAAGTAAATCCATAATATGAAAATCGCCTACTATTTTTATAACTATCTGTGGCCTTCGGTTTGTCAAATGTACTGAAAGCCAAGCGTCCACATTTCTTCCAAGAGCTGCTGAGTGAGAGGGTAGAATTTTGGCAAAACTGTAAAATAAGGCCCTTTCCTGTTGCATATCCTTAGGGCAAGGCCCCTTTGCCAGGTTTCCCTCTCCCACTAAAACCAAGAATGGCAGGACCCAAACTGAGTCTGAACCATCCCAAATGCCCCACACACCCCAAATGCAAACCAGGTCCACAAAGATAGAAGACAGAGGCAGAGTGACCAGGGCTGAGAATGTTTATTGCCATGCCCAAGGCAGCACAGACCTGACAGATAGCAGTGCCATAGGGTAAAGTGGGAAAGCCATGTCAGATAAAGGCAGGCCGTATTAGTTTTTATTATGATGTCTTTGTGGGATCTAAGAATATTTTAAACATGTTAATATGCAGCTACAAATTAATAAGAGAAGATTGACATTTACTTAAAAAAGTGATTTTGCAGAGACTGTTGTCAGGAAGAGAGGTTTAATAGCATATGGATTAGGTTATTGGGGAGGGAGGGTGCCCTTTTTTTAAAGTATATTTAAAAACAATGCATTCTCAGGTACCTGTGGAAATCTGAATTATTCTCTTGCTGAAACAGAGAAATCTAACCCTTTAGTGCTTAATTTTTATGATTTTATCATTTATTTTAGGTACCAAAGGAAGAAATAAAGGAGAGTTTACAAATCTTCAGGGGGTAGCTGCATCTACAAATGGAAAGATATTAATTGCAGACAGTAACAACCAATGTGTGCAGGTATAGCCCCTAATTATATACCTTTAACTACTTATATTGATAAAAATATATATAGTTACATATATTCCTACTTTAGACTTCAGATACATGGTGTAAGGAAAAAAGCTTATGTTTATGTAGACTTTTCTTCAAATAGAGTTTGCGTGTTCTGATCTCTGTATGTATGGCAGATGTTTCTGCCTATGCCTTCCTCAGCAATGCCTGTACTAGTTCACATTCCAATGAATGTAATTTATCTTACAGATATTTTCCAATGATGGCCAGTTCAAAAGTCGTTTTGGCATACGGGGACGCTCTCCGGGGCAGCTGCAGCGGCCCACAGGAGTGGCTGTACATCCCAGTGGGGACATAATCATTGCCGATTATGATAATAAATGGGTCAGCATTTTCTCCTCCGATGGGAAATTTAAGGTAAGATTAACTACTAATTGTTCACTAAACAATGGAGAGAAGGAACAGGAAATACAAAATGAAATTGCATATTTCTTTTTTGAGATGCAGTGCAACATTCAACAATTCTTCATACACAAAGATATCTGACATCTAAGTTTGTGAAGTGAGAGTAACAGTGATAATTTCATAAATCTATTCATATATATCCTAAATGTGGCTTTGTTTTTTAAAGCAATTAGGTTGCTCAGTCACTTTTTTTCTTTAAAACCATAGATTTACAGGGAAACTGGTCCTGTTACCTCAATTCAATGAAAAACAACAAGGTTTTCAAAAGAGTTATTAAGAGGCAGTTTATATTTCTCAAATTAGTCTACATGTTGTCACTTAGGAAGTACTTTTTACTTTCTCAGGCCTGTGACAGATGATATGGGAGAAACAGAATTGTAAAAAATAGTTTCCACCTTTTAAAAATGTACAGGCCCATTTTGGAAAAAAGACTCAAACACAAGAAATGACAGAAAACAATTTATGTCAGTCTCTAATGAGTCGTACATTGATACAATCTGAAAACATACGTACATAATATGGGACTTGGAAAAAAAAAGAAAAGGCTGAATTTCCAGAGAAAATGGAAGTGGAGCTACACTTTGAGGGATCCCATTGTTTGATATATTTGCTATCATTCCCAGCGTCAGCTTTTTGCAAATAAAAATTTAACTCAATGTCTTCACCTAATTGCCAAAGAGTAGAGAGCCCTCTGGTGATAACAGAAATCTCTCTTATGAAGTGTCATCAAAGAATTGTATCAGCCCGCCCATTTTCTACATTTGCTCATAAAAAAATTGTGAGACACGTCGTCAAAGATCTTTGTAAGGGCCATTTGCATTATGCCTTTTTTTTTTTTTTTTTTTTTTTTTGAGACGGAGTCTTGCTCTGTCACCCAGTCTGGAGTGCAGTGGCGCGATCTCAGCTCACTGCAAGCTCTGCCTCCCAGGTTCACGCCATTCTCCTGCCTCAGCCTCCTGAGTAGCTGGGACTACAGGTGCCCGCCACCACGCCCGGCTAACTTTTTGCATTTTTAGTAGAGACGGGGTTTCACCGTGTTAGCTAGGATGGTCTGGATCTCCTGACCTCATGATCCGCCCGCCTCGGCCTCCCAAAGTGCTGGGATTACAGGCGTGAGCCACCACGCCTGGCCGCATTATGCCTTATATATTTCCCTGTCCAGCCTACTAGAGGCTTCTATTTCTGTTGATAACATGAGTTTTAACTCAGATCAACACATTGCCATCCCAGCTTATTACTGTTTGGCCATCTGCAAATCGTAACTTCCTTGAGCTTCAATAGCCTTGTTTTTAAAATTTTGATTTAAAAAAGATCTATCTTGGCCAGGCGCAGTGGCTCAGCCTGTAATCCCAGCACTTTGGGAGGCCGAGGCGGGCGGATCACAAGGTCAGGAGATCGAGACCATCCTGGCTAACACGGTGAAACCCCGTCTCTACTAAAAATACAAAAAAATTAGCCGGCCGTGGTGGCGTGCACCTGTAGTCCCAGCTGCTGGGGAGGCTGAGACAGCAGAATGGTGTGAACCCCGGGAGGCGGAGCTTGCAGTGAGCCAAGATCGTGCCACTGCACTCCAGCCTGGGCGACAAAGCAAGACTCTGTCTCAAAAAGAAAAAAAAAAAAAAAGATCTATCTTGCCTGGGCATGGTGGCTCATGCCTGCAATCCCAGCACTTTGGGAAGCTGAAGCAGGAGGATTGCTTGAGCCCAGGAGTTCAAGACCAGCCTGGGAAACATGGCAAGACCCTGCCTCTACAAAAAATAAAATTAGCCAGGTGTGGTTGCACAGGCCTGTAGTCCCAGCCACTTGGGAGGCTGAGGTGGGAGGATTGCTTGAGCCCAGAAGTTAGAGGCTGCAGTCACCCGTGACTACACCTGTGCACTGCAGCCTAGGTGACAGAGTAAGACCCTGTCTCAAAAGAAAAAAAAGACCTATCTCATAGGATTTAAGCAAAGACTAAATGAGATTTTATGTGCCACATACAAAATAAGGATCTAAGAAATGAATGTTCTTTTCCATGCCGCTAGTAACCCTGTCCAAAAAATGAAGTCTTGTTTGGTCAGCTGTGATCTGGGCTTCATGTCCTCATGCAGGCACCTGGTGGTCATCACTTTGTCTAGGAGTTTGGAGATGCTGCTTTTCATAATCCAATCTGGAATTCTAAAGATTACTCAAAGTGTACTTATTGGTTTCTTTCTGGAAGAATTTCTGTTTTCCTTTTTAAAGTCTTCAGACTGCTGTAGTCCCCTCATTGTTTTAATGAAATGAGTTACGTAATTGTGAAACTCTCAGATTTGAGCCTCTGTTTTGTGTGAGGCAGCATCTTGTCAATTTTGGAGACTGAAAAACTGTCATTTTTTATTCCATAATATTGCATGCAATTCTTCAATCACCCTTGAATTTTTGGTTTCACTAGAAATTTAATGGCTCTGTATGATGACCACATATATATAAAAATCTCCTGCCTTTCTGTAGCTCTAACTTCTTCCCCCTTTTTTGCATTTTAATAATTGTATATGTGGTAAGACATACCCAAATATGACAAGTTTAATGTGAATATTTATATCTTGAATATCTTGAAAATGTTTATATAGTTTGGAGGCAACCCATTTGTTTATGTTTTATACTCTAGCAAAACCGTGATCTGTCTTTGTAAATTCAGAAGCTAATACTAAAATAGGTTCACTTACGGAGACAGGAGTTTTATGTCTAAGGAAGAAGGGCTCTCTAAGCATTTTTTGTTCAGTGGTTCAATAGTCTATCTGTAATAGACACTCTTAGAAGAACTGGGTTCTTAGAGTTGGAATATTAAAGGTAATAATGAGAATAAACTCTAAAGAACACTCATGCCCCCTAGAGGATTGGGGGAGTGGAGGTGGTGTAGTTTCAGCAATACCCTCTTCTATGATAGGTGTTGATCAAAACCCAAAGGGTAAAAGGATAGCATGTAAAAACACTTTAGGACCCTCACAGGAGTTCATCCAAGTGGAATATCCACAGGTATAGACAGAGATACTTATTTTCTTCTTTTTCTTCTTTGGTGGGACTCAGTAAAATTAAACAAGTGCTGAGAAAGACACACGTTTAACACCAGTGTAGACTCTTTGTATTTATTCCTAGTAGTTCCAGAGATGTAACATCTTATCTCCTTTTCTTTTATTCACCAATTTATTAGCCCTAATTTTTATTTCTCTCTGCCTCCTCTGAATTTATTCTATCTTCCCCACTGCCTCCTATCTTCCAGCCCATCTAGAAACCTTTTCTATCCAAACAAATGGAAACACCTCTGGCCACCTTACTCTAAAATATCTCATCTCTTTCCTGTTCAATTTAAGGAACTATTTGTTGAGTTAAATACCCTGATTAAACCATTCCAAAGGCAGGGTTAAAATATTTTTGCTGGGCCGGGCACAGTGGCTCACATCTGTAATCCCAGCACCTTGGGAGGCCGCAGCGGGCAAATCACCTGAGGTCAGGAGTTCAAGACCAGCCTGGCCAACATGGTGAAATCCCATCTCTACTAAAAACACAAAAAATTATCTGGGCATGGTGATGGGCGCCTGTAATCCCAGCTACTCGGGAGGCTGAGGCAGGAGGATCACTTGAACCCGGGAGGCAGAGGTTGCAATGAGCTGAGATTGCGCCATTGCACTCCAGCCTGGGCAACAAGAGCAAAACTCTGTCTCAAAAAAAAAATATATATATATATTTTTTGTTGTTTACTATTCTGTTTAAGATGGGGTTGACACAATCAGGGAAATGCAGGGATTCTTACCTTTCACTTGGTTGAATCCAGTGCAGCTAAACTAGGAGTGATGAAGGGAAGTGTAAAGAAATTTTGGTTCAATGTTTAAGTTATTCTTTCAGATCTGCCCTAGTTGTCACTACATGATAGAATGGAAGTAACCCTTTATTTTCTCTTTTTATTCTAGATAATTATCCATTTGATATTATTTGGTTGAGTCATCTAAGCAACTACAAGTGTTCATAATGTTAGGTAGTAATGACATTCTTGTTTTAATCATCGAAGTGCCTTCTCTCCCTTTTGATCTCTGCTGACTTACCCTCCATTTAGACATGAAACAACAAATGCCATTTCTTTACCCACCATTGTGTTATAGCCTCTTTGATCTTTGGGCTAGATTGGAGAATCAGAATCAAATTTACACAGCAGTTCCTCTTGCCAAGAAAACCACTGTTTCTTTCCTAAGTAATTGTGTTCCTTTGCTCTAAAGAGATGAAATCTGAATCTTCATCATTTATAAACTTAGAAGAATAAAAGGAGCATATAAAGTCTAAAGTCCCCATCATGCAAAGTCCCATCCTGCTACTAGAAAATTTAAAAATACATATGTGGTTCACATTATATTTCTATCAGACAGCACTAATATAGAGAGATAAAATAAGAAGGCTAAAGCATAACCTATGAGAATATAACTTTTTGGGTTTTCTAAGATATAGACGCTGATTTCTCACTTTTCCTTCCAGAAGTCTATGTACATACATGCACACATATAACACATGTGGACTCAGACTACACTCATTGTTCCTTACCTTAATTTGTTTAATAGCATGTCTGAGAGTTTTTGTTGTTGTTGTTGTTTTCGAGACAGAGTCTCGCTCTGTCACCCAGGCTGGAGTGAGGTGGCGCGACCTTGGCTAACTGCAACCTTCATCTCCCAGGTTCAAGTGATTCTCCTGCCTCAGCCTCCTGAGTAGCTGGAATTATAGGCACCCACCACCACACCCAGCTAATTTTTGTATTTTTAGTAGAGATGGGGTTTCACCACCTTGGCCAACTGGTCTCGAACTCCTGACCTCAAGTTATCCACCCACCTCGGCCTCCCAAAGTGCTGGGATTACAGGTGTGAGCCACCGCGCCCGGCGAAGAGTTCTTTCATAAAAACACATAGATCTGCTTCCCTCCAACACGTCAAGCCTGGGTGCCAGGGAGAACTGTGGTTCTTATAGTTTCCCTGACTTAACATACATTCCTTCCTGCTGTTTCCTCACCTGGGGTGGTCCTTCGCCTTCCTTGTCTGCTGTGGCGTCATCAAGTTTTCACTTCACATGCATTCTGAGATGGCCTAATTGAATTCTCCCAAGTATATTAAAATGAAGACTCAATACCACACTCTTTAAAGAGATACAGTAGACATGTTTGTCCCTGCAATGTGACTGAGACATACTTGAGGGCAAGAGCTACGTCTTATTTGTGTTTGTTTGCCATGTGCCTAGAATACCGTCAGGCACATAGTGGGTGCTTGGGCAGTGTTTGTAGAATTAGGAAATAAATAAGTGAATGAGTGAAGCACTTCTTTATACGTAGTCTAGAAAATTAAGCTATAGAAAGAAAAGTAAAGGTACAAGACCTGTATCTCATGGCAAATAGACATTTAAATACACACCACAGTCTACTCAAGAACAGGAATAAAATTTAAAATACGGTATATGATTGATAGAAATCAAATGCTTTTCCCCTATTTTAAAATATGATAAAAAGTGGAGCCATTTAATCATTATGATTGCCCTATAATAATGCTAGACTTTTAAAATTAATGTATCCAATAGATATTCATTGAATATTTATTATGCACCAAGAAGTGTGTTGCCCCTGAGTACACAATGGTGAATAAAACAGATGTGACTCCCGCCCAAGGAGAACTTAATTCTCGTAAAGTTTAATGCTAGATGCCAGGCAATTTTGATATTATGATCTATAACAATGACAGTGATGGCTTCCCTACAGTGACTGCTTGCTGTGTGCTACACTCTACAGTAAACCCTTTACCTACCTTATTTTACTTAATACATCTTCCAAAAATGCCATTAGGAGTTGTCGAGTTGTCATTTTTTGGACATTTTTTAATGTATAAGGAATCTGAAGTTTAAGGAAATGAAATCCATCTGTGCTATTCCAGGTGTGTTTAAAGCAAGCAATGGAAGTAGGTCATTCTTCTGAGTCATAATCCAGTGATCTTTCACCAGATCACACCGCCTCTTCAGCAGGGAACTGTGACCCCAGTTTAGGGGATCCTAGACTATTTTTGGTGGTGATCTCTTTTAAGAATAAGGATTTTAAGGGCTGGGCACGAGGGCTCATGCCTGTAATCCCAGCACTTTGGGAGGTCGAGGTGGGTGGATCACAAGGTCAGGAGTTCAAGACGAGCCTGGCCAACAAAGTGAAACCCTGTCTCTACTAAAAATACAAAAAAAATTAGCCAGGCATGGTGGTGCACGCCTGTAGTCCCAGCTATTCAGGAGGCTGAGGCAGGAGAATTGCATGAACCCAGGAGGTGGAGGTTGCAGTGAGCCGAGATTGCACCACTGCACTCCAGCTGGGACAACAGAATGAGACTTCGTCTCAAAAATAAATAAATAAATAAATAAAAGAATAAGGATTTATATAGATATCAGCAGCAGATAATGGATGTGACAAAGCCAGTTTTCCAAGACAGAAGTTCATTGTGATATATGAGTAGCTGTGTACCCGTTTGAACCTTCAGGTAAATGTTGACCAAAACAGTGTTTATCTTCATGTTCTGTAGTGGTTTAAACTTTGACTCTATACTGTACTTCTATTTCTGTACTTGTTTCAAACAGACAAAAATTGGATCAGGAAAGCTGATGGGACCCAAAGGAGTTTCTGTGGACCGCAATGGGCACATTATTGTTGTGGACAACAAGGCGTGCTGCGTGTTTATCTTCCAGCCAAACGGGAAAATAGTCACCAGGTTTGGTAGCCGAGGAAATGGGGACAGGCAGTTTGCAGGTACACTCGATGGTAATATGTAAACCCCCTTTTTTATGCTTCTTCTGCTCACATTTGCATGATGTTGGAGCATGTTGAAGACACCGCATCCCTAGTGTGTTTGCTGGCTTTGGGAAAGATGCTGGGGATAAAATCTAAGCAAAAGCATGTTTCGTTGCTTGAGCCTTAGTCACCGCCACCCACCCGGCAGTAAGTTGAGCTGCAGTCCTTGTGTGGTTTTTATCGGTGGCAGTTCACAACTCAGAAGTCTAGCTTTGAAATATTCATATTAAATAAGGTATAAATTTTAAAATAAAAATATTTGAAAAACAAGGAATAACTACTGTTTCAGCCTAGCTGTAACTTTGCTTAAAAAGCCACTGAATGAGAATTTTTTTTCACCTTTCTAGGTTATTGTAAGAGAACAGGAGTCTAGAATATTTGCTAGGTTTAAGGAGGGCAGTCTGTTTTACGTCTCTTTGGTGTAGCACTTTGCAATCACAAGCTTATTTAGGTTTTTGCATTTGCAAGAAGAGGCTGAAAATAGCTTATTAATTTTCTTTTTGAAAGGATGCTTTTGGCACTTAGTATTAATTTGCATAATATTTGTTTATGCTTTGTCTCCAGTTCTGCCAAGTTTCTGAATGTCACCCAGAATTATAGTGTGGGTTTTCTGTTGTTTTGTTTTGTTTTGTTTTGTTTTTGAGACAGGGTCTCGCTCTGTCACCCAGGCTGGAGTGCAGTGGCGTGATCTCAGCTCACTGCAGCCTCGACCTCCTGGGTTCAAGTGATCCTCCTGCCTCAGCCCTCCAAGTAGCTGGGACTACAGGCATGTGCCACCATGTCCAGCTAATCAATTTTTAAAAATTACATATTGGAGTCTCTTTTCCAATGCTGAGTTGCCACGTCTTTCCTTGGTGGGAGCTGAGGGCTCTAAAATGACTAACAGATACTCAGGGAAGCTGGCAGATGTGACTTTTAGATGGTGGCACGGAGAATGAATTCTGATGCTTACTGCTCCTCCCACTTCATTAGGGCTGCTAGAACTCCCAGCCTGCTTGAGAAAGAGTCAGAATAGACTGGCGCAAGTAGAGAATAATATAGGATCCATGTTATCTGCAACTGGAGGTCTGGCTGAATGATCTTTCAAAGACTGAGTCTATGATTCTTTGTACTTTCTTAAATAACTAAGTTAATATATTAAGTTTGTTTGTTACAGTAACTGCTATATGTAATCACTTTTGTTGTAGTCATCACATATTTTTTTCCATCTTTATTGCAGGTCCCCATTTTGCAGCTGTAAATAGCAATAATGAGATTATTATTACAGATTTCCATAATCATTCTGTCAAGGTACTACAAGCACATGAGTTGTTGTTAACTTTTAACTGCTTTTATGGAGAAATTGGTCTGCGAGAAAATAATGCAATACTTACATATGGCACCAAAGGGAGTTAACCAGCAGAGTAGACTTTGTTCTGCTCAAAGATGCCGGTTTTAACTTGGACTTACAGACCTTGGAAAGTCAGGAAATTGAATAAAATGTGGTGGCAATAAGTTGCTTAATTTGAAACTGGTGCAAATGAAGAGGACTTGAAAATTAAATTTTAAAAAGCAATTCGTTGAACTTAGAGGCAGAACTTTCTGAAGCTTAATGTTTTGTGGCTAGTCAATAAATTAAAATCACTTTTTCAATTTTCCGCATCTTTTTGTTAAAAAAAAAATTAGATGTTCGACTCTGTTACAACAACAGACAGCATGGGGAGGGGGATAATCCTAGCATACATTCATACAGTATATTTTATACTTCTTAGAATGCTTTCACACATTTGGTGTTCTTTAGAAAACAGTGACCTATAGTATATCTTTCTTACTAGGTACCAGGGGAGAGAGAATTGAACTTTATTATGAGAAAATCAGGAAATAATAAAATGGTTCAAAACACATTACTCACTTACTGAAATGATGAGGAAATATTTAGTAATATCCTAGATCAGGCTTCTCAAGGTGTGATGCATGTTCCACTGAAGGTATGATCCGTGGCCATAGGCAGTACACTGGTGGATATTTTTATTTTAAGTTATGCATTTATTTTAGGGCTACCTTTTGTTTACATCAAGTGATGCTGTTTTGCACTTACAGACATAATAAAGTTTTTCTTTTAAATACATTAATCTAAATTTTAAAAGGTGAGTCATTTTAAAGGAAAAATGATAAGGAAACAGCAGAGGATGGTATGCCAGTGAGTAAAGTTTGCACTTAGAAACAATGACTGAGCAACCAAAATTAATAATGACTTATCAGTGCTAATGACTGCGATAGCTAGATAAGGGGTAGGTTTTTTAACACCCAAAGGTACTCTCTGTGATGTCCTTTCTGCATCCTGGAGAGCCTCTAACCTGAGTAAATGGAGAGGGCTTGGATCTTTTTGATGGGTGCCAAGTCCCTGTGCAGACAGTAGCGCACAGTGGGCTGCGGAAATGGGGTCAGGATAAGGGAACAGGGTGCCCACCGTTGCTTTTTTCTGAAACTGCTCCCTGCCATATTGTCTCTCCAGAGATGCTCACATGGTGGCATAGGTCCCCCCTACACTCAAATGCAGATAATCTGCATTCTCTGCTGAAACTACTGTCCATGGGAAGTGTCTTGGTAAAAGGAATAGGATAGTGGAAAAAGTTGGTAGCCAAAGAAGGACGGAAGTAGAGAGCAAAGAGGCAGCAGTAACCGGGCTGGGGACTGCCTCCCCAAGAGTTATAACAGTGCTGGAGAATGAGCACAACTGTCAAAGGATAACACAGGTTGTTCTCATACTTCCTACTCTCACTCACTTTGTAGAGGAATCATTCATATAACTACAGGGCATTCAGCAAGAAGGAAACCCATATGAGATCCTAATAGTACAAAGGCCAGCAAATGCTTGCATAGGTTCTGCCCACTCCCAGCTGAAAGACAGTCATAATTAATCAAGTGGCTCTTTTCTACTAAGCGCAACTGTGATCTCAGAGCCTTTCCTGTCCAGTGCTCCAGGCAACCTCTAAGAATCAACTGGCATTGGTATGTGGGACGGCTCCTATTTACCAGTCCTGGCTGACACTGTAGAAAGAATTAAAACATATGTAAGTAGCCAAAATGCAAGGCAGGTAGCACTAAATAGTTTCATAAAATAGGTACATATAAAGTTTCCTAACTTTCCAAAAGAAAAGAGAAGATTTCCTTAATTAAGATGATCAGAGGAGACTTCCAAGTGGAGATGGTATTTGACATGAGCAGAATTTTGAAATCAGGAAAGGGCTATCATCAAGGTGATTTTTTTAAAAAACTTGCTTTAAATATTTATTGTAAAAAGCAAAGCTGTAAAAACTATTTAAGCTGATACTTCTGCCTCTTAATTTGTTTTCATGTGAATAATTTTTAAGTAATTAAATGGCATTTTAGTCGGGAAAAATAGAAAATATGAAACATTTATAATTCTTAATATTCTGAAAACTCTTCAAGTTTTCAGCATGGTAGAAGTAGATTATTTTAGCTATTTATTTAAACTCAATTTTCTTCTTGTTTTAAAAAACCATAGCCTTTCGTTGTTGTTTCTCTTCTTTTTGACAACTATTGCCAAATAAGTTTTATGGAATACTTGGGTTTTTCTTCCCCATGTAATGCTGGGCAGTTAGCAATAGTTCTGAATTCAGGTCACTTCTCTGTTGATAAGTGTAAAATGCATATCTATAGGTCAGTGCTAACAAGGGGTCTAGTTAGCTTCTTAGCTATCTGCAGAATATATTTTCTTTTCATCACAAAACAAGTAAGACTAGATTTGGCATCCTTCATTATCCCAAAATGAAGCAAAACTACTTGAGTCATTTGGATTATGCCCAGGAAAACATATTGACTCAGAAAGATAAACAAGGCTGGGCGCAGTGGCTCACGCCTGTAATCCCAGCACTCTGGGACGCCAAGGCGGACAGCTCACCTGAGGTCAGGAGTTCGAGACCCGCCTAGCCAACAGGGCGAAACCTCGTCTCCAGTAAAAATACAAAAATTAGCCGGGCGTGGTGGTGGGCGCCTGTAACCCCAGGCCCTCAGGAGGTTGAGGCAGGAGAATTGCTTGAACCAGGAAGTGGAGGTTGCGGTGAGCCAAGATTGTGCCACTGCATTCCAGCCTGGGTGACAGAATAAGACTCCATCTCAAAAAAAAAAAAAAAAAAAGAAAGAAAGATAAACAAAATGACTATTTGTAGGGCTTAGTAAGGGAAAAAAATAGAGAATAATAAATTGTGTCCAGCATAAACATGTTCCCACTGGTCTTTAAAACTACAATGTGTTATGTAAAAGGAGACAAAAAGAGTCAGAAAAAAAATTTAAATATGGCATCTTAGTAAAAGCTGGTTGTTCTTGCCCTGGTCCTTTCTAAAGAACCACAAAGGTGGCTTGCTTTCTTGGCAAGTACGTAATGAATTCAGGAAGTAGCCATGACTCTTTCTTTTTTATCGTAATGTGAGTTTAGCCTGTAGAGATGGAAGTGTCCTACTTTCCCAAGGTACTTACCTAAAAGTAATGGTCATTTTGATCTTCTGTAATCAGAGATGACAACAGGTGGCTCTCTAAAAGGTCTTGAGATCATCCCCAAATGAAGATCTGTACTCAAATATAGTGAGCTCTTTCAGTTCTACATTTGAGGAAACCTTACTCTCAAAGTGCCTTTTACATAATACTTTCAGATTTGTCAATGAATATTTCTATGCATCTAGGCATCATGACAATGGAAGTTAAAAATAATGTCCTGGAGACATTTCAAAACCATTAGGTATCATCTGAATCATCAAGATACAATTATGCTTACTATAGTGTTATCATTAAACATTAACATTTACTTTTTTCAAAATCAGTGATCTGTATTGATACATATTTAGTAGCACTCTATTAATAAGAATATGTAATTAACCACAGCACTCCACTGCTTGACCATATCAGATGTTAGAGAATTTGCTTAAGAGTTCTGTTTAGCCCCCTACTTCTAACAGCTTCCCGTCTCTCTACTGAGAGATAAAAGAGTAATAGAAAATAGAGTAATAGAAACTACTTTTATATTCATCAAAGCCTTAGGATCATATAAACTCTCGAACTAAAATATCTTCTGAGGGTAAATAAAAAAGCCCTTCTCTTATTTCTCACCTGCTGCTACCACACATGTGCACACACACATGCAATGAATTTCTCCCATTCTAAGTATGGAGTCCAGCCTACTCTTTCTAGTTATGTTGATGTAGTAAAATGATAATAAATTCTGAGCATCTGGCATAACAAAAAACTCCTACTCTCTGATCCAACTTTTAATGGTCATCCATCCTGTTAGAAATATAAATATAATGCCCATTCTTGAAATTAGCAATTTCTTTAAAGGTGGGAAGAATAATATTATTGAAAATTATAGCACTTCTTACTCATACTTACTTGTACAGTATTTTATAACAAAGGTATCATTCACATAAGGATTTAATAACCAGATATAAGCCAAAAAAAGTGATGATTTAACAAATGATAAATCAGATTTATACAGTAATTTGGGGAACCACAATGATATGCAGTCTGTCTTGTAGATTTCATTTTCTTTTTTTAGAATGTCTTAAATGATAAGTCTTGTTATAAATAACCTGCTCAAATAGATATTTTTTTAATCCATCATGTTGGTTCAAGTATTTTGATGTAAAACAAAATAATTTAAAAATATTTCATACAGGTGTTTAATCAGGAAGGAGAATTCATGTTGAAGTTTGGCTCAAATGGAGAAGGAAATGGGCAGTTTAATGCTCCAACAGGTGTAGCAGTGGATTCAAATGGAAACATCATTGTGGCCGACTGGGGAAACAGCAGGATCCAGGTAGATCAATGTGCTAATGTATATGGTTAGAGTGTTTGGTATTTGTTAAAAGTGAAGAATTTGCTGTCCCCCAAACTGGAATGTTTTCTCTTTTCCATTGGTTAGGACATAGAACCATAGATACTCTCACCAGAAGGACCAAACTCAGCAAGATGGAGTAGAAAAAATGTTACCAGACTGAAACCCTCTAAATTGGGGTTTTAATATGGACCCCACAGACCCCCACAAAGGGTCTGAAGATAGAATTCAAGGGGGCCATTGAATAAAAATACTACATTATTATATTTATGAACCTCTGGCTGAAAATTATCATTTCCCTTAATCATGAATATAAGCAACAATCATAGTAATTTTAGTAATGCCTATGACTTTGTCACCAAGAAAAATCACAGAAATTTTCATATCATATTGTTGCAAAAATCTTGAATTGTCACTTATTCTCATCACTACTTCAAAATTACAGTAATTATTAGACCCATTACTATTTCTTATTATTTAATGTGCTAATTTTTAGAAGCACACACATATTGCTCTATCATAATTTAGTAATATTTCAATAGCTATATTTTAATATGGTTTTTTACAATCCCATGTGTTTTGTTTTATGAATTTTAAAACACTATTGTGCTAAATGACCCTTGAGTCAAAGAGGGAGTCTCAAGGAAAATTGTAAAATATATTGGACTGAATGAAAATGCAAATAGAACGTATCAAAATTTGTGGAATTTAGCAAAAACAATGCTGAGAGGGAAATTAATACGCTAAATGCTTCTATTAGAAAAGAGGAAACATTTTAAATCAATGGTCTAAGCTGCCATCTCAAGAAGCTAGAAAGAAAAGAGCAAACCCCAAACAAGCAGAAGGAAGCAAGGCCGAAATTAAAGGCTGGGCGCTGTGGCTCATGCCTTTAATCCCAGCACTTTGGGAGGCCAAGGCAGGCAGATCACTTGAGGTCAGGAGTTCGAGACAAGCTCGGCCAACACGGTGTAACCCCATCTCTACTAAAAATACAAAAAATTTGCCAGGTGTGGTGGCAGGCGCCTGCAAGCCCAGCTACTCAGGAGGCTGAAGCAGGAGAATCGCTTGAACCCAGGAGGAAGAGGCTTCAGTGAGCCAAGATCACATCATTGCACTCCAGCCTGGGCAACAGAAGGAGACTCTGTCTCAAAAAATTAAAAAAAAAAAAGAAATGAAATTCAAAACAGAAAAGCAATAGGGAAAATCCATGAAATAGCAAACTGGCTCTTTGAAAAGATAGTAAAACCAACAAAACCCTAGCAAGACTGACAAAGGAAATAAGAGAAAAGACACAAAATACTAATATTAATACATGTTCTGTAGACATCAAAAGGATAATAAGGGAATTCTGTGAACAACTCTACATACACAAGTTTGACAACTTAGATGAAATAGACAACTCCTCAAAAAATACCAACTCCACAACTCCCGTATGAAATAATTTGAATAGCCCTATAACTATTAAGAAAATTTAATTCATAATTTTAAAACACCAAAAAGAAATGTCTAGATGGAGATGATTTCACCATGGAATTCTTCCAAATGTTTAAAGAATTTAGTAACAATTGTATACAATTTCTTCCAGAAAATAGAAGATAAGAGAATACTTCCCAACTCATTTTCCAATCAGCTTTTGAAGCCCTGATACCAAAACCAGGCTAAGACAGTACAAAAAAGAAAGCTACAGACCATATTCCTCCTGTGTGTAAAAATTCTTAAAGATATATTAACAAATATAATTCAGCAATATGTAAAAATTGCTCCATGACCAAGTGGAGTTTATTCCAGGAATGCAAGACTGGTTTAGTATTAGAAAATCAGGGAGTCTCTGAGCTACTCTGGCTTGGGAGGCTGCCCTTTAAAAAATAAAAATAAAAATAAAGAAAATCAGTCAATGTAATAATCCACCATAGTAAAATTCTAAAGAAGAAAAACTATATGATCATATCAATTGACACTGAAAAATCATTTGACAAAATTTAATACCCATTCATGACAAAACTCTCAGAAAACTAAGACTCTCTCAACTTGATAAACAACATCTATGAAAACCATAGCTAACACCATACTTCATAGTAAAAGACTGAATGCATTCCCTATAGAGCAAGGATGTCTGCAAGGATGTCTCACCATTCTTGTTCAATATAATACTAGAAGTTCTAGCCAGCACAAAAGGTAGAAAGGAAATAAAAAGCTTACAAATTAGAGTGGAAGAAATTAACCACTCTCCCTGTTTGCAGATAACATGATGTTTACATAGAAAATCCCAAAGAATCTATAAAAACAGTTCCTAGAATAGGTGAGTTCAGCAAGATTGCAGAATATAAGATCAACATACAAAAATCAATTATGGTCAGGCACGGTGGCTCATGCATGTAACGCCAGCACTTTAGGAGGCCAAGGTGGGAAGATTGCTTGAGGCCAGGAGTTTGAGACTAGCCTGGGCAACACAGGACGACACTATCTCTACAAAAGAATACAAAGATTAGCCAGACATGGTGGCACATGTCTATAGGCTCAGCCACTCAGGAGGCTGAGGCATGAGGATTCCTTAAGTCTGGGAGTTGGAGATTGCAGTGAGCTATGATTGTGCTACTGCACTCCAGCCTGGGTGACAGAGCAAGACCCTGTCTCTTAAGAAAAAACAAAAAAAAATTATATTTTTATAAACTAGCAACTAACAGTGAAAACCAAAATTAAAAACACAATACCATTTAGAATCACTGAAAAAATATATACTTAGATATTATAACAAAACATATTCAATATTTGTATGCTGAAAACTATAAAATGCTGGCAAAAGAAATCAAAGAAGTTCTAAGTAAATGGAGAAACAACTGTGTTCATGGATTGCAAGACTCAACAATGATGTCAGTTGTCTTCAAATTAATATACAGGTTTAACACAAAATCTCAGCAGGATTTTTTGCAGATATAAATCTTATTTTAAAATTTATATGGCAAGGCAAAGGAAATAGCTAAAACAATTTTGAAAAAGAAGAATAAATTGAGAGGAATCACTCTACCCTTACAAACCCATAGAGTAAGCTATATGACTTACTATATAGTTACCATAATCAAGGCTATGTAATATGGTGGAGGAATAAACACATACATCAGTGGGACAGAATAGAGAATCTAGAAATTGCTCCCACAGTTGTACAGCCTATTGCATTTTGACAAAGGTACAAAAGCAATTCAATGGAGGAATGATGGCCTTTTCAACAAATGGGACTGGAACAACTAAGACCACCACAGAGGAAAAAAAGAATGAACATTAATTTGTACAAAAAGTTGACTCAAAATGGACTGTAGATTTAACTGTAAAATGTAAAACTATAACATTTTTAGAAGATAATGTTTGAGGAGATAAACTTTTAGAATAATTTAAGAGAAAATCTTTGGGACCTAGGGCTCCATGAAGAGTTTTTAGACATAATACCCAAACTATAATCCATAAAAGAAAAACAATTAACAAATTGGGTTTCATAAAAAATAAAAGGTTTTGCTCTGTGAAAGATCTCTTTAAGAGGATAAAAAGATAGGCAACAGACTGAGAGAAAATATTTACCAACTGAATTTCTGACAAAGGAATTATACCTAGAATATGTAAAGATTCTCAAGACTCAGCAGTAAAATAATTTAACAATCCAATTAGAATAATGAACAAAAGGCGGCTGGGTGCTGTGGCTCACATCTGTAATCCCAGCACTTTGGGAGGCCAAGGCGGGTGGATGACCTGAGGTCAGGAGTTTGAGACCAGCCTGGCCAACATGGCAAAACTGCGTCTCTACTAAAAATACAAAAATTAGCTGGGTGTGGTGGTGTGTGCCTGTAATCCCAGCTACTTGGGAGGCTGAGGCAGGAGAATCACTTGAACCCAGAAAGCGGAGGTTGCAGTGAGCCATGATCACACCATTGCACTCCAGCCTGGGTGACAAGAGTGAAATTTCGTCTCAAAAAAAAAAAAAGAAAAACGAGCAAAAGGCATAAAGAGAAATTTTACTGAAGAGGATGTATACATAAAAAGATGTGCAATATCACTAGACATTAAGGAAGTACAAATTAAGACCATGGTGAGATATTACTGCACACTTATAAGGATAGCTAAAATTAAAAATATTAATAATGCCAAATGCTGGAGAGCATGTAGAGAAACCAGATCTCTCATGCATTGCTGGTAAAAATGCAAAACTACACAGTCAGCCTTGAAAATAGTTTGGTATTTCTTTAAAAACTAAACATATACTTACCATACAACCCATAAATTATACTCCTGGCTGTCTGTCCCAGAGAAGTGAAAACTTACGTCCACACAAAAACCTGTACATTGTTGTTCATAGAAGATTTATTTGTAATAGCCCAAAACTGAAAATAACCCAGATGTCTTTCAATAGGTTCATGATTAAACAAACTGGTATGTCTATACTATGGAATATGACTTGGCATTAAAACGGAACAGACTAATGATACACTCAACAACTCTGATGCATCTCAAGGGCATGATGCTGAGTGAAAAAAAGCCATTTTCAGAAGGTTACATACTATATGATTCTATTTGTGTACCATTCTCAAAAAAATAACAAAATTATAGAGAAGGAAAACAGATTAGTGGTTGGCAAGGATTAGAGATGTGAGGAAAGGGGAGTAAGTAGCAAGAGGGAGATCTTTATGTTGATGGGATAATTCTGTACGTTGGTTGCAGTGGTAAATCTACACACATGATAAAATGACATAAAACTGTACACACACAACCCAAAGTCAATGTATTGGGTTTTGTGTGGTACCATAATTATAGAAGATGTGACCATTGGAGGAAACTGAGTGAAGAGTACACAGGACCTTTCTCTACTATCTTTGCCACTTCCTATGAATCTATAATTATTTCAAAATAAAAATTTAACAGAAGTAACAAAGCAGAAACCGATAGACCAAAAGAAAGTGATTTCACATCCAAACATATAATCAGCCCCCCGTACCCCCAAATCTCACATTTGTGAATTCAACCAAATACAGATCAAAAATTTCAGGAAAAATAATTTGTTAAATACAATGATTAAAAATAATACGAATTGTAAAAATACATAATATTATTTACATTATATAGCATGCTCTAGGTATTAGAAGTAATCTAGAGATGATTTAAAATATATGGGGGGATGTGCACAGGTTAGGTGCAAATACTAGGCTATTTTATATAAAGGACTTGAGAATCTGAAGATTTTGGTATCAGTCTCCTGGGATACCAGGGGATGGCTTTACCTGTTGAACCATTGACTTCTTACAACCCACTCTTTTCTAAAAAGGAAAAAATAATTTCTACTGTCTCATTGCTATTATGACTCAGGAACATTCTTCCATCATCTAGTTGCTGATTTTTCCCCTTATAAGTGTGGGGGAGGAAAAGGATGTGAGGCTGGAAGTGGAATAAGTGAAGATTTAACATGAACAATAAGCTTCATTCATTTTTAAGCACCATCTAGGGCCCTTCCCACCCAATATTTGTTGTGACCACTATAGGAATACAAGTGAAAGCTAGCAGCCAATGGCATATTCTTCTCCACCACCTGGAAATAGATGGGGAGAGGAGAGAAAGCAAGGTAAGTGGAGAGTAGGATTATAGATATGATAGTGACATAAACAAAGACATATCCATAGATGGATAGATGATTACTTAAGTGCTTTTTTGTTTTGCTTTTTTTTTTTTCTGCTTTTTTTTTTTAAGAGACGGGGTCTCGCTATTTTGCTCAGGCTGTTCTTAAACTCCTGGCCTCAAGGGATCCTCCCACCTTCACCTACCAAAGTACTGGCATTACAGATATAAACCACTGCACCTGGCTTATGCTAATGTTTTAAATATAAAAGCATATATACTGGGCATGGTGGCTCATGGCTATTATCTTAGCACTTTGGGAGGCTGAATCAGGAGAATCGCTTGAGCCTACGAATTAAAGGTTACAGTAAGCTGTCTTCACACCACGGCACACCAGCCTGGGTGTCAGAGTGAGACCCTGTCAAAAAGAAAGAAAGAAACAGAAAAACATTAGCATCAAGAGTTTTCTAACCCATGTTCAGCATATTACTATAACTTCTCCTATAACATTCTGACTTCCTATTTGTTTACAGGTTTTTGATGGGAGTGGATCATTTTTGTCCTACATTAACACATCTGCTGACCCACTCTATGGCCCCCAAGGCCTGGCCCTAACTTCAGATGGTCATGTTGTGGTTGCAGACTCTGGAAATCACTGTTTCAAAGTCTATCGATACTTACAGTAATGGTGGGCAGGTGGATACCCGCTTCCATGGTCTTGCACTATAAACTGGAATGGATTTCTCAATGCGGGACCAGATTATGACTAGAGTTTTTATGCCAGAAGGAATCATTGGTGAACTTTCCAAGGTTATTTCTGAATGTAACAATTTCCTTAAAAATGACTTATCCAATTTCTGTATTTCACCTTTAGGGTTAAAAAAAACTCTTCTACTGAATCTATAAAAACTGCAGTTTTACATCTGTGAACTATGGCTTAAGGGACAGGATTTATGTAGCTAAACTAATTTTGCAAATCAAACAGACACTTAAAAAACTAGCATATGTAAAGGTATTCGTTAATCCTGTGAATGGTAGCTTTTGCACAGAACTTCCAAAAGCAAAACAAAAACAAAATCTATTGTAGTTATATACTTCATTTAACCTAGGTCACAAGACCCAGGGAATCTTCTAACCTCACTTTTACAGTAGGTATTACTCTTGTGACATTTTTTTGGTTATCAACAACTAAATATAAATTACTTTGGAAAAAGTAAGGCTGTCTTGCAAAATGATCCCAGCTCTGATTAGCAGCCCTCTGGAGTTCAGAACTTAAGTATCAGTGCAAATTTCTCAACCTTTCTGGGTTAGACAAAGATCCTTTTTTGTGTGTTCTTTTCACCACCCCTTTGGCTCACCTTGTATCAGCAAACAAAGTACTTCTTCAGGGAAACCTGAAATTTCTAATGCCTTGAAAAGCATATTACAAAAGTAATGCTACCTTTTGGGAAACAAACTGCCCCGTTAACTCCAGATCATTGCACTGGAATGTAATCAAGAAAGTTAGTCATGTTTTATGTACCATGTTTTCACACGTGTCTCTTCTCTTCGACTTCCTGAAAGCGAAAGCTTTACCTCCTGCAAATGTCAGCACATGTAGTAGGACACCAGTATCCTAGGACAGAGAGCCATAAGTAGCCCTTTGGAGGACTGATGGTGTCAACCAAAGGCATGTGATTGATTAATGATTCCCCCTTAGAAAGCAAGTGTTACCAAAGTTGTGTTATCTTGAAAGCATTACAGGTAAGGGCATGTTATGGTTATTTATCATTGTTTAATGAATAGTAGAGGTGTCAAGGGACTATGTATACATGATTAGGGTAAGATAGAATGTATTATATATATATATATATACACACACACATATATATAGCTGAATCTTTGGTGTATTGAAATAGGCAGCACTCTGAAAGACAGAAGCTTCGTCCAGCCACTCTTCAGCACATTCCTTTACTAAGCAGTTTAAAGCCGTCCTAGTGGAGCAAGCCCTAAAGCAGATTTAATTTTTGCCATTTTCCAAGAATGACGGTGGTGGCTTTTAGTCAGAAAATGGCCTTCTGTGCTTTCAAAAAAAAAAACAAAAAAAAAACCACACACACACATAAAAAACCCAACAGGTCAAAATAAAAGTTGAACTTGAGTTACATTTAATTTAAATATAAATGCATTTTGAGAAATGTTAAGAACAATTTAGTCAATCGTTCATCTGTCATTGGTACTGTAAAATAAGCTGTGGTCTATTTCCACTGTTTAATTTTCTACTCAGTTCTACCAAATAGGATGTCATGTTTGACATTTTTGATAGTGACTTTGGGGTCTTCTTCACTGAAAGCACCTTAGAACTGTACTATAAGAAAACATTTCCCCTATGTATAATTATATGAATGTGATGTTTATTGCTTATTAATTTATAATTCAGTCATTCTCTATATAGGACTTCTTAAAATTTAGAAGGGAAATCTAGCTACTTCAAATTGTCTGTTAAATTTATTATGCCCAAATCAACCTCTGAAAAAAGGTTTTTCCAGGAAGATTTACATTTAGGTTTAATATTTTTTTAGTTAGGTAGAGTTTTAAAAAATACTTGAGCCTGTCCGTGATAAAGCTATAAAATTCAATAACTTTTTAGAATGTTAAATGAAGACACTGTTTCCTAACATCAGTGAGATACATCTTTGAATTTAAACATTCATATTTACTGAGTACCTACTAGGTACCAAGTACTCTTTTAGGCACTGGAAATACAGTGATGGACAAAACAGGTAAAAAATCGCTGCCCCCTCAGAGCTGACATTCTGGGGTGGGAATTTCATTTTGCCACGTACTAACGTTCTGCACAAAAGACAGGCTAGACTCTTGTCTAGATTGTTTAAAAGAAACTTTTCAAATTGGTTACATTAATTTTAGTTTATTTTCACAAGTAAAAATGGCTTTTTATTTAGATTCTTTCTGTCCCAGGCTGTTGATCTTAAAACTAGTTGATTTAAAGAGTTTTTTTGCACAACATTTCAATTATATTTGTGAACTTAGAAATTAACTTACAATCTAACCAGCCATCATATCATATCCTATCAGGCTAGATATCTCAATAGTAGACTGAATACAAAGCTAATTTTTTTTACATGTCAATATTGGCACAAACTGGAATGAAAGAATAGTTTGATTCAGACCTGCTCCACTATGTGTTGCTAAAACACATGCTATGAGCACTCCAGGAAACACTATATTTTTTCCAAAAAATATGTGATTATATATGTTAAAGTATAGATAACATTTCACACTTGGATACATATGTGCATTTACTGTATTTCTTGGTAAGCATATTTTTGGGGGAAAGTGCTGCTGATATGATACAAGTAGACAAAATTTAAATGAAATTTTGTCACATTCTATGGAAAATGGTTTCTGGTAAACTGAGAAGGATATTAAAATAAGTGGCTTTTTTCTGGGCTACCATTATTGTTTGATTTCTCTTTGTCAAGTGTATAGAACCTGTCATACATTCATGATAAGTAGCACTGAAAAATTACTCATTCAAATTTCCCCTGGGCACGTAAGGCAAAATATTGCCGGTTGGGATTTCAAGGTCAGTGACGACGCATTTCCTCCCAGTACAGACCCCCCAGCCCCCCTTGCTGGACATGGGGAGGCAGAGAGTCACTTGACCATCCAGAAATACATGACTACAAGTCCTTTATGACTGTTTGCCATTTTTTTTAATGGTACTTAGTATTTTGATCAAACTTTAGTCTCCAGAACTAAACAAGTCCCTAAGTTTCCTTATTTTAATTTACTGTGACTAGATTTGAAGCAAATAAATACTCCAGATCCATGCAGCTAGAACACACTTGCTTCCACTACTAAATATACAGGGTATGTCCTAACATGGAGTTAACTGGAATAGCAGTACACTAGCAAGTATCTGTGAATCCTTAGCACTGACGGGTTAACAGAAATGCTTTGGTAATACCTACTTAGTTAATTGGAGGAAGTAGTAAATAAACATTAGGTAATCTGCAGATTACTTCAAATGGGAAAAATCTTTTTGTAGACTCTATAGTACCCTCTCTATTCACTAGCTTCTGAAAAGGGAGGAGTATTTTTAGTTTGACAATTTAATAATTTAAAAACAAGACATCTCCAGGTAGGAAAAAATGAAAGCTATTTCATGCAAACATTATCTAATTTAGCTTAAAAGTGAAAGTGGTAATACTGTTGGTTTCTGTAAATGTTGCAGGGTTTTAAACTTTATAATTACTTTAATATTTTTGATAACTAGAAATCTAGTATTGCCATAAAGGAAACTAAGTGCCCATCAAAGATTTGTTTGGTATAAATAAAGAATTATTTGTTTTGTTTTCAATGACAGTAAGCTACAAATCATGATGCTTAAAAACTTTCTAAAGATGAATTGTGTGGCAGTGATTGGTCTGTTTGTGGAGAATGTATGAAAGCTATTAATATTCTAGAATAGATTAATAAATTGGCTATGTTGTTCCAATGAATGTACAGCACTTCCATTAACTTTTGAAAGCAACACAGCCTTAAACTCAATGCTTTTGCTTTATGACATGGGAATGTTCTGTCATCAATGGAGTGTATTCTTGTAATAGAATTCTTTATATCGTTCTCAATTCTATAGACTTTCAAGCCTATGTATGAATATGAAGGGGTTTTTTTTTTTTGCTTTGTTTTCTTTTTAGATTTTGTACATTCCATCTTTATAGGTCTGTTTCATATGTTTTATGTATAGAACACTAAGTCTTGCACTCTCTGACATTGATACTGATATATTCTCGTCATTTGTTCTTTTATGAATCAAAATGTTGACTGCCTATTTAAAGAAAAGAATGAACGCTGTGCATCAAAGTGTTTGTATGTTCGTAGCTACATACGTACCACAGTATTTTGGATGCTTTAGTCTACAATGAAACTTTCAATTAATTCTGTCTTGAAACATAGGAGAAACAGGATTCATGTGTATCTCTTTACCATGCACAAAATCTCAAATCATTATAATAAAGCTTGTTTTCTCCATTTGCAGAGTGAATATTTATTTATTTAATATTTCTCCATTTGCAGAGTGAATATTTATTTAATATATTCTCTGCCTGAAGGGAAATTGAGGAACATCCTGGAATCTGTGGAAGATAGCAATACTGCAACCAGACTATTTATACTAGTGAGGAAAAGCTCAAGAAAATTTTTGTTGGCTATGACATTAATAATCCATTAGTATTTAGGATGTATCTTAAGTAGGAATTTGGAAAATCCTGATACATACGTAGAACATGTACATTTAGAAAGTTATAGAAGTAGAACAACCTTACCAACCTTTTTTTTTTTTTTTTGAGACAGGGTCTGGCTCTGGCTCTGGCTCTGTTGTCCAGGCTAGAGTGCAGTGGTGTGATCATGGCTTCCTGCAGCCTCGACCTCCCTGGCTCAAGCAGTCCTTCCACCTCAGCCTCCCAAGTAGCTGGGACTATAGTCACTCACCAACACGCCTGGCTAATTTTTTAAATTTTTTCTAAGAGATGCGGTCACTACTTTGCCCAGGATGGTCTGAACTCCTGGGCTCAAGCAATCTCCTGCCTGGGCTTCCAAAGCGCTGGGATTACAGGCGTGATTGTGAACAATGACGGAACACAATAAAAATTCGTTTTGTTTTCTTGAGGGTTAAAAAAAATCCAGCATAGATGGAAACTCTGGAAGAGGTTACATGAGTCAGTCTTGGAAGGAGAGATGAAACAACAGAAATTAGGAAGACCTAACATGGAGCTAGGCATGGCGGCAGCGCCTGGAGTCACAGCTGCTTGGGAGGCTGAGGTGGGAGGATCACTTGAGCCCAGAAGTTTAAGACCAGTCTGGGCAACATAGTCAACAGACTGTCTCTTTAAAAAAAGACCAAATGTGACACTGCTGACGATGAACTGTAAATATTAATATTATTGAATTCTACTTCCATTCTTCATTTGTTTTTTCTTTTACCCAAGCAGGCCACCATCATGGGCTCCTTGGAGGTTTTCAGAATCAGAGAGAGGGTGGGTCCCTCCATAAGCCACTTGCATAGTTCAGCATATCTGAGATTGTCCTCCAGGAGCACATTTCACATGAAGCCAGATGCATCCCTTTCCAGAGGAGAGAACGAGTTCAGTTTTGCCTAAGGAGACTGGAAGGGCAAGTGGACATTTGATGTTCTACTCACTCTTCTGTCTGTTTTTCACTGTTAAAGTCACTGACCAAACAAACGTCTAAGCACCCTTGGTCCACCAGCCTTTTGGCTAGGTGGACGGGATACCGGGATGAATACTGAAGCCTGTACCCTCACAGAGCTTACAGCCTGCTTGGAGAAACAGACCAGATACTTACAGTACCATAAACTGCTGTATTCATTAGCAAATATTTACTGAGTGTAGAATGTTCAGGTACTATGCTAGTCTCACTAGGGAATAGCAGTAAACAAAAAAAGCTCCTCTTCTCACAGACTTTCATTTTACTGGGATGAAACAAATAACTGAATACATATAGAGCTAGCTACATAATTACAGAGCCTGGTGCAAAATGAAAATGCAAGGCCCCTTGTTCAAGAAGTATGAAAAAGACATTTTCCTTTCTTCTGTGGTGTCTCCACCAGTCACAGTGTTTTTTATTTGCTACTTAATGTTATACTCTCTTGGCCATAGGGATACTTGCTGGGTGAGTGTAGACCCACAGGCACCTGGAGTCACCCTGGAACTCAGACTCCCCCCAGGCTTGTGCTAAAAGAGGGCACCAGAACATGAGTTGTTCAGGGAATAACAAATAGTCTGATATGGCAAGACCACAGAATTTCTCAAGAAGAAATTACTGATGAGGCACCGTTATAAAGAGTATGTTACTGTGCCTGTTCTTAAGGAGTTTACATTCCAGATGGAAAGATTAAAAGAATAACTATAAAACAGGGAAAATTAAAGAGCCATGGAGAAGGGTTAATAAAGTATAATGGAAGTTCCATGTTATCACATAGCTGATGGGGACAATCCTCTTTATGCCTGTGTCCTAGCATAAATAGGAATAGCATTCCCTTCTGTTCTCAGAAGTGTCTCAGTTCGGATGATAAATTATATATTCACTAGACATCAGTCTTTCTCAACCTTTTTTCTCATTACCATTCCCATAAAGAACCTTTTTAGATGTTTTTTCCCTGTTCACAATGCCATCCCCAGTCCCATGAAATTTTAATACCAGAGATATACTGTACATCTGTTTATGTACTGAGAGCCACAAACCACTGGAGCACAAACCATCTAAGATCTTTTTGTCTCCCAGGAACCCATTTTGATGTCATCCCATTGAGAATGACGCCCTACCCAAATGACATGATTGCATTGTCATTTCTAACTCAGAAGCTGTGTTGTGACTGACAGGTTGATAATGTTTACTATTTCTTCCTTAAAATTTTGTTAAATAAGCAGGCGGCCATTGGCTTGAAGCTGTCTCCACACTTTGAGTTCCTACCTAAGGAATTGTAAGGAACTGCAACCTAACGTGGTACACAAACTGAAAACCAAGCATGGTGTGTAACAAACCCCCAATTCTCAGCCAATCACAAGTAGCTGAGCTTCAGCCCACAGGCTGCCGACAGTGGCCAAATAATTCAAACAAGGAGCTGTAATCAGTCAAGCTATTTCTGTAACTCACTTCCCTTTTCTGTCTATAAAAACTTCCTGTTGGCTAGGCATGACTCACACCTGTAATCCCAATACTTTGGGAGGCTAAGGCAGGAAGATTGCTTGAATCCAGGCGTTCTAGACCAGCCTAGGCAACATAGGGAGACACCATCTCTATGGAAAATTTTTAAAAAATTAGCCAGGCATAGTTATGCACATCTGTAGTCCCAACTACTTGGGAGGGCAAGGCAGGAGAATCCCTCGAGCCCTGGAGTTCTAGATTGCAGTGAACCATGATTGTGCCACTGCACTCCAGCCTGGGTGACAGAGTGAAACCCTGTCTCAAAAAAACAAAACAACAACAACAAAAAACCTCTCTGGCCACGTTGCCGAGAGGAACTCATTTGTCTAAAGTTTTTCTTTTAAAATTTTCTCCTCTCTTGGTTTTGCATTCTCCTACTTCTTTTCCTACATTGCAGACTTTTTCCTCAGTCTCTTCCAAGTGACTTGACTTTGTTTTCCTATTTCCTTTATAAGCTCCTCCTGCCAGGCACGGTGGCTCACGCCTGTAATCCTAGCACTTTAGGAGGCCAAGGCGGATGGGTCGCCTGAGACTGGGAGATCGAGACCAGCCTGGCCAACATGGTAAAACCCCATCTCTACTAAAAATACAAAGATTAGCCGGGGGTGGTGGTGGGCGCCTATAATCCCAGCTACTCAGGAGGCTGAGGCAAGAGAATCGCTTGAACCTAGGGGTTGGAGGTTGCAGTGAGCCAAAATCATGCCACTTCACTCCAGGCTGGGCAAAAGAGCGAAACCCCAACTCTAAATAAATAAATAAGCTGCTCCTATAGGTCATGCTTTTCAGAATGTCAAGGAAGGGGCATCAGAAGGTTATCTGAAGTTTAAGGTATTTGTACTGAAAATGCAAAGGAACCAGAGGCAGTAGAATGTGTCTTCTTTCCTAGGTGGCGGTGATTCCCAGGTCTGGTTGATCAAGACTGCAATGCACAACAGGAACCTCAGAGAACTGTCACAGCAGCTCTCAGTGACACTTAGGATACAGATGCAGCTTAAGTGACCCTTTTTTATATCCATTTAGCACTCATTTTTCCCAAAAGAAGACCTGTTTGGGTCAATTTGTTACTGTCCCAGGGCAGGCTTTTGCACTGTGTCGCTTTAGAGGCAGGGGCGGAGGAAAACTTGGGACTGTAACATCAGTACTGCACAAAGCCCTCTTCCGTATACAGCATAAGCACTATTCTATAAAATCCCCAGCAAGCCTTTGTTTCCTTGCAGTCAGCTCCTTTTCTGCTGATTCTGCCCATTGCTCCCTTGCAACGTATTTTCATGCTTTCTCTAATGATTCTGCCTTTCTTTACTTACAACTGCCTTGGTAAATTTTTCTGCCACAGCGCCACTGGCCTCAGATAGTCACCACTCACCTGCAACAAGCCTGAGAGCCAATTAAGACAAGGCTTTCCCCAAGTAGCACAAATGTATATACCACTACTGTAGTTACTTAATGTACTCATTTATCATTTTAAAATTACCTTATGTACCATCAGTTACATGGTATAACTCTTACAGGAAAAACCAAATTAATGGAACTCTGCAATTCAATGTACCCCTTCCTCTGCCTCCAGCAGAAGCAACAGGGGACATAAATTCCAACTTTAGATGCTACTCTTATAGCATCTACAAGACTTACTACACTGTGTGTGTGTGTGTGTGTGTGTGTGCGTGCGTGTGTGTGTGTTACAGAGTCTCACTCTGTCGCCCAGGCTGGAGTGCAGTGGCGGGGTCTTGGCTCACTGCAACCTCTGCCTCCTGGGTCCAAGCGATTCTCCTGCCTCAGCCTCCCGAGTAGCTGGGATTGTACAGGCGTCCGCCACCACGCCTGGCTAATTTTTGTATTTTTATTAGAGATGGGATTTCACCATGTTGGCCAGGCTGGTCTCAAACTCCCTACCTCAAGTGATTTGCCCGCCTCGGCCTCCCAAATTGCTGGGATTACAGGTGTGAGCCACAGCGCCCAACCGTACTTCTTACACCTAAAAATGGTTCAAAACACCATAGAATAATTTTCAAAATAATTGAATTCTGAGTTAAAATTTTTCAGCACTTTCAGGGGCCTGAGCTTTTGCTATGAATCTGGATCTATTCTCAAGCCATGAAGTAGCGTATTTTTGACCATGTTGATTTGAAATTCATTCCGTTGTTTCCTTCTTTTTTAAAACCTAAGGGAAAAACAAACAGACATACACAGGATTTGAAAAGCTGGAAAGCAGTGGGTAGCGGCTCGGGAGAAGATGAGGGGTCAGATTAGAAGACGAGAAAGGAATCCAGTCCGCCCCAGACAGGACAAGTCCGGAAGGATGGAGGCAGCGTTTCCTTCCTCAACAGCCTAAACGCCTCTATTTTTTACATCCAAACTTAGGCCATATTTCTGCGGCGCCAAGAAAACGCAGTAAAAGCAAAGGCAAGATGTCCTTAAAAAAAAAAAAGGTCACATTCACAGAATACCGAGGAGACGGAGGCAGCTCTGCAACCCGTCCACTGAGACGCGGACACGCTCCCCACAGCCCCGGCCCCAGGCCCGCGCCCCTTCCCCCGCCGGCGGCTCGGATGGGTCGCTAGGGGTCGCTGCGCGCCGCGCGGGCGAGGACCGGCCTCTTTCCCCCACCTCCACCGTCTCGCTGCTCCGCCCCCGCGGCGTAGTCGGCGCCAAAATCAAACGCGTCCTGGCCTGTCCCGCCCCTCTCCCCAAGCGCGGGCCCGGCCAGCGGAAGCCCCTGCGCCCGCGCCATGGTAAGGACTGAGGCTACGGTCCCGCGTCTTCTTCCTCCCTAGTGTGTGGGCTTCGCCGCCCCTCGGCTGCATGTGGATCCCGGCCTGGCGTTGACCGCCATTCCGGGCCGCGGGAGCGGTCGCCCGGCTCTCGGCCTCACCGTGTAGGGGCCCAGCCCGGCCCCGCCGCAGCCACTCCGCACTCTGCGGCGTTCCCCGCCGCTCCTGTCCGGAGTCCCGAGGCGCGGGGGCATCCGCGGCCTCCCCGCCGGCTGCACCCCGCGTCTGTCCCCAGGGCCCGTTCGGGCGGGTTAGGTTAGAACGCGGGAAGCGTTCGCGAACGTGACCCGAGAACTTCACCAACCTGGATTTATCTAAAAGACCACGGGGCCCTTGAGAACCTGGGCTCCCTACGCCTCCAGCTTCGGCCCCGCGTGGTGTAGCCCCCCCCATTAAGAACGGGGAGAGAAAGCGCAAGTGGGCGGGAGGGACTGCGGGGAGCGAACGTCTTGATCCCAAAGCGCACTCCTGGTTTGTCACCATTGAGTGGTTTTCTGTATTGTAATATGTAGAGCACATTCCAGAACTGCTCAGTTTCGAGTTACCTAATGGATCTTCACTGTGTGCCAATTAGTCGATTTCTGTGAAAACGCCCCGGTTTCTGCCAAAGGGCAGGAGTCGCTGCTCTTGTGCCGGGTGCTGCTGGTTGTGTAGGGCGCTGTTGCTTTTTTAAGGACGCTCTGCACTGAATTAGGCTTCCTCGTGGGTCATGATCAGTTAAGTCCTGGTAAGATCGGCTTTGTGAGCTTAACGTCTTTCTGCTCATCAAATCATTTTCATAAACCTTCAAAGTTTCATGCCGTTTTTTCTGCTTCAGTTGGCGAAGAATCAACATCTGGTTAAATGGATCTAAGATTTTAATATCTTCATTTACTTACGTGGCCGTTAAATGTTGCCGAGCTAAGGGGGGCAGGGTGGGACACCAGGATCCAGTTGTATGGTATTTATTTGAAGATATTTGTCCAGATGTAGTTATAAATGATAACGGCTTCTTTGTGGTTAAACTAACAACCCAGCCACCTGGGCGTGAAGTGCTCTAAGGAGCCAAACAGGACTACAGTTAAAACAAATCTGTTAGCAGTGCCCTTCTGTGTTACAATTTTTCTCTGCAGAGTTGCTGGCCTCGTATAACTGACTTGGAGAACTGTGCAGCTCAAACGCGCGTTGTCCTTTTACCTAATCTATCTCTCTACACATGAATCACCTGCTAATACTAAATGTGTTAACTCTTTAGAAGCTTACCTCCGATAATAGAGAATCCTTTTAAAAAATTAAAGCTTTTGATAAGATGTGGACTTCCTATTTTTTAATATGTGATCGAGAAATAAATTTAGTGTTGGTCAAAGGTAAACTTTTGATTGATTATGAATTAATAGCTGTTTTCATTTGGTTAGGCATCCTAAGTAAATAGTTAATGAGTTCAGGCAATTTTTGAAATTGGAGAAGTGCAGTGCTGAACTCTGAGAGCAGCAGTGATGTCTACTTAATAATTCTTCATAATTTTATCGTAATTGATTAGTAGGGCTGGCTGTAGGAATTCCATAACTTCTAACTGAGAAGGTTCCTCAGATAACATGATTTTTTAAGTGGTTTAAAATACTTCCAGAAAGCTTCATAGTCCTTGAGTCAGGTTTTGAGTCTCCTGACTTACTAATTTGAATGCATCTCTAACTTATACTATCAGGTTTTTCCTAGTCTTAATTAAATATTAGATAAATCCTCATTGATTTTTTTGAGAAGTTTCTAAATATGAGTATTAATATGGCATCTTTTTACATTAGTTATTTTAATTCTGGCTATGATACTCCTACTGTGGTTAATAATAGAAATTATTTCTAGTCATGAAAGAGACTGATGAATAAATCAGCCTGAAAACAAGGTAAATGGATGATACAGCTCATCCACATTTCTTGAGTAACTTTCATAGCTGCTGAGCTGAGTGTTGAGAGCTTTCCTAAAACTGGGTACCCCAGGACGCTAGATTCTCCTCATTGCCTGCCTCTGGGGGGCAGATTCTTGTGGAGTGCAAGGAGCTGTTTCGAATATCAAAATGTTAGGAGTCTTTCCTAACACTTCAGGATCTGCTTTCTGCTAGTGCAGCGACACACTGAAATTCTAAAGGGATTCCCATTGCCCCGCAGCGCCCTTGACATGGCCTTCAGATTCTGGGCTGACAAAAGTAGGGTTCTCAACCCTGGGGCACAATTAAAAAATATGTTGGAGAGGATTTTTAAAATAAGTTGGAGGATTTAAAAAATATGTTGCCCAGGTCCCATTCCAGAGATTTTGATTCCATTCATTAGAGATGAGCCTGGGCATCGGTATTTTTTAAAAACTCCTGAGGTGATTCTAATGTATGGCAGTTTAGGACCTATTGGACTAGAAAAATATGTTGAAGGAGTCTTCTAACTGTTATGAATTTCATGCTTGATTTGTCAGATACTGCAGAGGTGAGAATGAAGGGAGGCAAATAGAGCAGTCCTGGACCCTAGCTCTCAGCCCTAGGTTTAGTGAGCAGATCTGTATGGGTTCCTGGAGTTTGCCTAACTGAGATTTCTCTGATTTGTCTCTTCAAGCCAGGCAATACATGATGTCACTGAATTCACTATGATTAATTCACCTGTTATATCTATGGGAGTATGGTAGGTGTTGGGGGGCTTAGGAGCCTGAGCAGCCTCAAATTTTAGAGTTGGGGGCTTTAGATACATGGTCCTAAAATTAAGAGCTTTATGTCTCCCTTGTCTAACTTGGCACTAAGCCCTGGAAAGGCAAAGGCAGTTCATGTTCTGAAGAAGTTTTTCAGTGTGCTGATACGGACAAGTAAACATCTTTTCAATGTAGTGAGTGATTTGATGAAGGTGTGTTCTGGGAATACATGCTTAGCCTGTGAACTCAGGGAAGTTCTGGAGGGAGAGTGCCTAAACTAAGCCTTGGGAGATGTTTTGGAGTTTTGACTAGGCAAGAAGTGAGGATGTTCTAGGTGGAGGAACATTTTTTTTAAGGATGGAAATGAGAGCATTCTTCGAGTAGATAATTACAGGCAGTTTTTGTATTACAAGTTGCTTAGGTCTCCATACTGTTAATGGCAAAGTTTGAGGTGGGGTGTGGTGGAAGAGGCTATAAAAGGTAGGTTGGGGTTAGGTGATAAAGGGCCTTGTATATCATACTGGGGTACTCAGAAACGTCTGGATGTCTGGGAGCCACTGGAGGGTTTTGAGCAAGGCAGGGAAAAAGGTCTTATTTATGTTTTCCCAGTGCGGAATGTGAACATAGAGGGTGAGTCAAAGTGTGGTTAGGGGACTGGAGGTATATTGCAGGAGATAGATGATGAAGGCCTGAATGAGGCAGTGGTAGTAGAGATAGAACAGACAGGACAGATAAGAGAAATAATTAAATGCTGAAACTGGCAGAACTTGGTGATTGGTTGGATGTGAGATAAGGAGGTGAAGGTACCTAGGATGACTGTCAGGCCTCTGGCTTGGGTCACGAGATAGTATCTGAGACTCAAGGTCTAGAACAGCAAGTTTGTGGGGAGTAGGTATGAGAGAGGAAGAGTTCAGTTTAGACTGACGGAGTTGAAGTTTGTCCAGCAGGCGGGTAGATGCATGACACTGAAGCTCAGGAGCACACCCAGGGGTGAATGTAAAGATTTGAGGTCTCAGCATAAGTGTTAATTAAAACCATGAAAGCAAATGAGATCAAAGATAAGATATTAGGAGATGGGATCAGTAGCCAAACCCAGCAGAAAAACAGTGTTTGAAAGTGGACCGAGGAAGAAGAGAAAAATATAAACTTTAAGCTATTTATTTACCCATATTACTCATCAAGAAACACCTGATCATTTTATTCCTGTGGGAATGAGTTAGTGGGTTGTTGTTTTTTTTTGTGTGTGTGGGCTTTGTTTTGTTTTGTTTTGAGACAGTGTCTTGCTTTGTTGCCCAGGCTGGTCTCAAACTCCCAGCCTCAAGTGATCCTCCAGCCTCAGCCTCCCAAAGTGCTGGGATTACAGGTGTGAGCCACCGCCCAGCCAAGTTAGTGGGTTTCTAGGTTTTACAAGAATTAAGACTCACTCACTCCAGTATGTAGCCAGAATGGCAATTCCAAATCCTTGTCTTCACTTATGTAAACTCACGTTTTCTGATGATGTTTTTGGTTGGATGGGGCAGTCTTTAACTGTTGTTTTATGTCTGCTTTTTAAGCAAACAATTTATATTCCTTTATAATCCCCTACAATTTTTGAGAAAGATGCAGATCACATAAGAAATATTAGTGTGGAGTTTTTTTATTAGAGAACTGGAGGTGATAGTTCTCACTCTTTTTTTTTTTTTTTTCTGTAAACCTTTGGTTTGGAGGAAATTTGGCTCCTTTCTCTTTTAACTTAGGATTTAGCTTTATATATTCTATGTACAATATATTGTAAAATTTATTATTAACATATATTTCAGCTACATATTGTCTTAATTTCAAGTTGGCTAAAGGGTATTACAGAAGAATAACCTGAGTGGGCTTCCATTTTCTACTTGGATAGGCCTTTCCCCCTTCCATCTTCTCTTCCACATTGCTGCTATAATTAACTTAACGAAAATGCAACTCTAATCTTGTCACTAGTCTGCTTTAGAAATTACTCAGCAGCTCCTCATTGTCTAGAATGAAGTCCACTGTCAGCTGGACAGTCAGCTTTCCATAACCTGACCCCACACCTTTCTCATCCCATCTGCCAATCCCCCTACATACTTCATACAATAACTGTCCCCCACTGCTTATCCTTCTGGGGAATTCCATGTACTTCCATAACATTGTGCCTGTGTGTGGTCTCCCCAAGATGTGCTTCTAACCATTTCTCAATTTGCCAAAATCCTTTTAATCTCTGTCCTTAGGTAACCCTTCTTCCTCTGCATAGTGGAATTCATTGTGTTCTGGGTATTTATGTAACAATTGGTGCATGTAGCTGTTCATTAGCTATAAATAGTTGCATCTATATATTTTCTCTGAGAGATTGTAAGCCTTTGGAAGGTCAATACAGTGGCTTATCATTGGTTTACTTTATAAATGCTGAATTTCTACAAAATGCCAGGCTCTGCCTCAATTTACAGTTACCATCTTGGCAGCACCTACCACAGTGGTTGGCAGATAGTAATTAAAATGAGTCTTTAGGTCTGACTTTGAGAGTATCAAACCTGTTGGCATCAGATAAGACCATGCATAAAATTTCAAATGTTGCAAATCCAGTTGTTTTCAAAATGTGTTTAAAAGCATTGTTTACTTGTTAATTTTTTTGCTTTAGTCAAAGAAAAAAGGACTGAGTGCAGAAGAAAAGAGAACTCGCATGATGGAAATATTTTCTGAAACAGTAAGTCATTTTCTTTAACACTTATAATTTTGTGTAATTTTCATCTTAAGTATATGTCATCCAATGTTAACTGTCCCCTCTTTGTTAAACATCAATACTGATCAATTTCTTGAAGAATGGGTAAGATTCTGCAAATATTTGTGGTTCCTGTGAGTTATGGAGTGTGAAAAACCATATCCCACTGTTGGTAGAGTCTCTTTCACCCAAGCAGTCCTGCATACTGGCACCAGAATCTTCTGATGCATATATTTGATTATCTCCTCTTTCTGCCTGAAAAATAATAATGATGAAAGCCCACATCTCCTGAGTGCTGCCTAGGTGCCAACCAGTCTTGGATCTCAAACAATAGAAGCCATAGTTCCAGGATTCAAACCAGGGAGGATCATTTGATTTCAGAGGGAGTACCAAATACTATGTCTTTGCATTTTAAGTCTGTCTATAGTGTAACACACAGTCGATGGTACAGAGGCCTTCATTTATTCCAGATATTTGTGCCTGCCATCAACAGGAAATATGTTTAAAGTTTCATCTCCTAAGTGAAGAGCCAGAGTTCAAACCCAGGTACCTGGCTCTACAGCCTACTGTCTCATGGCTTTACACTGTTACTGGAAGGCTTTTCTATGTCTTCAGGTTAAAGGCCACATAAATCTTTGACCTAAAAGAACACCGACTTCATATGGCTTGGCAGGACCTACAAAGCCTAGTTGGCCCCAGTCTACTGGCTATTTTCATCATATACAAATGTGAAGAAGATGGGGAAAAGTGGTAGAATTGAATATTAAATTGATAAAATCCCTTTTCACTTTAAGGCAGATTCTTAGTAAAAAAAAAAAAAAAAAACAAACAAAATACACGGGATTTGCCCACTAAGTATAATCTTATTGTTCTTAAAAGTCATTGGCAATTCAGAACAGGGTGTCATATTATGATGATGATATGGTTACAAAGATAAATTGGTGAAGTCTCTATGTGAAAATTATAGCAATTCTTCTGCTGAGTTGAAATATTTTTCCTATGGTCTCAGCAAGAAAAGTAAGTTTAATTCCTTCAAGACAGTAGAAAGCTGAGGAGAGTGGTTGGGGAAATTATTTTGTCATTTACAATATTATTATCTCAAATATAAAAATTGGCTGTTTCTAACTGAAAAATTTTAAACCTTGTCCTTAGTAACATCAAAACATGAAAGACTCTGAGGATCAGCAGTTTAAGGAAGTTCAGTAATTAGTGAGGTTTTCCATAAAGCTGGGAATTAATTGTACTGATTGATTTATTTCATATATTCCTGTTTCTTTTTTTCATTATAGCCTAATCAGTTGCTGCTCATTTAGTCTATCAGTTTTTTGACGGAATTGAAAAGTATAAGAGATTTGGGAAAAGTAATGGAGGCCATTTCATTTGTTCTTTCATGAATGGAATATGGTATATCCGGGATCCAGACTGATGTCAAAAGTTGATGAATATTAGATTTGCTTCAACATCTCAAAGCAAATCGCCAATAATGGTGCAAAGTGAAAAGCATGGATTCTGGAATTCAGATTCAGGAATTTGGATTCTAATTTCGTTGTTGCAATTGGCAAGTAAAAATTCCAACAAAATCAAATATGGCTACTCAGGATTTGTTACAGAATTTGATTTTCTATAGATGTCAATAGTAGCCCCCTTTTCAAGACAAATGTCATGGGAAAATGCTTATAATTTAATGTTAAGTAGAAAATGTAGAATATAAAAAACAAGACATGATGACAAATATTAACAATGGTAAGATACAGGGGGATTTTGTTTTACACTCTTTTCTTTGTTACCTATAGTGAACAAATTTTAAATCAAATTAGAAAATCAACTAATGAAGCAGCATATACTATATTGCCTCTAATCATAAGTGGGCTGTCTGTGAGGTTTTGGAAACCTTTTAAAAACACAGTCATTGGTAATAATGACAACTCATAGAGAGGGTAGGAACCTTCAGGGACTGTTTGAGGCACAAAATAGGCCACCAATAAATGTGTTGAGCTTTTTAAAAAATTACTTCAGCAAACACTTAAATGAGTAGCTTTCCATTGGCACACAGATCTCTGGAATGGCCATGCTTATGCCCAGATAATTTAATATAAATATGTAAATGGAGAAAAAGAGACATAGACATGATCATGTATGGATGGATATATATGTGCGTGTGTGTGTGTGGGTTTTGGAGCTGCTAATGTAATAAATTATTTGCCCGTTGCACTTAGGAAGAACATGAGAACAGTATAGCTCAATAACTGAAAGCTTGCATCTGGAACCTGTTTCACTCAATAGCTTCGTGACCTTTAAGCAAGTTACTTGACCTCTCTATGTCTGTTTCTTCATCTCTTAAAGAAGATGATAATAGTACCCAGTTCACAGTGTTGGTATGGGGATTAAATAAGATAATATGATTAAACAATGCCCAGGTCGTAAGTGCTTTATTAAATGTTATCTAGGGCCAGGTGCCACGGCTCACACCTGTAATTCCAACATTTTGGGAGGCCAAGGCAGGAGGATCTGTTGAGCCCAAGAGTTTGAGGTTGTAGTGAGCCATGATCACACTCTGTCACTCAGGCACTCTAGCCCAGGTAACAGAGTGAGACCCTATCTTAAAAAAAAAAAAAAAAAAAAAACACAACGATATTATCTAGGATTATATGTCTTCCATGGTACCTTACACATAGTTCTTTTTACACTTTCTTCATCCCTCCTTGATTCTCTCTGCTTAATGCTGGGGAGTCTAAGAACTAAGATTTACTTGAGATCATTTGCTCTGTCCACTTCAATGACCGCACTTGAGTTCTGAGGCTACTTCTTTCCAAGCCTGTTTATTTATGCAGCAGCCCCACTGGGGCAGCCAGTACATCTGGAGCTCTTCCTTGGTGCCTGCATTTAGGCAGATATCTCAGTGGTTCATGTTCTTTTTCTAGGGAATTTAAAGTATTTGCAAAGAGGTTTGATTAACTGTTTTTTCTAATGCATTAAAGACTTAAAGTCAGTAATTTATTACATGTTCCCTGAGATTCTAAAGTATTATGTTTAAATAATTTATTCCTCGATGAGCAAAAATTGATCTCATACTCGCACTAAGTTCAATGACTTAATATTTTCCTAAATTTGCGAACTCTTAGGTGTAGTGAGATGAAATTTTTTCAACATTTTATTATGAAAATTTTCAAACATACAGCAAAGATGAGTTTTTCAGTGAATACCCATATGCCTACCACCTAGATTCTACCATTCACATTTTATTCTACTGACTTTATCACATATATATATATATATATATATATATATATATATATATATATATTCATCTATCCACTTATCTCTCCATCAACTCTTTTTTATGTACTTCAAAGGAGTTCTTTATATACGTATATCCTGGGTAGCACGCCTTTTTCAGGCATATGTTTTGCGATTATTTTAATCTAGTTGGTATTTGTCGTTTCATTTTCTTTATAGTGCCCTTGGATGAGTATAAATTTTTATGAAGTATAATTTCTATCTAATTGCAATTGCCTTTTCAAGTTTTTTTTGGAAGAACTGTATCCCAATTTTTTCATAACAATAATCAAAATATTTCTAGGTTTTTTTGTTCTTATTGTTTTGTTTTGTCTGTTGCCCAGGCTGGAGTGCAGTGGTGTGATCTTGGCTCACTGCAGCCTCCACCTCCCAGGTTCAAGCGATTCTCGTGCCTCAGTCTCTCGAGTAGCTGGGATTACTGGTGCCCACCATAACGTCCAGCTAATTTTTGTATTTTTAGTAGAAACAGAGTTTTGCCATGTTGGCCATGCTGGTCTAGAACTCCTGAGCTCAAATGATCCACCCGCCTCAGCCTCCCAAAGTGCTGGGATTACAGGCGTGAGCCACCATGTCCAGCCACAGTATTTCTTTTCTAATTACTACATACTTTAGTTTCTTCAAGTGATTTAACTTTTGTTATGCAAGTTCTTTTCACCACTTCAACCAAGGCTTATTAGCAGTAGAAAATAATATTCTAGACAGGTTTTTTTTTTCTGGCCATAAGATTTAAATATTCTACACGCATATTTTCCCTTAATGTTTTGCTTTGCATGTGGTAGACATGCAACATGTATATGTGAATGATTGATAGGTAGCCATGAAATGTATAATTTCCCTATTGTTTAGGTATAGCTCTTCCATGAAACCTTAAATGTAAACAAATTTTGACAGTTGCCTGTTTCGCTTTTAGTTAGAACTGCTAAATCTGTACAGTGTCATACATGTTAAGCAAAGCACTGTCTGTGTTTTCTTAAAGTGTCAGAAAAGGTAATTCGTTCCTGTTACCAAGTGATCCAGCATAACTAGGATGGTGGTTTTTTGTTATTGTTTTTGTTTTGTTTTGTTTTGTTTTTTGAGACACAGTCTTACTCTATACTCTTGCCCAGGCTGGAGTATAGTGGCACAGTCATAGCTTACTGCAGCCTCAACCTCCCAGGCTCAAGCTATTCTCCCATCTCAGCCTCCCATGTATCTAGGACTACAGGCACGCACTACCACACCCAGCTAATTTTTTTGATTTTGTGGAGATGTGGTGCAAGAGTGGTCTCACTGTGTTACCCAGGCCAGTCTCCAGCTCTTGAGCTCAAGCAGTCCTCCCAAAGTGGTGGGATTATAGACAGGAGACACCATGACTGGCCTATAACTAGTTTTTATACTTAAGTGGGAAGATTGTTCTTTATGTTCTGATCTCCAAGAACTTTAAATAATTGTATGCTGCTGGCCAAGCATGGTGGCTCATCTCTGTAATCCTAGCACTTTGGGAGGCTGAGACGGGAGGATTGCTTGAGTCCAGAAGTTCAAGACCAGCCTGGGCAAAATGGTGAGACCCTCTCTCTAAAAAAATTTTTAAAAATTAGCCAGGCATGGTGGTGCATGTCTGTAGTCCCAGCTACTCAGGAGGCTGAAGTGGGATGATTGTTTGAGCCCTGGAGGTCAAGGCTGCAGTGAGCCATGATCGTGCCACTGTACTCCCATCTGGGCCATAGAGTGAAACCATGTCTCAAAAAAAAAATTGTATATATATGCAAATTGTAAATGTATGCAAAAATCTCTTAAGTTCTATTGAAGGTATGGAATGAGATAATCAAAGAGTTTCTAATAAGCTCTAAAATGCTTGATTCTATTATACTGTTCATTTCCAGGCCAATTTTTTAAATACAATTTTTCATGAACATAAAATTATGATGTATATATAAATATGTAGTAGAACACGATAGGGTGACTATAGTTAATAATATATTGTATATTTAAAAATACTAAGAGTGAAATTGGAATGTTCCTAACACAAAGAAATGATAAGTGTTTGAAGAGATGGATACCCTAATTACCACAATTTCATCATAACACATTGTATACCTATATCAAAATATCACACATACCCTGTAAATGTATACAACTATTATGTACCCATAATAAAAATTTTTAAAAATGAAAATATACATAGTAGAAAATAAACACGTGCTTTTCATTTTCTTTAAAACCCTTTAAACAGAAAGATGTATTTCAATTAAAAGACTTGGAGAAGATTGCTCCCAAAGAGAAAGGCATTAGTAAGTACCAAAGTTATACTGGAATGTTTTGGGAAATATACTGGGATGTTTTGGGAAATATCTTAATATTCATTAAGTCATCTTTTCTGCAACAGTCTTTCACTTTATGGAAAACCTAAATTTCTAGAGACAAAGAAATCATCACCATCCAAAGATAACCACTGTCATGTTGTCCTTTATTTTTCTGTATAATACATCCTGTATATTACATTTTGAATATATATCCCTGTCATTAAATATCCTTTTATAACATAAATGATTGTATAGTATCCCATTGCAATAAAAAAATACTTTTAAAAATCTAGTTGATAAGCTGGCTGGTAGCGCACACACACTTGTAGTCCCAGCCACTCTGGAGGCTGAAGCGGGAGGATCACTTCAGCCCAGCTAGGCAACATAGCAAAATCCTGTCTTTAAAATAAAAATCCAGTTATTAGACTGGTTTCCAATTCTTTTGCTGTCGAAAACAATGTGTTGACAGGCATCCTTCTACATATCTATTATTTTTTGTTTGGCTGTATTTATAAGGTGGAATTTCCCCAGGAAAGATATGTATAAATTGGGCTGGGCGTGGTGGCTCACGCCTATAATCCCAGCACTTTGGGAGGCCAAGGCAGTTGGATCATGAGGTCAGGAGATCAAGACCATCCTGCCTACTAAAACCCCGTCTCTACTAAAAATACAAAAAAATCTTAGCCGGGCGTGGTGGCAGGCGTCTATAGTCCCAGCTACTCAGGAGGCTGAGGCAGGAGAATGGCGTGAACCCAGGAGGCAGAGCTTGCAGTGAGCCGAGATCGCGCCACTGCACTCCAGCCTGGGTGACAGAGTGAAACTCAGTCTCAAAAAAAAAAAAAAAAAAAAAAAAGATATGTATAAATCTGAAGTTTTAGATACAGATTGCCACGTTTCTCCACCCATACTGAGAGTACCCATTCAAGTATCCTTGAATTCTTTATTGTATTTTTTAGTGTTTTTAATTTGGTAGTCAAGTCATGTCTAATTGCTTTATTTTCGATTTCTTCAGTTATTAATGGGGTTGAACATTTTTCTCATATATTGGCCATGCATATTTTATTTTATTTATTTATTTATTTGTTTATTTATTTATTTGAGACAGAGTCTACTCTGTCACCCAGGCTGGAGCCCAGTGGTCCAGGCTGGAGCCCAGTGGTGCAGTCCTGGCACACTGCAACCTCTGTCTCCCGGGTTCAAGCGATTCTCCTGCCTCAGCCTCATGAGTAGCTGGGATTACAAGCTCCTGCCACCATGCCCACCTAATTTTTGTATTTTTAGTAGAGATGGGGATTTGCCATGTTGGCCAGGCTGTTGTCAAACCGCTGACCTCAAGTGATCTACCTGCCTTGGCCTCCCAAAGTGCTGGGATTACAGGCATGAGCCACCATGCATATTTTATAGATGCACATTGATGTATTTTTTGTGTGTCTTTTGTTGTGTTGTTTCAAAATGAAAAAACCTCTTTTATTATGAGTATACATACAAGTGAAACCAGACAACCACTGAGAGTCCCTCACACTTTTATGTACACCACACAATTATTCTCTTTACAGTCATCAGTGAACAATTGGTTCTGCTACTTCTTAAAGATATGCAAATTTCTTAAGTTTAAATACACAGTTGACCCTGGAACAACACCTATGTTGTTCAAGATTGGGATACCAATCCCCCACACAATTGGAAATCTGCATGTAATTTTTGACTCCCCCAAAACTTAACTACTGATAGCCTGCTGTTGACAGGAAGCCATACCATGTATTTACTATTCATTAAGTGGCAGTGGATCATCATAAAGTTCTTCATCCTTGTCATCTTACATTGAGTAGGCTGAGGAGGAGGAGGAAGTGGTGTTGCTGTCTCAGGTGGCAGAAAATCCATGTATATAACTGGACCCATGCAGTTCAAACCTGTACTGTTCAAGGGTCAACTATACAATATTAATTACACCAGTGTCCTAATGTCCCCAGACAAATTGTAGGTAATGGAATCTCAACTGTATCTTGAAGGATCAAAAACAAAAAACAAAATTCAATCCAGTCTACAAGATGGAAAAATTTATTGTATTAACTAAATTCCTTTTCTTCTTACCTATTTTCCCTCCCAGTTATTGACAATTTTTTTCTGCAGTATAAGATGATGGCCAAATTACCCAACATCTTTTTTAAAAAAGAAACATTATTTAGAAAAGGAAAAGATACCATATAGCAACAGACTATGAGTGTTAACACCATTAAAATTATTTACTAAGCACTGATGCTAGCATCTTCTATTACTAGATAATCTATTGGGAGAGAAAAACTTGCATTTCTGTAGTTTTGTTTTGCTTTTTCAAAGGCTTCTCACAAGTAACATTTTATTGACATTACTGCTATGCACCAAAGTAAGTATGGAAATGATCATATCTAATAGATTTTTTAAATTAGGCATAAAGAACAATTTGCCCTAGAGTCATCCAGTGTTACTGCTAAGAGTTAGGATTAGAACTCAGGTCCTGTTCTTAATCCTGTATATTACTTGTTTTCCCCTAGGCTCCTGTATAAGTCATGCTTTGCTTAAGGATGGGGATACATTCTAAGAAATGTTTCCTTAGGCAGTTTCATTGTTGTGCATGTTGTTATTTTTAAGAGCTTATTAACTTTTTAACTCTTGATTTGTGATATGTTTTGCAAGTGTTTCCCCAGTTATTTGTCCTTTAATTTTATTTATGGTGTTTTTCTAACATAGAGTCTTTAAAAATTGTCTCTTAGCTGCTATGTCAGTAAAAGAAGTCCTTCAAAGCTTAGTTGATGATGGTATGGTTGACTGTGAGAGGATCGGAACTTCTAATTATTATTGGGCTTTTCCAAGTAAAGCTCTTCATGCAAGGAAACATAAGTTGGAGGTTCTGGAATCTCAGGTAAGCTGCCACAGTTAAAAAGAATAGAGTTGCTTTATAACGGAGAGTTGTTTTACTTCATCCTCTTTTTGTTTAGCAGTTTCTTTTGAATTTTTGATATGCATTATTTGACTGAAAGTCTAAAGATAATTAACATCTGTTTCTCCTAAACAATATGAGGAACTTAGAACGTTTTAATTTTCATCTTCCCATATGTCAAGATATTGTTTTTGTTGTTGCTGTTTTTATTGTTTTTTAATTTTCTCTTTATCAATAGATGGTTTTTTGGAAGCAGTTTTAGACTTACAGAAAAATATTGATGGAAAAGTACAGAGAGTTCCCAAACGTGCCCTTTCTCCCTCACCACGCACACAATTTTCCCTGTTATTGACATCCTATACTAGTGTAATATGTTTGTCACAATTGAGTCAATATTGATTTATTACTAACTAAATTCCGTAGCTTACATTAGGGTTCAGTCTTGGTGTTATACATTATGTGAGTTTTGACAAATGCATGATGACGTGTATCCACAATTATAGTATTGTACAGAATAGTTTCACTGCCCTAAAAATCCGCTGTTTCCTACTTGTTCATCCCTCTCTTCTCCCGAAACCGTAGCAACCACTGATCTTTTTACTGTCTCTATAGTTTTACCTTTTCCATATAGTTGGAATCATACAGTATGTAACCTTTTCAGATTGGCTTCCTTCCCTTAACAAAATGCATTTGAGGTTTCTCCATGTCTATTAATGGCTTGATGGCTCATTTCTTTTTATTGCTGAATAATATTTCGTTATATGAATATACCACAGTTTGTTTATCCATTGAGCTATTGAGGAACATCTGGGTCACATCCAAGTTTGGGCAGTTACAAATAAAGCTGCCATAAGCATTCATGTGTAGGTTTTGTGTACACATAAATTTTCAACACATTTAGTACCAAGGAGCGTGATTGCTGGATTGTATGGTAAGTTTATGTTTACTTTCTAGGAAACTGCCAAAGTATCTGTTTTTGCATTCCCAACTACAGTGGGTAAGAGTTACTATTGGTTCACATCACTGCCAGGATTTGGTGTTGTCAGTGTCTTGTATTTTAGCCATTCTAATAGATGTGTAGTGGTATCTCATTGTTGTTTTAAATTGCCATTCTCTAATGACATATGATTTGGAAGATCTTTTTTTTTTTTTTTTTTTTTTTGTGAGACGGAGTTTCACTTTTTTTGACCAGGCTGGAGTGCAATGGTGCGATCTCAGCTCACTGTAACTTCTGCCTCCCTGGTTCAAGTGATTCTCCTGCCTCAGCCTTCCAAGTAGCTGGGGTTACAGGTGCACACCACCACACCCAACTAATTTTGTATTTTTAGTAGAGACGGGGTTTCACCATGATGGCCAAGCTGGTCTTGAACTCCTGACCTCAGGTGATCCACCCACCTTGGCCTCCCAAAGTGCTGGGATTACAGGCATGAGCCACCACACCCAGCCCTGGAACATCTTTTTTTATGCTTATTTGTCATCTATGTAAAAGGAGGTGTTTAGATCTTTTGCCCATTTTTCAATTGGGTTTTTGTTTTCTCGTTATTGAGTTTTAAGAGTTCTTTGTATATTTTGGACACCAGTTCTTTATCAAATATGTGTTTTTCAAAGATTTCCTCTGAGTCTGTGACTTATCTTTTCATTATCTCAACAGCATCTTTCACAGAGCAGTTTTCAATTTTAATGAAGTCCAACTGGTCAATTTTTTTCTTTCCTGGGACATTCTTTTGGTGTTGTAACTAAATAGTCGTGGCCAAATCCAGGGGCATGTAGATTTTCTCCTATGTTACCTTCTAGGAGTTTTGTAGTTTTGCATTTTACACTTAGATTTATTATCCATTTTGAGTTAATTTTTGGGAAAGGTGTAAAGTGTGTGTCTAAATTCAATTTTTTGTACATACATGTCCAAAGTAACTGTATTTTAGTATAATTTACTTCTTTTCTGTATGTGTGTGTGTGTGTGTGTGTGTATATATATATACACATAAAAATACACACATATATACACAAAAATATATAAATATTTTTATATAAATAAATAAATAAATAAATACTATAAATATTTTTGTGTGTGTGTGAGACAGGGTCTTGCTTTGTGTGTATATGTATATACACATATATACACACATATACATATACACATATATACACATATATTCATATATACACATATATACATATATACACATATATATACACATGTATATATAACTACTAAAGTACCCAGGGTCTTGCTTTGTCACCCAGTCTGGAGTGTAGTGTCGCAAACATGGCTCACTGCAGCCTCGACCTCCCAGGCCCAAGCCATCCTCCCGCCTCAGCCTCCTGAGTAGCTGGGATTATAGGCACACCACCAAACTCTGCTAATTTTTGCACTTTTTTGTAGAGACAGGGTATTGCCATGTTGCCCAGGCTGGTCTTGAACTCCTGAACTCAAGTGATCCACCTACCTCAGCTTCCCAAAGTGCTGGTGGGTGAGCCACTGCGACCGGCCTGTAACCCTGTGCACTTTATGGATTTAAAAACACTTCAAGAAGGAATCCGTACTGAAGGACATCCTTTAGTAATTTGTTCAGCCAGAGTTTAAGAGTGGTAAACTCTCAATCTTTGTTTGAAAATGTCTAATTTATCATTGCTTCCCGAATATAGAATTCTTAGTTATTTTTCCTCAGCATTTTGAAAATATTACTTCATTGTCTTGTGGCATATGTTGCTAATGAGATGTTTTGCTATCATTCTGATTGTCTTGTTTTCCTTAGTAATCTCTCTTCTGTTTGCTTTTAAGATTTCCTTCAGTCTTTGATGTTATGTTTTGATGTTTTATCATGAATCCGAGTTTGCATGTTTTTATTTCCTCTTCTTTAGGACCCTGGCTGCTGCTTCCATGAAATAATTAAAGTCTCCTATTATAGAAAATTCTGGCTGGGCGCAGTGGCTCACGCCTGTAATCCCAGCACTTTGGGAGGCTGAGGCGGGCAGATCACGAGGTCAGGAGATCAAGACCATCCTGGCTAACACGGTGAAACCCTGTCCACTAAAAATACAAAAAAAATAGCCGGGCGTGGTGGTGGGTGCCTGTAGTCCCAGCTACTGGGGAGGCTGGGGCAGGAGAATGGCATGAACCCGGGAGGTGGAGCTTGCAGTGAGCCAAGATCGCGCCACTGCACTCCAGGCTGGGCAACAGAGCAAGACTCAAAAAAAAAGAAAAAAAAAAGAAAATTCTAAGGTGGTATTACTTAAGCTGTTTCCTGTTCCCTAATAGCTCTGTTCTTTCCTTCTGGGATTCCTATTTGTATCCTCATTCTATCGTCTATGTTGTTTAAGAACTCTTTATTTTTTCCATGTCTTTCCATGTCTGTGATTCATTGCAGTTAATTTTCTCAGCTCTCTTTCACTTACAGTTCTTTCCATAACTATTTCTAATCTGCTACTTAGCTGTTCATTAAGTCTTTATTTTAATAATTAGATTTTATCTCTAGAAATTCTATTTGGTCCTTTTTCAGTTCTGCCTATCCTGTTTTTCCTATACTGTTCTATTTCATTATGGCTTCTATTGCTTTCATCTCTTTTATAACTTTAAACATACTGATATGGCTTGGATCTGTGTCCACTCCCAAACCTCATGTCAAATTGTAATCCCCAGTGTTGGAGGTGGGGCCTGATGGCAAGTGATTGGATCTTGGGGGCGGTTTCTCATGAATGGTTTGGCACCATTCCCTCAGTGCTGTTCTTGTGATAGTGAGTGAGTTCTCATGAGATCTGGCTGTTTAAGTGTGTAGCACCTCCCCCGCTTTCAGTCCTGCTTCTGCCATGTAAAATGCCTGCTCGCCCTGAGTAAAGGATCCCTGAGGCCTCCCCAGAAGCAGAAGCCACCATGCTTCCAAGTAGAGCCTGCAGAAGCATGAACCAATTAAACCTCTTTTCTTTATAAATTACCCAGTCTCAGGTATTTATAGCCATGTGAGAACAGCCTAATACACATACTTAACTTATATTTTCAGATTACTTAAATATGTCAAATTTGGGGAGGGCTATTAATTTGATCTGTGTATCTGCTGGCTACTACCATTTGTAGTATTTTTTTAACCTGTATGTTTTTTAGTTTTTATTTATGAGCTCACATTCAATTGGTGATGTTTAGTCTGTGGGAGCCACAGATGCTCTGTGAAATAGTGGTTTAGGCTTGTTTTTTTTAGTCTCTGGGTACTTTAGTAGTTATGGACCAATTTTTATATTAATTTCTTGGCTTACAGTTCCACCGCCTCATGTTTTATACAGGATGAGTACTGCATAAAATTTAGTATGCATGTCTATACATGGCATGGATTGAGAGATTTGTTTTCCTATAGGTGACTTTCCCCCACCCCCACATGAAGTGCAAGATGGAGGTAAGCTCCTTGTTATTTTCCATGGAGTTTGCTGGTACTTTGAGCTATATGCTGGAGCTCAGTTCTAGCTCTCCTTGTCTCATGACCCTTCACACCTGTTTTCCTGGTGTGCATGTTAGACTCCTAGCCCCTAGTTACTTTTCTGTTGTTGCTCTTTGTTTTTTCATTTCTGTCACCTGGGGATAGTTCTTTTTTTTTTTTTTGAGATGGAGTTTCGCTCTTGTCACCCAGGCTGGAGTGCAGAGGCACAAACTCAGTTCACTGCAACCTCTGTCTCCAGAGTTCAAGCAATTCTCCTGCCTCAGCCTCCCAAGTAGCTGGGATTACAAGCGCCCGCCACCACACCTGGCTAATTTTTGTATTTTTGGTAGAGACAGGGTTTTGCCGCTTTAGCCAGGCTGGTCTCGAACTCCCGACCTCAGGTGATCCACCCGCCTCGGCCTCCCAAAGTGCTAGGATTACAGGCATGAGCCATTGCACCCGGCCTTATTTTATTGTTTTATTCATCATTCAAAAAATGTTTTTGCATGTTTTTTGAGTAACAGAAGATGTGCTGGATTTTGGAAATACATGCCCTCAGAGAGCTTTCAGTCAGTTGTAGGAGGACAGTGGGAGAAAAGGAAGAGGCTAGAGAAGGATTGGTGAAGAGATAGGTAGAGGCCATGTCTTATAGGTTCCTCTGTGGCATGATCAGGAGTTCGGACCTACCTAAGAGGGATGGAAAGCCAATGGAAATTTTTACCAGAGAAGTTACATGATGATAAATGCCTTTCTGAAGACAGTATGAAGAGCAGGTTGAGGGAAATGGAGCCTAGGATCAGAGAAATCAGCTATGCGGCTATTGTAATTGCATGGTTAACAAATGAGGACCCATATTGAGGTATCTGCACACTCACTAGGATGGCTACTATCAAAAACACAGAGAAGGCCAGGTGTGGTGGCTTATGCCTGTTATCCCAATACTTTGGGAGGTCGAAGTGGGAGGATCACTTGAGCCCAGGAGTTCACGGCCAGCCTGGGCAACACAGCAAGATTTATTACAAAATAATAATAATAAATTTTTTTCAAAAGAGAATAATAAGTGTTAGCAAGGATTTGGAGAAATTGGAGCTCTTGTGCACTGTTGATGGGAATGTGAAATGGTGCAGCTGCTGTGGAAAACAGTATGGTGGCTCCTCAAAGAGTTATAAATAGAATTACCCTATGATTCAACAATTCTGTGGTGTGCATCTGTGGTCTCAGCTACTTGGGGGGCCTGAGGTGGGAGGATCACTTGAGCCTAGGAATTCAAGACCAGCCTGGCAACATGGCAAGACTCCATCTCTACAAAAAAATGGTAAAAGTAGCTGGGGATAGTGGCAGGCTCCTGTGGTCCCGGCTATTCGAGAGGCTGAGGTGGGAGGATCGCGTGAGCCTAAGAGTTTGAGGTTGCAGTGAGCTGTATTCGTGCCACTGCACTGCAGGTTAGGCCACAGAGTCAGACCCTGTTTAAGAAAAAAAAAAAAAATCCATTTTTGGTACATATCCAAGACTTGAAAGCAGGGTCTTGAAGAGCTATTTGTACACCCACATTCATAGCAGCATTACAGTAGCTGAAAGGTAGAAGCAACCCAAATGACTTTCAATGAATGAATAAACAAAATGTGAAAGTGGAATATTATTCAGCCTTAAAAAGGAATGGAATTCCTTTTATTTATTTATTTAGAGATAGAGTCTCACCCTGTTGCCCAGGCTGAAGTGCAGTGGCACAGTCATAGCTCACTGCAGCCTCAAACTCCTGGGCATAAGCAATTCTCCAGCCTTAGCCTCCTGAGTAGCTAGGATTGCAGGCTCATCCCACCACAAGGAATGAAATTCTGACGAATGCTACAAAATGGATGAACCTTGAGGGCAATATGCTAAGTGAAAAGCCAGTCATAAAAAGACAAATACTCTATGATTCCACATATATGAGGTATCTAGAGTAGTCAAACTTACAGAAATAAAAAATAGAATGAGGCCTGACATTGCTGACCTTGGAAGATAGTTCCACTGGCACTCCTGTCCCTGACTGAAGAACCAGATGTTGTTGCCACCAAAAAAAAAAAAAAAACTATCCAAGCTACCAGTGACAATTCTGGAAGGTATGTGTCATTGGCTAAGCCTGGGTCACGTGTCCACACTCTAGTTGCCAGGAGAGCTGGCGAAGTAAATAATTGGGGTTTCTAGATTTTGTAGTAGGAGTTAGCTGCTTCCTGTTGGCACAAACAGTTCCCCAAAACAGAAGCAGGGTTCAGATGCTGAGCAGCACCCTTGCTCCCATGATAGATAACTCATAAAATAAGAGAAAAAACTCTAGAAAGGAACACAGGACATGGAGTCAAAATAACAACAAATTTATTGAATACCACTATCTGTTGTGTGTTAGATACTGTTCTAGGCACTTGGGATCCATTAGTTAACAAAGGTTGAAAGCAGGGAGATCAGATAGGTTATTGGAATAATCCAACTGTAAAGTTACAGTGGTTTTTTTATTTATTTTATATTTTTTATTTAAGAAAAAGGAAAGAGAAGGCCTCAGAAAAGAGAGGATCTTTTTTTTTTTCTTTTTAAGAGATGGGGTCTTGCTCTGTCACCCAGGCTGGAGTGCAGGGGCACAATCATAGCTCACTGCAGCCTTCAACTCCTGGGCTCAAGCAGTCCTCCCATCTCAGCCTCGCAAAGTTCTGGGATTACTGGTGTGAGCCATTGTGCCTGGCCACGGTAATGATGGTTTAAACCAAAGCAGTGGCAGTGGATTTGTGAAAAAATTGTTGGATTCTGGACGTAGTTTGAAATTAGAGCCAGTAGGATTTCCTTATGGAATGGATGTAGAGTGTGAGGTCAAGAAAGGAATTGTATTAGTTTTTTATGGCTGCCATAGTAAATTAGTGCAAACTTGGTGGCTGCAAATGCAAAAATTTATTCTCACAGCTCTGGAGGCCAGAAGTTAAAAATCAGTGTTACTAGGCCAAAATCAAAGTGTTGGCACAGCTGTTGCTCCTCCAGAGGCTCTCTGGGATAATCTTCCTTGCCTCTTTCAATTTCTGTGGGCTGCCAGCATTCTTTGACTTGTTGCTGCATCACTCTAATTTCTGCCTCTTGGTCACATTGCTTTCTGCTCTGCTGTATGTGTCAAATTTCCCTTTAATAAGGATACATGTGATTGCATTTAGGATCTGTCATAGTAATCCTTGAGATCAGTAATCTCATCTCAAGATCTTGAATCCCATCTGCAAAGTCTTTGCCACATAAGGTGCCATTCACAGGTTCCAAGGATTGGGACCTCCTATCTTTGGGGGACATTATTTAACCTACCACAGCAGTTGTGGATGAATTTTTTAAAAATTCAACTAAGATAGGGAAGACTGCAAGAGGAGCAGTTTCCTAAAGGAAAATCAGAAATTCAGCTTTGACCATGTTAAGTTTGAAGTGACTGTTAGACAAAGAAGTGGAAATATCAAGTAGACAATTAAATATATGAATCTGTAGTTCAGAGACAAGTCTTTATAATTTAACCAACGGCTTCACTAATCTCACTGCAGATGGGGGAGTCCTCACTGAACCCTGACTCTCAAGTTGTTCCACATTTTCTTTGAAGTTATATATTTAGAGTGTTATTGGTTACAAGTACTAGGACATTACTCACACTAGTGGGTTTGTTTTAAGGAACTAGAAATAGGAATGGGAAAACATGTAAGAATAATAACTGGTATTTATTGAGCACTTGTGCCTGGCAGTGAACCATGGTCCTAAATATATTATCTCATTTAATCCCCACAGTATTATGAGGTTAGTATTATATTTGTTTTATAGATGAAGAAACTGAGACACAGAGAGATTAAGAGCTTGTCCAAGGTCTCACAGTAAGTGTGGAATTGGGATTCCGTCTCAGGTATTTTGACTCCAGGGTCCTCATTCTTAATCACCGCTTCTCAAAACAGGTAGCCTGTCTTTCCATTCTCCCCTTCTTACTCTCCCCGCCTCTCCCCTTGGCTGCCAGAGTTGGGTGGAATGGAAGTCTCAAAAGAGCGGTGGCTGGGCAGATATTCTAAAAGTGCTCACCTTATCTCTCTTTTTTTTCAACAGCCTTGCTGAGATATAGTTTATATACCATATAATTCACCCATTTAAAGTGTATGATGTAATAGTTTTTAATATGTTCATTGATAGATGTACAGTCATCACTACAGTCAATTTTAGAACATTTTCATTACCTCAAACAGAAACGCTCTACTCTTTAGCTATTATTCTGAATCTTCTCAGCCCACTCCTCCCACACAGATCTAGGCAACCACTAATCTACTTTCTGTCACTGTAGATTTCCCTGTTCTGGACATTCTATATGAATGGAATCATATAATATGTAGTCTTTCATGACTGACTTCTTTCCCTTGTCATAGTATTTTCAAAGTTCATCTATGTTGTAGTATGTTTCAGTACTTCATTACTTTTTATGGCCAAATAATACTCTGTTGTACACATATACCACATCTAATTTATCCATTCACAAATACACCACATCTCATGTATCCATTCATCTGTTGATGGGCATGTGAGTTTTTTCCACTTTTTGACTATTCTGAATAATGCTGCTCTAAACTTTGATGTACAAGTTTTTGTGTGGACATATGTTTTCATTTCTCTTGGGTGTATACCTAGGAGTAGAACTTCTAGGTCATATGGTAACTCTGTGTTTAATTATGTGAAGAACTGCCAGACTGTTTGCCAGAGCAACTGCGCCATTTTATAGTTCTGATAACAGTGTGTTAGGGCACTCATTTCTCCACATCCTCCCAAAACCTATTTGAATTTTTGATTCTAGCCATCCTTGTGGGTATGAAGTGGTATCTCATTGTGGTTTTGGCTTCCATTTCTCTGATGACTGGTGATGTTGAGCATCTTTTCATGTGCTTCTTGGCCATTTGTATATCTTCCTTGAATAAATTTTTATTATATTCTTTGCCCATATCTCTTCTCTTAAACGTGATGCTGTATTTTTCTTTCCTGCTAGGAAACAACGTGCATATTCATCACTCAGCAAATTTTTAAAATCTTAGTTATGAATTTAGAAACTTTATACAAGGTAATTTACTTATGGGCCTTACTGAACTTCCCTGTCTTCATGTTTTTTTGTTCTTGCTTTTATCCTTTTTGAGAATTCCCTTTTCTCTCCTCTCTATTTAGCCAAATTCTAAACATCTCTCCTCTCAGAAACCTCCTCAAGCTCTCATTGCTTAAAATATTCTTACCCTTCTCTAACCTCCTGTAATATTTTTTATCACAAGTAAAATATATTGCTTTGGCATGTACTGCTGGTTGCCTAGCTAGTCAACATTGTCCTCCTCTTCTTCACTAACAAAACACTTTGTTAAAGGATAGTGTGTCTTACTAAAAAATACTCATCTTTCCAGACTCCCTGGCAACTAATGGTGGCAATGGGAAGCAGGTCTGATAAATGAGATGTAAGTAGAAGACTAGCTTTGACTTTCCTGGGAAAGTTTTCACTTTCCTGAAAAAGGCAAAGCTTCTTTCTCCTCTTTTCTGTGATATGCATTACTGAGATAAAAAGCATAAGGATGAAAGTTCTGTTCATTCATGTCCATATCACATTCTCAAAGAATGACAGAGCCTGGAAAAAAGATCTTGGGTCTCTGGTGGCATCATGAGATACTGTACTAGCCTTATTTAATCCAGTTTTAGTTAAATATTGTTATTTGTGGCCGAATGTGTATTCTAAATGAATACTACTGTTTTGTAGCCTTTAAAAAAAAAGTGTGATTTAGATTTTGTATTAGTTATCCATTGCTATGTAACAAAAATATGTACTCCAAAACAGGGTGACTTTAAGAAATACCAAAACAGGGTGACTTTAAGAAATAGACATTACTATCTCACAGTTCTTGTGACTCGTGAATCCCAGCATGGCTTAGTTGGGTACATCTGGCTCAAGGCCTTATGTGAGGTATAGTCAAACTGTTGGCCAGGGCCATATTCTCATCTGAAGGTTTATCTGGGAGAGGATCTGCTTCCAAATCCAATCATGTGGTTATTGGATTTAGTTCCTTGCAGGGTCTTGGGCTGCAGATCTCAGTTCTATGATGGCTTTTGGCCCAAGGCCTCCCTCAGCTCCTTACCACATGGTTTTCTCCGTAGTACAGCTCACAGTATGGCAGCTGGCTTCTCTCAAAGCAAGCTCATGTGTGAGAGTCCAAGACAGAAGCAGTAGTTTTTTTGTATCTTAATCTAGGAAACAACATCCCATCACCTCAGCCACATTTTATTCCCTAGAAACAAGTCATTAAATTTAGTTTACACTCAAGAGAGGAGATTACACATGAGCATAAATACAGGCATACCTCAGATATTGCAGGTTCAGTTCCATACCACCACAATAAAGGGAATAATGCAATAAAGTGAGGACAGAAACTTTTTGGTTTCTCAGTGCACCTAAAAGTTATATTTATACTATACTGTAATCTATTAAATATGTGATAACATGTTTTTAAAAACTAATGTACATTAATTTAAAAATACTTTATTGCTAAAAAATGCTGATGAGCATCTGAGCCTTCTGTGAGTTGTAATCTTTTTGCAGGTGGAGGGTATTGCCTTGATCTTGATGGCTGCTGACTGATCAGGGTGATGGTTGCTGAAGGGTAGATGGCTATAGTCGTTTTTTAAAAATAAGACAACCGTGAAGTTTGCTCCATTGATTGATTTCACAAAAGATTTCTCTGTAGCATGTGATGCTGTTTGATAGCATTTTACCCACAACAGAACTTTGAAAATTAGAGTCAGTCCTCTCAAACCCTGCCTCTACTTTGTCAATTAAGTTTCAGGAATATTCTAAATCCTTTGTTGCCATTTCAACAATGTTCACAGCGTCTGCATGAGGAATAGATTCCATCTCAAGAAACCACTTTCTTTGCTCATCTATAAGAAGCAATTCCTAGGACCAGGCTCGGTGGCTCAGTCCTGTAATCCCAGCACTTCGGGAGGCTGAGGCAGGCGGATCACTTGAGGATAGGAGTTCAAGACCAGCCTAGCCAACATCGTGAAACCCTGTCTCTACTTAAAATACAAAGATCAGCCGGACGTGGTGGCATACGCCTGGAATCCCAGCTACTCAGGAGGCTGAGACAGGAGAATCACTTGAACCTAGGAGGCGGAGGTTGCAGTGAGCTGAGATCACACCACTGCGCTCCAGCCTGGGTAACACAGCCGGACTCCATCTCAAAAAAAGAAGCAATTTCTCATCCATTTAAGTATTACCATAAGATTGCAGCAATTCAGTCACATCTTTATTCTCTGCTTCTCCTTCTCATTCTTATTCTTGCCATTTCCACCACATCAGTTACTTCTTCCACTGCAGTCTTGAACCCCTCAAAGTCATACATGGGGGCTGGAATCAACTTCTTCCAAATTATTATTAATGTTGATGTTTTGACCTCCTCCCCTTAATCACAAATGTTCTGTTTTGTTTTGTTTTTTGAGATGGAGTCTCACTCTGTCATCCAGGCTGGAGTGCAGTGGCGCGATCCTAGCTCACTGCAACCTCCGCCTCCCGGGTTCAGGTGATTCTCTGGTCTCAGCCTCCTGAGTAGCTGAGATTATGGGCAGGCACCATCACGCCTGGCTAACTTTTGTATTTTTAGTAGAGACAGGGTTTCACGATGTTGGCCAGGCTGGCCTTGAACTTTTGACTTAAGTGATCTGCCCACCTCAGCCTCCCAAAGTGCTGGGATTACAGGCGGGAGCCACCATGCCTGGCCACAGATATTCTTAATGGCATCTAGAATGGTGAATCCTTCCCAGAAGGTTTTCAATTTACTTTGCTCAGATCCGTCAGAGGAGTCACTGTGGCAGTTATAGCCTTACTGAAAGTTTTTCTTAAATAATAAAACTTGAAAGTTGAAATTACTCCTTGATCCACAGGCTGCAGAATGGATATTGTGTTATTAGGCATGAAAACGTTAATCTCCTTGTATATCTTCCTCAGAGTTCTTGGGTGACTAGGTACATTGTCATTGGGCAGTAATATTTTGAAAGAAATCTTTTTTCTGAGCAGCAAGTCTCAACGGTTGGCTTGAAATACCCAGTAAACCATGCTGTAAATCGATATGCTGTCATCTGAGCTTTGTTATTCCACTTATAGGGCACAGGCAGAGTAGATTTAGAATAATTCTTAAGGGCCCTAGGGTTTTCATTGAGCATTGGCTTCAACTAAAGTCACCAGCTGCATTAGCCTCTAATAAGAGTGTCAAGTGTCACCCTGGCCTTTGAAACTTTAAAGTCAGGCATGGACTTCTCCTCTCTAGCTATGAAAGTCCTAGATGGCATCTTTTTCCAACAGAAGGCTGTTTTGTCTACCCTGAAAATTTTTTGTTTAGTGTAGCTTGGCTAGGTCTTCTGGATAACTTGCTTCACTTCATAGTACTTGAAACCTCGTCTTGCACTTTTACATTATGGAGATGGCCTCTTTCCTTAAACTTTATGAGTCAACCTCTTCTAGCTTCCAACTTTTTCTGTGCAGCTTCCTCACCTCTCAGCCTACAGAGAATTGAAGAGAGTTGAGGTTTTGCTCTGGATTAGGCTTTGGCTTAAGGGAACGTTGTGGTTGGCTCGATCCTCTACCCAGACCACTAAAACTTTCTCTATCTCAGCAATACGGCTGTTTTGCTTTCTCATCATTTGCGTGTTTACTAGATTAGCACTTTTAATTTCTTTCAGGAACTTTTCCCTTGCACTCACAACTTGGCTCTTTGGCACAAGAGGCCTAGCTTTCCGCCTGTTTTGGCTTTTGACTGTATCTTCCTAACTAAGCTTAATCATTTCTGGCTTTTGATTGAAAATGAGAGATGTGTGACGTTTTTTCACTTGAATGCTTAGAGGCCACTGTAGGGTTATTAATTGGCCTAATTTCAATATTGTTTTGTCTCAAGGAATAGGGAAGGCCAAGGGAGGGTGAGAGATGGGGGAACGGTGAGTCACTGGAGCAGTCAGAATACACACAGCATATATTAAGTTCACTGTCTTATGTGGGCATGGTTTGTGACACCCCAAAACAATTACAATAGTAACATCAAGATCACAGATCACCGTGACAGATATAATAATAATGAAAAAGTTTAATGCAAGAATTACACAGAGACAAGAAGTGAGCACATGCCATTGGAAAAATGACACCAATAGACTTGCTTGACTCAAGGTAGCCACAAACTTAATTTGTAGAAAACACGCTATCTGAAGTGCAGTAAAGCAAAGCACAATAAAAACGAGGTATGCCTGTGCAAAGAGGGATCGTTCAGGCCATCTTAGAGGATATCATAGGATTTTTTTTAAAAAAAACTTTTTATGTGTGTATATCTTCTTAGTTTTTTAAAAGCAGCTCTAATGAGAAATAAATGACATACAAAAACCTGCTCATATTTAAAGTGTATTCTTTTATAACCTTTGGCATATGTATGTGTCCACGAAACTATCACCACAATCAAGGTAATTGAACATACCAATCAACCCTAAAAGTTTTTTTAATTCCCCTTTGTAAAATCATTCTCTTCCTTCCCTACACTGCTCCCCTCCTCCTATCCCCAGGAAACTTGCTTTGCTTTCTGCCACTATTCATTAGTTTGTATTTCCTAGAATTTTATATAGATGGCATCATGCCGTAGTGTGTACTTTCCCCCACCCCCAGCTTCTTTTACTCAATAAAATTATTTTAAGATTTACCCATGTTGCTTTATGTATTCATTCATTTCTGTTGCTGAGTGGAATTTCAGTGTATGAATATACAACAGTTTATTGATGAACATATAGGTATTAAGCTCTTTTATTGAATGCATAGACATTAAGGATTATGTGCCCTTGATGTATTTATCATTATGAAATGACTTATTTATTCCAGGTAATATTCTTTGTTCTGGTGTTACATAGGAACTCTTTCTTTTGAGTAACTCTTTCTATAGGAAATCTTTTTTTTTTTTTAATAGTAGCATGGCATATCTTTTTCTGTTTACTTTTAATCTTTTTGTATTTTCATATTTAGAGTAAGCTTCTTACATATAGTTGGGACTTGCTTTTTTTGTATAATCTGACAATTTCTGCCTTTTAATTAGGGTGTCTAGACCATTTACATTTAGTGTGATTACCTATGTAGTTATGTTAAATCTGCCATCTTATCTCAACTAGTCTCAAAGTTACTTGAGGACAAGAACTGTGTTTTATTTATTCAACAAATAATTATTGAGCCTCAAGTACTTACCTTCTTACCAGACAATCATTTCTTCCTAAAACTAGGCATAATGGGGGCTGATTCAGCATTTCTTGGTTGACTTCAGAGAAATTCTTTGCATTTGAGGGAAAAGGTCAAATATACGGTTTTTATTTCTTTACTTCTGGATTTCACATAATTTCTACTTAGAAAGTGGGGAAGCTTGCCAAATCTTAATAGAAGTAAGCAAGGAATTCTTGTTAGTACAGTGAATCTAGCTTTTAAAAAATTGAGCTTAATGTCAGTGTTTATTAATTCTGAATGAGAGAATTGGCATCCAGTGTATTTTGTGACATGGCCCTCTTTCCCCACTCTCACGTACCGGAGATCAAAGCTTAATCTGACACACCTGCTCATAAGTTGAAGTCACATCAGAGGCTAACACATAGGTAGATCCTATACCTCCTGTTCTAAGCAGTCCAGAAATAAATGAAGAGCAAGGTTTTGATACGTCATTTCTAAAAGGTTGATAGCCCTTGGCATTTGCTATAGATAACTATTTTTTTAACTCAAATAAAATGACCCTAATGCCATTTCGCAGACCTAAACCTACTTTAATCTTTCACTGGATGTTGAGAAGTCATGAGAGTATCACCCTGTGCCCCTCAGCCATTGTTCTGAAGATCACTTATCATTTTAGAGAAGCAATATGGCTTCATGGAAAGAGTAGTAGTTAGAAAGCAGACATGGATGGAAATCACAGCTTCACTTCTTGACCAGCTGTACAATATTAGAAAAATATCTTAAGCCTTTTAAAGCCTTGGTTTCCTAGTTTGTGAAAGAAAGCTTACACCTACTTCAAGGCGGTTGTAGTGAGGATTAAGTGGTATGTGTAAGATGCCTGGTACTTTAGGCAGTCAGTATATGGTGGCCGCAGATCAGCTAAATCAGTATTGACTCAGGAATAAATACCGTAAGCTTTTTCATTTAGTTAGAACAAATATTTGAGGGTCTACTGTGTGTAAAACATTTTACCAGATACTGAAGGTAGTTCATAAAAGTAGAGGTCAGGGTCCAGACTTCATAAGAAGGAACTTGTAACCTGTGCTGAAGATGAGATATATACACTTGGAAGAGTAAAATGAGTGAAAAGTAATACATGCCAGACTGCCTAAATGAGCATTAGAGATGAAAAATGCTTCAAGAGATGGTGGGATTCACATAAAGATAGAAGCCACTCAGTTCATGTTGGATTGAACTAGGTTCCAAACTTAAGGTTATAGTAAAGATCAGCTTATTCTACATATTGCCAAATTATAATGTTAACTTCCCTTGAGTTTCTTGTTAATTACTTCCAGATGGGGGTTGGGGGAGACTCTTTAATTTTTTTTTTTTCATCACTCTTCTGCCAGTGATTCCAATTATGTGCAGGAATGTTCTTGTCCCTTGAGAACAGACATTCTTATAAGCTGAAAAATCAGGAAACATTTTTTTCTCTTGCCTTTAGGTTGTATGTGTTGATTATTATTAAATACAGTCTATAAGCCTCATGGTTATAATTAACGTTTCTCTTTAACGTCTTCTAAGATAGCAGACAAACCAGCAACTGCTCATTGGCTGTGTTAACTTTGGCGGTTATTTTCTGTGTGGCTGCTCCGTGCATGTGCTGTGCTAAGTTTTTTGGGCAATAAAAAAATAATAGAATATGAGGTTCACATCCAGAGAATTTACACTTTAATTGGTAAGGCAAAATGAATTCCTGATATAGTTAATTAACTTATTGGAAAAAGTTATTTAACTGTGTAATGTTTAATGTATACTCAGTGCCAAATACTGTCTTTGCTATGGGTCCTAATTGTTATACAAGTTTAAAGGATGGCAGGATTTTTATACATTTATATAGCTATGGGAGACTTCTTAGAAATGATTATTTTGAGCTGAAAATTGGGTAGGTTTAGAGGGATGGAGGAAATTCCCAAGGGAAAACAGAAGGAATATTTATTGAGCACTTAGGTACAGTTTTAAGAGCTTTTGCATGTTTTGTATCCTTTGATTCTTACACTTGCATGAAGTACGTATTGCTGCTAACTCTATTTTATGTAAGAGAAAATGGAGGCACTAAGAGATTGAATAATTTGCCCAAGGTGACAGTATTAGTAAATGATGAAGCAAGATTCAAATCCAGGCATTCTTACTCCATAATCCTTGTTTGTAACCACAGATAAACAAAGCTTTAAAGCAGATTACATTTAGTGGATAGTTGGTGACCAGCTTGGAAAAGATATGCAATTTTTTGTTATATAGTAATGGGAAAATAAGGTTGGAAATCAAATGGAGGCCATAATATGGGGTGTTTTATGTTTGGTTGAATTTTGTTGTGTACATGTACACCAAGCAGAGGAAGCTGGAAATTTTCCTGTCAGAATGTTTTTATATTCTTTTGCTTACCTAATTGCTTAAAACAATTAGATTATATGTAAGCTTAGAAAATAGCTGTTATATTCTGATATTAAGCAAAAAATTTTCCTTCTCTGTATATGTGGTTGAATTTTGCTGAAAATAATTTGAGGTGTAGTGATTTATTTCTGAAAAGCTGAAATAAATCTTTGTATTGGCTTGGAAAAATAATTGTTAAACTAACATCTCTAGCTGTGACACAGATGCATTTCTGAAGACTTTTAACATAAATTAATAATTTTAATGGGCAAGAAAAGCTTTATGTGGAAGTGATGAAAGTGGTAGTGCATGTTCTAATCTGCTAGTTCTCCTGAAATATATGTAAATTTTTTTAGTATTTGGATGATAGTGAAGCAGCTATTTTGGCTCGACAGATAATAATTATAAAGATTAATTATGTTGTAGAAACTTCCAACTGAAATGACATTTCTCTGTATGCTGAAGAATATATAGAAATTATTAAAAGTCAAGAGATGACTTTTTCTTCTTGATAGCTATTTCTAGAATTTTAGCTGGAACTTGTTCATTTTCCCCCGTGTGGTAATGATTTAGTCACTGTGTGTGTGGATGTGTGTTTGTGGGTGTGTGCACACACACACTTGAAAGAGAAAAGGAGTGAGTGTGTTTGTGGTCTTTCTGAATATTTTTTCTAAGGAAAAGCCAGGTAAAAATGTGTAAGGATAGGTTCTTCCCATCATCTTCTGGTTCTCTTCTTTGCCCTTCCCAAATAACTTGGTCTTAAGAATGAAAGAACAATTCAACTTCAAGGGAATGACTTCCTCCATTTTACTTTGGCTTGTGTTAGTGGACATAGCATGGGGTACTGTGATGTGCACACAGCCAGGAAAGAGCAATGTTGTAACTGTTATGTTTAACCTGCTATTCCCCTGGAGTCACCTGGCAATACAGGAAGTAACTGACCACTACTGACTTGAAATGCACATTTTTTAGTCTTTTTCCAAAAAGAATAGAATTTCCAAAATTTATTTTTGTATTTGTACCCCTGTCCGTCCCTTCCACACTTCCTGTTCTGACTTACATATTCCTTTTCTCTGGTGCTGTGGTACCCCGAGCATAACTCTAATCTGCTGGACTATGCTACAATTGTTGGCTTACTCAACCCCATGTCTTAGTCAACTTGTATCAGTACCTAGCACCGTTTTTGGCATGTGGTAGATTCAAGTATTTGACAAGTGAATGAAAATTAAAGGAAATAAAGGGTATGAAGTTATTCTTAACAAAAACCTTATACTAATTTGGAGAATTTTATTAATATGGCAGCAAGTCTATGTAGTGGTTTTTGACTGAGTTTTATTTAAAGTTAATGGGTCAGAATTATGAAAATCAAAATCTTTATTTTGTTTTCTTCCCCTGCTGACCTCTTCCTTAGTTCTTCATCCAAGTTCTGGTTTATACCCCACTTGTTGCCACTGGAAGGTAGTTTGGGGACATATTTTTTAGGGATTGGCTTATGATAAGGATTACATTTTGAAATCCATACTAAGCTGAATTTTAGATATTGTGTATTGGTTTAGGGAGGACACTAACAGATATTCTTAGGACAACTTAAGTATTTGTTTTGTTTTGTTACCAATTTTTAGAAGTGAATATATACAGTTCTTTATAGCTAAAACTGAGTGCATCAAGAGTAGGTTAATTATTGGGCTGTGTAGATAACTTGAAATGTTTTTGAATAAAAATAGGCATCTCTACTGAAGTTTATTCAGTTCTGTAAATGTTTAGTGAATGCTTGCTATGGCAGGCATTGTGATTGATGAGAGGGACATAAGAATGAATTAGGTAGTTTCTGTTCTCTAGAACCTCTCACTCTAATGAAGAGATGGCCATGTCAACAAATCATTGCAATATGGTGTGATATATGCAATGCTGAAAAATAATGATAGTACAAAAGAGGGTGAAAGTCAGTTCTGCTTCCGAAAAGGCTTTATAGTTAAGGAGACGTGTAAGTTGGTGCTAGAAAGATCTGTGGGAGCTCATAAGGGAATTGAAGGGTGAAGGGCACTATAGCGCAGTGATTTAAGGGAGTAGACTCTAGACCTAGACTCCCTAGATTCAGATTTAACTTCCGCCATTTACATGCTGTGCCTGGCTTTTTTCTTTTTCTTTATCTATAATGGACCAATTATAGTTGTATGTGCCTTGTTCTTTTTGCTTGGAAGTTTTTTAATCCCTTCCTCCTCAGCAGAGTATAATACTTTTTTGTGCTGTGACTGTCTTTTATATATATCTTTTCTCAAGTGAAGTCCTTATGTGCCTTGTTTTCTATGGCAGACTTTCTTTGAAGGCAGGGTCTATATCTTAATCGTTTTCTATCTCCCACGTGGAATGCAGTCTCTGAGACACACTGAAACATACAGAAACATGATGAATTTTGAGTGAATGCATAAATCAATATATCACAGCCTTGTTTCTGTCCCAGCTATTGTGTACTGGGTCCAGTAGTCTTACTCCCTGGCCCATACCTTTTCTTTGACTCCCAGTCTACACATACAGCAGAAAAGGTGGTTTCCATTAAATAGTTATTTTAGTAATCTTGATTTTTTTTCTAGAACTCAGCTTCAGAAATACATATTGTATAGAAATAATTAAATGTGAATTTTTAACTTTTTTTTCTACTAGCTTACCTGAATTATATTTTGCTGGGCCTGAGCTCAGCATTACCCAAAGTAATTCTGTGGAATGGATATATGATAAGTGTTACATAAAAGGGGGTTCTATAATCAAAGGAATTTGAGCAATCCTGGGTTGACAAAGATAAACTAGTTTGACTTTTCTAAAGCTTTAATATGCCAGCATGCATTGTGAATCTCATTCAACCCATTTTTATGAGGGATTGGTGATCCATGGAATACACTTTGGAGAAATGCTGCCTAAGTTTATGGGTTCATTTTAGCAAATAAGACTATTTACTGTCCTAGACTACTTTTTCTCCCCAGAGCTGACATATATTCTATGTTGATACCTGGAATAGTCTCACCAGTTGGCAAATCATATCCCAACATGTGCAAAGTGCTGTTGATAACAACTGGTGTTTTTTGACTCCTTTGCTAATTAAATATACCTGTATGGAGTCTCTGAAAGAGCCCAATCCACATTCCTTATCCTTAACAACTCCCTTCTTATAAGGGACTTCAGTATAGTAGTCAACTTTCTTAGTGCATGTATAAGTGTCTATAGATTAAACATCTGTTCTCTCCACTGATTTAGCATACTTTAAATTTGTATCTCTAACATGACATTAGCAAGTGAGAACTTTTGAAACCACAAAAGCGGGCTGCGCGCGGTGACTCACGTCTGTAATCCCAGCACTTTGGGAGGCCTAGGTGGGTGGATCACAAGGTCAGGGGACTGAGACCATCCTGGCTAACACGGTGAAACCCCGTCTCTACTAAAAGTACCAAAAAAATTAGCTGGGCGTGGTTGCAGGCGCCTGTAGTCCTAGCTACTCGGAAGGCTGAGGTAGGAGAATGGCGTGAACCCAGGAGACGGAGCTTGCAGTGAGCCGAGATCCTGCCACTGCACTCCAGCCTGGGCGACAGAGCGAGACTCTGTCTCAAAAAAAAAAAAAAAGAAGAAGAAGAAGAAGAAAAGAAAAAAAAAAAGAAACCACAAAAGCTACATATTCTATTTTAAAATACTGATATTTCCATTTTTTAAGTAAGTCTGAACTGGACAGAGCCATTCTAAAAGGCCAGGAACAGTGGCTCAATCCTGTAATCCAGTGCTCTGGGAGGCCAAGATGAGGATGGCTTAAGTCCAGGAGTTTGAGACCAGCTTGACCGTGATAGCAAGCCTCATCTCTGCAAAATAAATAAATAAATAAATAAGAAAAATTAGCCAGGCGTGGTGGCTCACGCCTGTAATCCCGGCACTTTGGGAGGCTGAGATGGGTGGATCACGAGGTCAGGAGTTCGAAACCAGCCTGACCAGCATGGTGAAACCCCGTCTCTACTAAAAATACAAAAATTAGCTGGGCATGGTGATGTGTGCCTGTAATCCCAGCTACTCAGGAGACTGAAGCAGGAGAATCGCTTGAACCCGGGAGGCAGAGGTTGCAGTGAGCCGAGACCACACCACTGCACTTCAGCCTGTGCAACAGAGCAAGACTCCATCTCAAAAAAAAAAAAAAAAAAAAAAAAAAATCAGGTGTTGTGGCGCACACCTGTAGTCCCAGCTACTCAGGAGGCTGAGGTAGGAGGATGGCTTGAGCCCAAGAGATTGAGGCTACAGTGATCTATGATTGTTCCACATATTTCAGTCTGGGCAACAAAGCACGACCCTATCCCCCCATACCAAAAAAAATTATTCACTGTAGATGAAAAGAATAAAGAAAATTAAATGGTCTGTGGTATCATTCAAAACTAATTACTGTGGACATTTTTATATAATTTTTTTTCTCTTTTATATGCATGAATCAGGATATTTTTAGCCACAAATAACAGAAAAGTAGATCAAAGTTGGCTTAAATAATAGGAGTTGATTATCTTATGTAACAAATTTGGAGGTAGCTTCTTTCAGGATTGGTTAATCCCACCACACATTGATATCAGAGGTCTGGACTAGATTTCTTTTTTTTTGGCATTTTTTGGATTTTCCTTTTTACATGCAAGTAGTTACTGCAGCTACTGTGTCCTACCATGACAACACCAAAGCAGAAAGAAAGATGAACTGTCTTCTTGGACATCTCTCTTTATCCAGGAGAAGTATCCCAGAATGTCTCCTGTCCCAAGTAGGCTTTCTTTTATGTCTTATTGGCCAGATCTGAATTCCTTGCTCACACTGAAAGGATCTAAGTGAAAAAAATTCATGCTCTGGGAAGGGACCATCCTCTGAGCACATTACCACCTCAGTCTGAACAGAAATTGTAGTTCTCTTAACGAAGAAGGGCTGGCTTTGGAGAGGCAACTAACAGGATCTGCCAAATTATATCTCTGTGCACTTAAAAGCCACTTTTTCTAAACCGAATTGTCTTATTACTTCTCTGTTGACCTGGATAATCCAGAATTAGATATATAATTGTTGAAATTAAACGACTCAAAGATTGTGGGGGGAATAAGGTAAATAAACTAAGATTTTTTTACTGGTAAGTTATTTTAAATAATGCTGAAAAGTATAATATTACAACTCTGAAGCTTATATGAATTTGTGTGGTATAACTTAAGACATCAGAGTTTTTTTTTTTTAAGGCAGACTGTCGCTCTGTTGCCCAGGCTGGAGTACAGTGGTGCGATCTCGGCTCACTGCAAGCTCCGCCTCCTGGGTTCACGCCATTCTCCTGCCTCAGCCTCCCAAGTAGCTGGGACTATAGGCGCCTGCCACCACACCCGGCTAATTTTTTGTATTTTTAGTAGAGACAGGGTTTCAACGTGTTAGCCAGGATGGTTTCGATCTCCTGACCTTGTGATCCGCCTGCCTCGGCCTCCCAAAGTGCTGGGATTACAGGTATCAGCCACTGCGCCCGGCCAGAGATTTATTTTTATATTTATTGTCTGTTTTGCTTTTGTGGTAGGTAGCTTTGGGCTGGGCTTCCAAACCTTCCTCCAGCAATGATTCTCCTTTGCTGTTGAAGCTATTTGGTAGATGAACCTGAGAAGGCTGACCCTACAGCTATAGAATTCCCATTCCCAAACACCCCTCAGTGTTTCATATGAGATACAGGTTTGTGGCAGCCATTCTTCAAAAATATACTCCCCCCAAATCAGACAACCTTGAAAAGATTTATTCTACAAAAAACTGGGCCTACAATTTTGATGCTGCTACCAGGTAGTGGCAGAGTGTCAAAGTTATATATATTCTTACTTTCCTGAAATAGCCTTAATTTCAAATTGTTTGGGCTGTTTTGCTGCCCCCAAAGCATATCGATATTTCATAAATTTTAAAATTTCAGTATTCATAACATCTCTGGCTGCTATATATATAATATATATAATATAATATATATATATATATATATATATATTTTTTTTTTTTTTTTTTTTTTTTTTTTTTTAAGAGATAGAGTCTTGCTGTGTTTCCCAGGCTGGAATGCAGTAGCTATTCATGGCCATGATCCCACTACTGATCAGCATGGGAGTTTTTACCTGTTCCGTTTCCTACCAGGGCTGGTTCACCCCTGCTTAGGCAATCCAGTGGTCCCCACTCCCAGGAGGTCACCATATTGGTGCCAAACTTAGTGTAGACACCTGATCAGCATAGCACACAACAGCCTAGAACTCCTGGCCTTAAGCGCTCCTTAGCCTCCTAAGTGGCTGGGACTACAGGTGCACACCACCACACCAGGCTATATACTTAGAAGTTTCATAAAAATAACCTTGTTAGGAGGGTGCTTTTTTTCATTTAAAGTCTAGCTCTTACTTGACTCAAGGGCATGGTTTAAACATCCAGGCCTGTATTTCATCACATTCAGATACAGGGCCTTGTTCAGGTTCCTCAGTATTTATATTTACTTAACCATAACTTTTGTATATGATAACTTATTTTGAAAAAAAATAGCTTAACTTTAGATTCTAAAGAAAGCAATCTCAGTTTTAAATTATATTAATTGTTATTTTTTAAAGTTATATGCATTCACCTTTCAGATAACCTCTAACACTTTGGTTTACCATCAATCTTTGTTTGGTGGGTTGCTCACAACTCTTGAGCTAGTTTGCCATTAGAATGTGTTCGCTTGCTTTCTTCGCTCTTCTTTAGCTATATAGCCCATGGAAGGGAAGGCATTACTTTGCCCTTTTAATTTTTTGAAATCCAAGTCCTCTTGAACCATTCTACTGTAAGAGGCAGAAGTAGAAAAGTAAGAGTATTATTCTCTTAAAAAGATAAAAGCCTTTATGGCCAGGTACTCTAATCACTGAATATTTCTCAGACTTTATAAATTTAATGGGAAGTTTATTTTAACCTGATCTAAATAGAAATTTAAATCTTTAAGTTAATTCTATTTAAGTAGAAATTGTAGTTTAAACTCTTAACTGGTGTTTCTTAGCAAATAATTTGTTTTATTTTAGATCGATGCCTTCTAATAAACAAAATTAAAGGAACTGAATAACATTACATTAAAACATTTAAAATAGTAATTAAACAATATTTTCATTAGAAATTTCAATGGTGGACAATCTTAATTCTCATAAGTATTCAGAAATGCCAGAAGTAAAACTGAATCAAGTATGAGAAACTTTCAGCCTAGACAACTTGAGTGACATGATGGAGACTACTGAATAGGCTAACTTTTAGGCCCATTCTTTCCCAATGCTCTTGGAAAAAAAATAGGAAAAAAGCAATTCCATATGTGAAAATAATTTTGCTGATCTTTAGCATCTATGTAGATCTGTTGGGAGGTTCTTTCAGTTTTTATAATACATAAAATTAGGACCTTGGCCAGCAAGCCTGAAATTTGTTGAGTATATGAGTATTTCCATGGACTGCATGTGACCCACACACAAAAGTGAGAGAACAAGAGCTCACCTCGAACTGTGTTAAATTCTGTCCCAGAGAAGGGCATTGAAACCTAACGGAGAGTCTGTGTACTATGAATCTCTGAAAACCCAGGCTGGGAGGAAATTGGGGGCAAACAGAGAAGCCGGATGGTGAGAGGTGGAATGTTGGGTAGCAGCCAGAAAAATAGAATGTGTTTTCTACATCATGTGGATTGCAGCTGGGGAGTGTCCAGCAGGGACACCCACAAAGAACCCAGAAGTGTGGCCTAAAAGGATTTAGCTTAAATATATCCTAGGCCCAGAGAACACTGAGGCATTTTAACAACAATACTTGTTAAGTGTATTTCCTGTCTCGTTTACCTCCTCTCTCTTTCTCTCCTTTTCTCCAGGCCTTGGTTGGGATAAGGGACAGGAAGCTGAACTTGCAGTCAGTGGACTGGTAGAACTCTAGACTAAAAAAGAGACAAAGATTACGTGCCCTCCCTAGCAGACTTCTGTTGTGACTCCTGAAGCACTCTCCATCATGTCCTTATTACAGAGGTAGCATGAAGGAGAGAGGGAAGGGTAAAGGGCACATCCGCTTCCAACATCTGATCCCATTTCATTGGACAAAACTTAGTCATATGGCTACATCTGATTTGAAGTAGGCGGGGAAATACAGTTTCTTGTTTTTTATTTTTAGCTAGACCTATTGTCTGAGGTCCTGTTACTAAGAAAGAATGGATATTGGTAGACAATTAGTGGCCTCTGCAACTTAGCCCTCATCTCTGAATTTGTTATAGGAGAACCCATTTCTCAGGTCTAAACAGTCTGTAAACATTCATAAGTTTATATGTAACTTCCTTCATGGCATCAGTTGGATTTTGCATGTCTTTGACTCTCAAAATATCTGAATGGTTTCTAACTGGATTCTGCGTAAGCCTTTGACTGTAGCCACGACCAAGTTCATTGTCCTGACACTGTTAGGCTTCTGTTGGATCTTTCATATCTCTTAACTACTTCTTAATATTTTTAATCCTTCCTAGAAGTTAAAAATGGTTCCTTTTAAAATCTGCCTGCTTTTTTTCATCCATATTTCCATTTCTACTTTCTGCTTTTTTTTTTTTTTTTTTTTTTTTTTTAAAGAGCCAGGGCCTCACTCTGTTGCACAGGCTGGAGTGTAGTGGTGCAATCATGGCTCACTGTAGCCTTGACTTTGTGGCTCAAGTGATCCTCATTCCTCACCCTCTTGAGTAGCTAGGACTACAGGTGCATGCCACCATGCCCAGCTAATGTTTAATTTTTTTTTTTTTTTTTTTTTTTTTTTTTGTCAGAGATAGGGTCTTGCTCTCCTGGCCAGGCTGGTCTCAAACTCCTGGCCTCAACCGATCTTCCCACCTTGGCCTCCCAAAGTGTTGGGATTACAGGCGTGAGCCACTATGCACAGCCTATTTCTACTTTTATTACTTTAGTCTTATTAAATCTAGTTGAGGTACTAGTCACTTGTTAGGCTCTGACTCTGCCTGACAGTTCGTTTTTTCACATTGTAATTGATTGTGGTCCTATCTTTAGCAGGCATTATTTTATGTGTGTCTCAGCATGTACTTATTAAGTGGCTTCACTTGTCCTTTATGTTTCTTACTTGATGGGATTTTCATACTCTTTATGTCCATTATTTAGGATTTCTGGACTACATTTCTTATTTCCAGGTTCTTAATGTGTTCCTCAGGGTTGGATTGCTGGAAATTTAACCCTCTGGTTAAGTGGAACATGAATATGCTGTATTCTTGCTAGCTTCACAGAGTGTTTTCTTTTAATGACTACTGTCTTACAGCATATAATGAAAAATAAGTTAATCCAAAAATATTCAACAAACATCCAGTACTCACTACATGCAAAGCAATACCTTAAGTTGTTCATTACCCAGCTATATTTTGTGAAAAGATCTGAGCCAATAATACTGTAACTGTATATGTAGTAGGTACTTTATAAATGCTTATTGAATGAAGAGCTTTCCTGGCATGCATTACTTCATTCCAGCCACTCTTATTCTTGGACACTTTGTTGTATGTCCCAAAATAGAGGAATAGGATGTTTTAAATTTGATATCTCCCGAAATTTTTCACAACCTTCATAGTTGGCCAGCACTATATGAAAGAGATTATTATTAAAGCTTTATGCATTGTAACAGTTAAAATATTTACTGTGTTAAAGGCAGAAAATCCAGGTTTAAGAGGGGAGATTGATTTAACGACTCATTTAAGTTCAAATTTTTCAAAAGTAGAGTATGGTCCAGGCACAGTGGCTCATGCCTGTAATACCAACACTTTGGGAGGCCAATGCAAGAAGACTGCTTGACTCCAGGGGTTCAGGACCAGCCTGGTCAACATGGTAAAACACTGCCTCTACGAAAAATACAAAAATTAGCCCAGTGTGGTGGTGCACACTTGTTTTCCCAGCTGCTCAGGAGGCTGAGGTGGGAGGATTGCTTGAGCTTAGGAGGTCGGGGTTGCAGTGAGCCACAATCATGCCACCGCACTCTAGCCTGGGTGACAGAGTGAGACCCTGTCTCAAAAAAAAAAAAAAAAAAAGAAAAGAAAATGGTAGAGCATGCTTCAGACATCATTTAAGACTCTGACTCCATTTCTCTGCATTTATCTTGGCTTTGCCTTTTGTGTGATGCTCATGTCCTCAGGTTGGCTTTCTTCATGATGACAAGGTGGATGCCAGCAGTAATTTGGGCTGTTTGCCTCGTTGTAGCTATGTAGTTTAGAATCCAGAGGGCAGGGAGAGTTGTTTCCCACAACCACTGAACAAAAGACTTTGAACTCATGTAGACAGTGGACTTTGGATGATAATGATGTCAATGTAGGTTCACTGATTGTAGCAAATGTACCATCTTGCGTGGGATTTTGATAGCAGAGGAGGCTGTACATATGTGGAATTAGGTCACCTATGGGAAATCTCTATACCTTTCATTCAGTTGTACTTTGAACCTAAAACTGCTCTAAAACATTGAAGTGTTTTGTTTTTTGTTTTTTGTTTTTGTTTTTTTTTAATGAATGAGTCCAGGCTTGGTGTTCACGCCTGTTATCCCAGGACTTTGGGAGACTGTGGCAGGAGGATCGCATGAGACCAGGAGTCTGAGACCAGCCTGGGCAACATAGTGAGAACTCGTCTCTACAAAAAAAAAAAAAAATTTAATTAGCCGGGTATGATGGTGCATACCTGTAGTCCTAGCTACTCGGGAGGCTGGAGCAGGAGGATCACTTGAGCCCAGGAGTTTTGAGGCTACAATGAGCTATGATTGCACTAGTGCATTCCAGCCTGAGCAACAGTGGGAGACTGTGGATCATGAGGTCAGGAGTTTGAGACCAACCTGACCAACATCGTGAAACCCTATCTCTACTAAAAATACAAAAATTAGTCAGGCGTGGTGGCATACCCCTGTAATCCCAGCTACTCAGGAGGCTGAGGCAGGAGAACCACTTGAACCCGGGAGGTGGAGGTTGCAGTGAGCTGAGATCACACCACTGCACTCCAGCTTGGGCGACAGAGCAAGACTCCATCTCAACAACAACAACAACAAAAAAGAAATCAAAGTAGACCTAACTATATATGCAGATGTGGAAATTTCTCTGAAAATAGCAAGGCATAAGACACTAAGTAAAGTATAATCCCCTACATGTTTTTAATGTTATCCATATTGATCTATATCTAGATGTAAAGCAAAGAAATAAGACAAGAAGGATGCACACTGGGCTTTACAGGGGTCACTCTGGGGAGGGTGTTGTAGGGATGGTGCAGAGGAGGTGGAAAGGCAAATGAGGATTTAGCTTTGAGTCTTTTAAAACGAGAATGCTCACATTTTAATCTTTTGAGAATATATTCATATAACAGGAAAATAATTTTTAAAATACTAGTTATATATGCTCATTATATAGAAAACTTAAAAGTATGTTTCACAACACAGAGATAACCATTGCTTAGATTTAGTGCATTTTCTTGCAGTGGTTTTTGTTTGTTTGTTGTTTTTTTGGTCATAGATAGGCTGTCATTGTATTATAGTTTTCCTTCTAGCTTTTAAAAAACTCAGTTGTATCCCACGGGAATTTTTCATTAAAAATACTTTGAAAACACTTCCATTGGTTGTGTAATTATGACATATTTATACCATGAAATATGAACATTTCTCTATTGCTGAGACAGGTATATTGCTCCCATCTTTATATATAAATATATCTTTACAGTGTTTATTGTTTCCTTATGATTAATTTTTAAATGGAATATTACCTTTATTAGAAGATACAAATTTTAAATTTTAACGTAAACAAGGCCAGGCTCAGTCACTCATACCTGTAATCCCAACACTTGGAAAGCCAAGTCAGGAAGATTGCTTGAGTTCAGGAATTGGAGACCAGCCTGGACAACATAGTGAGACCCCATCTCTGCAAAAAAATGAAAAATAAAAAAATTAGCTGGCATGGTGGTGCCTACCTGTAGTCGTAGCTACTCAGGAGGCTGAGGCGGGAAGATTGCTTGAGCCTGGGAGATCATGATCACACCACTACACTCCAGCCTGGGTGACAGAACGAGACCCTGTCACAAAGCAAAACAAGGAAACAAAAAACCCAAATAAATAAATAAATTGTATGGCTTTTTTTTTCTTTTTAAAGCAGAATGGAAATATAACCTTTTTTTTTTCCACAACATACTGCACGAATTTTGATAAAGCAGTAGACTGATCTAGTTGCTTTTGCTATTATCTCTTTCTCATTCTCTGTTCCTTGGCATTCTTTCCCATCTGTGACCGTCTCTATATTCCTCCCTTAATGCTTCGACATTTTTTTAATTTCTAAAAAAGAATAAATCAGAATTCCAATGCAGCCAGCTTGAATCAATTATTCTGTGTCTTATGAATAGTCAGTTCCTCCAGGCAATGAATTAGCCCTTTAGAAAACATTGGCATTATGTTTCTCAATCCTGATTATCTGTATAGGTGACCTGGAATGCATTTAAAGAGAAGCACTGTGTCAGTTCCTCAGATCTAAAGATGAAATCCTAGGCTGGGCGTGGTGGCTCATGCCTGTAATTCCAGCACTTTGGGAGGACAAGGCGGGAGGATCACCTGAGCCCGGGAGTTTGAGACTAGCCTGGGCAACATAGTGAGACCTTGTCTCTACAATAAAAATTAAAAATTAGGCATAGTGGTACATGCCTGTAGTCCCAGCTACTCAGGAGGCTCAGGTAGGAGGATTGCCTGAACCCTGCATTTCAAGGCTGTAGTGAGCCATGATCATGCCACTGCATTCCAGCCTGAACAACAGAGTAAGACCCTGTCTCAAAAAAATAAATAAAGATGAAATCCTGTTTTTACTAATTATAAGTAGTTTTTATTGTTGCAGCTGCAGTTTTGTTCTGGGTTACTGAGTTTTTAAAAATTATTATTTACTTTAGTGAAATTTGGAAGTGGATTTGTTACAGTATATAATTGTGACACAAGATTTTTCCCAGCCACTTTGCCAACTGGAGACCTCCACAGCCAGCAGCACCCCACTAGCCCCAACCCGGGCCTTGCTCAGCCCCAGGCCTGCTGCTGGAGGTACCCTGCCCACTCAGCCCACCTGTGTTACAGCTTGTACTGCCATTGGCGGTTCCCGAGCTCTTATTCTGCTTCCAAGAAGAACAAGAATATACTGACAGTTGAAGGGTAAGGATGGACAGAGAAGAATTTCACTGAGCGACAGAACAGGTCTCAGTGGAGAGGGGACTCAGGGGATGGTCCCCTACCCCATAGTCCGATGGTTTCTTTCCCAGTGTGGCTGAATCTGGGGCTTTTATGGGCACAGAATAGGGGAGTACATACTGATTGGTTTGTGAGTATGCAAAGAAAGACTAAAGGCACCACTCAGAGGTGAGCACAGCAATATAGAAAACCAATTAGGAAAGGGTAGGTATATGTAAAATAGGTGAAGCGTGCGGATCAGAGGAAAGCCACCAAATGGGAAGACGGGTTCTCAATCTAGTCCTTGGATTTAATTTGTAGCTTGGCTTTCAGGCTTTAAACTGTCTTCAGCTTGGAGGCGAGGTTTCACCAGGGACCCGCCTCTATCTGCCTAGGCATTTTTCTGCCTCCTGCCATTATCAATTGCATTATAGAATGTTGAAGACTTTGCTCTTTAAGGGAATATTATGGTAAATACCTTTTTATTTATTTATTTATTTATTTATATTTTAGATGAAGTCTTGCTTTTTCACCCAGGCTGGAGTGCAGTAGTGCAATCTTGGCTCACTGCAACCTCTGCCTCCTGGGTTCAAGCGATTCTCCTGCCTCAGTCTCCTGAGTAGCTGGGATTACAGGCGTATGCCACCACACCCAGCTAATTTTTGTATTTTTAGTAGTGACGGGATTTCACCATGTTGGTCAGGCTGGTCTCGAACACCTGACCTCAAGTGATCCACCTGCCTTGGCCTCTCAAAGTGCTGGGATTACTGGTGTAAGCCACTGCGCCCAGCCCATGCCTTTTTAAAAGTATAGGCTATCACCTCTCTATTTTTGTAAATGTGGACTTTTGTATTTCTTTTAAAGACAAACATTAAGATGTTTTCTACTTCAGGCTACAGTATTTAGCAATAATTCATCTTTGCTTGTGAGCTAGATAATATTTTTCTGTATATAAATATCCTGTGTGTTTTAGTTGGGTTTGTTACTGTAAGAAAATAGATTCTTGTTTAGTTCACTAATTCTCAGAAATGTGGTGTCCCCAACTAGCAGCATCACCTGGGAACATACTAGAAATGCACATTATTGGGCCCCACCCCAGATGTGCTATTCGGAAACTCAGGAGGTAGAGCCCAGCAACCTGTGCCTTAAAAAGCCCTTTGGCTTTTTTTTTTTTTTTATATGCTAAAGTTTGATAACTACTGGTTCAGATAGTTTATATATGGCGACTAGAAATCTCAGCTTTTATCACATGAGGACTACATTTGGTTTATTTCCAAGGTGTAGGTTAGGAACTATGGCAGTAGTGCAGTTGTATAGATGAAAAGCTGATAGCATGGGCAGCCCCACAAGAGTTGCTTTCATTGTTTGTTTCCAGTGGTTGGGATTTTAAGAACTACGCAGTGAGCCAAGAATCCTTCACTATTGAGTTGAACCAAATTATTTCAGTACTTAGGATAATTAGCAGAAGCTTTTCCTTTAATAACATCATTTGGATTGTGCCTCCCTGTATTACCAAGATACTTAAAATGACAAATCATGAATTCCATGCTTCACATTTGAAATATGTAAGATTATTTTCATAATTAAGGAATTTCTGAATGAGCTCTCTTTCAAATGCTTTTAAGTTGTAAATAATTCCAAACAGATGTATAGTACCTGAAAGACTCTTAATTAATATAGTTAAGGTATATATCCTGGCTGGGTGTGGTGACTCATGCCTGCAATCCCAGTGCTCTAGGAAGCCCAGGTGCACTAATTGCTCGAGCCCAGGAGTTCAAGACCAGCCTGGGCAACATGACAAAGTTCATCTCTACAAAAAAAATACAAAAATTAGCCGGGCGTGGTAGCATGTGTCTGTGGTTCCAGCTACTTGGGAGGCTGAGGTGGGAGGATTGTTTGAGCCTGGAAGGCAAAGGTTGCAGTGAGCCAAGTTCGGGCCACTGCATTCCAGCCCCTGTCTCAAAAAACAAAACAAAACAAAAAAACAGAACCAGCCCGTCTCAAAAAAAAAGGTATATATATGTGTGTGTGTGTGTGTGTGTGTGTGTATATGTGTGTGTGTGTGTGTGTGTGTATATAAAATGTTCTTTAATTATTGGCTTTTATATAATTAGTAACTTTTTGGATAATGTCTACCTGTCTGGTTATTTTAAAAACACTTTTAATGGAAAAATGTTATGCTAAAATATGTATTTTTTTAATTGGAAAAAATTATTTACTCCTAAATTTAAATGTTATGTATATATTTTAATTAGTCCAGGTAGGTCCTTCAGGGTGGAATATTAACTTCTTTTTTTAAATTTTTTTTATTTTGAGATAGAGTATCACCCTGTTGCCCAGGCTGGAGCACAGTGGTGCGGTCTCAACTCATTGCAACCTCTGCCTCCCAGGTTCAAGCGATTCTTGTGCCTCAGCCTCTCGAGTAGCTGGGATTATAGGTGTGCGCCACCACGACTGGCTAATTTTGTATTTTTAGTAGAGACAGGGTTTCCCCATGTTGGTCAGGCTAATATTAACTTTTAAATTATGACTTTATTTTATAAATGGGAACTCTTTTTTAAAAGAACTAGACTCCGGCCGGGTGTGGTGGCTTACGCCTGTGATCCCAGCACTTTGGGAGGCTGAGGTGGGTGGATTGCTTGAGGTCAGGAGTTCGAGACCAGCCTGACCAACATGGCGAAACCCCATCTCTACTAAAAATACAAAAAATTCGTCGGATGTGGTGGTGGGTGCCTGTAATCCCAGCTACTCCAGAGGCTGAGGCAGCAGAATCGCTCGAACCTGGGAGGCGGAGGTTACAGTGAGCCAAGATTGCGCCATTGCACTCCAGCCTGGGCAAGAAGAGTGAAACTCCATCATACACACACACACACACACACACATACATACATATATATATCACACAGCAGATTTTTTTTTTAACTTAGGAAGATAATTACTCGCAAGGAGAGGTATAACTGGTTTGTGGTGGTGTCTGCCTGGCATTATCTATAGATCTTGTTCATGCTATGGATTAGAATCAGTGACTGGAAAACTGTTAAAGGAAAGCTTGCAACAGTTCCTTTATGCGTACTGAGAAGTGAAAGATTTCCCAAAGCAAGGGTAAACCTACCAACTTTTTGAAGATAGTATTTCTGAATTTTAAGCAAAAAAAGGGTATCTATTATCTACTCTTTACATATAACTAGATCATATTGTGAACAGTTAGGTTTTTGTTGTTTTTTTGTGGGGGGCAGTTTAGTTTTTTTTTTGAGATGGAGTCTTGCTCTGTCACCCAGGCTGGAGTGCAGTGGCGCGATCTCGGCTCACTGCAAGCTCCACCTCCCGGGTTCATGCCATTCTCCCACCTCAGCCTCCCAAGTAGCTGGGACTACAAGCGCACGCCACCACACCCAGCTAATTTTGTTTTTATATTTTCAGTAGAGACGGGGTTTCACCATGTTAGCCAGGATGGTCTCGATCTCCTGACCTCGTGATCGGCCCGCCTCAGCCTCCCAAAGTGCTGGGATTACAGGTGTGAGCCACCATGCCCGGCCGTAAACAGTTAGTTTTTTATAATCAGCCAACAGAAATTAAATCTATCCAATTATTAATTATTTTCTAAGTGTTTATAATTCAAGAGTGAGGGAGGAGTGGAATATTTTTTAAGAAGGCCCTTACCTAATCACATGAATCTGTAATTTCTAACTAGTTTATAGCAAAAGATGTGGAGAATTTGGTATTTGGAATTCCCTGTGATTATTTGTTCCCTTGTAGACCCAGGTGAGATTAATAAAATTGAGAAAAGAAGCCAACACTCTGAAATTAACCAGTCCTTTTTGATGTGTAGGCCTACCCACATGCCAATCAACATTCAATATCTATAGTCTCCTTATGCTAGTATTATTTAATCCATTTCCACATATAACTTACCTACTTTCTAAGCTGAGTAAAAAGTTTAAACTGATGACTTTTAAGATATATAAAACAGGCTGAGTACCAGGGTGCACACCTGTGATCCCAGCATGTTGGGAGGCTGAGGTCGGAAGATTGCTTGAGCCTAGGGATTCAAGACCAGCCTGGGCAACATGGCGAAACTCCAGCTCTAGAAAAAATTATTAAAATAGCTGATTGTGGTGGTGCACACCTGCAGTCCCAGCTACTGGGAGGTAGAGGTTGGAAGATGGCTTGAGCCTGGGAGGCAAAAGTTGTAGGGAGTCATGATCGTGACACTGCACTCCAGCCTGGGTGCCAGAGTGAGACACTGTCTCAAGAAAAAAAAAGAGAAAAAGATATAAAACATAGCTAAAATTGGCAACAGGCTAACATTTTTTTCTTCTTTGAGAACATAATATGTAACTATGCAATTCTTTGTAAAGTACTTTAATAAGTGACAAATTTATTATTGACTTAGTGAAATAAGTCAGGTATTTTGAAAAGACTTTAGTCAGAAGTGAAATAAAATTTGCAGAGAGAATTTATATAAAAGATTTTTTTGGATTTTCAAATTCAATTTCTTTCTTTTTTTTTTTTTTTTTTTTGAAACAGGGTCTCACTCTGTCACCCAGGCTGGAGTGCAATGGGGTTATCACAGTTCACTGCAGCCTGAAGCTCCCAGGCTCAAGCAGTCCTCACACCCTCACACCTCAGCTTCCCGAGTAGCTGGGACTACAGGCTCATGCCATCACGCTTGGCTAAATTTTTTTGTATTTGTTGAGATGGGGTTTTGCCGTGTTGCCCAGGCTGGTCTCCAGCTCCTGGGATCATGCGATCTGCCTGCCTTGGCCTCTCAAAGTGCTGGGATTGCAGGCATGAGTCACCGTGCTTGGCCTTCAAGTTCAATTTCTAACTAAATAATAGACCTCAAGTTACTTGGAGTAGGAGTGGGGAACCTAATAAATGGAGACTATGTGGAAAAGATTAAAGGCATGCTATTCGTTTTATCTATCTGCATGGAATAAAAAGAAAATGTTTTTTAAACTCTTTTTTTTTTTCAATGTACCCTAATGATTCATGGTCCTTGGTTTTCTTCAAATTGGAGAAATTAGTTCCCAGTATAGTGTTTGACTTTGTTTTCTTTTTTTTTTTTTTTTTTTTTTTTGAGATGGGGTCTTGCTCTGTCGCCAGGCTGGAGTGCAGAGGCGCAATCTCAGCTCACTGCAACCTCAGCCTCTCGAGTAGCGGGGACTACAGGTGTGCGCCACCACACCCAGCTCATTTTTGTATTTTTAGTAGAGATAAGGTTTCACCGTGTTGGCCAGGATGGTCTCCATCTCTTGACCTTGTGATCTGCCTGCCTCGGCCTGGGGCGAGTGCTGGGGCGTGAGCCACTGCACCTGGTGGACTTTGTTTTCATCAACTACTACATGTCAGTTTATCTTAGCAAGCTGTTTTATTTGTTTTTGATTCTCTAGTTGTCTGAGGGAAGTCAAAAGCATGCAAGCCTACAGAAAAGCATTGAGAAAGCTAAAATTGGCCGATGTGAAACGGTAAGTTTGTGTCTATAGATTATTTTAATAATGGCAATTCTAAATATTAGAGTAAGCGACACAGAGCTTCCTGTGAGGAGGATGCATTTCTACCAGAAGAGAAGGGGATCATAGCCAAGGATAGGAACGTTTGACCTGGTAGGATTCACCAATTGTGAGTCTAGATTTTATTATTATTATATATGGCAGCATAGCATAGAAGCATAAACCCTAGAGCCAGACTGCCTGGATTTGAAAGTCTCCTAAATTCTGTTTTCACTTCTCTCTGCTGCAAAATGGGGAATAACAAAATCTGTTATACTTCATTGCGTTATTGTGTGGATTAAACTAGTTAATATTTGCAAAGCACCTAGAAGAGGACCTGGTACATGGTAAGCCCTATATAAATGTTTATGTAAATTTTTAAGACTCTTTTAAAAAAAATTTTTGCATAGAACAAACTGAAAACTATCAACATAGTATCTTTGGCCTTGTAATATTTTAAAATATTAAAAATAAATATTGACCTACTATTTTATTTTTTAAAGTACAATATTTTTCTAAGTATTAGGTTAGAGATTTTAAAAGTCATTTCACTTTCTATTTTCATCATTATCTAAACTATAGATTTATGACTTTAAAAAATATTGAAGATCAACATGAACCACTAAGCATTTCATCCGGGTCTCTATTTGTATCACTTGATTGGGAAAGAAAGCAACTGGAAAACTTGTCACATAGTAGAAAGGGATATAGCAAAGCTTTACAGTGGCTTTATGCTTTCAAAGTTATTTCACATATATTCTTTTATGTGAATCATCAGCACAGTCACAGATAGGAATTGGAGAATAGTCATTTCTGAAGAATATTCAAGGAAAAGTAAACTCTGGGCATAACCTGAAGCTGTTCTATTTCCTCTTCAGTTGACAGTAGCAACTACTACTTCTTTATTTGTTCCTTTTGTTTGTTTTTTTTAAACACTGGCAATAACTTGTAGAACCACCTTCAACTAATGGTGACATATGCTTGCCCAGAAGTTGTCAGCCAGTCTACTGTTAATCCACTGGAACAAGTGCATCTTGCGGGGAAAAACCCACTAGCAAACATAGTTGCCGCCTGCAGATATCAGAAGAGTTTAGTGGTTCAGAAACGTTCCTAAGAAAGATGAAGTCTTGTGCTCATCCTGATCTTACCAGCCAGGACTTTTCAGAGCTACCTAGCCCCTATCTGCTAATTATTCTTGATGATGGTGGTGATCCTGCTGCTGGTAAAGAAGAAAAATAGCTAACGTGTATTCTCCTTACTCTGAGCCAGGCAACTGCTGTTCTAAATGGATTTTGTATATTTATTGAATCCTACCAGCAGTCTATGGCGGTGGCTACCGTTACTGTCTCCATTTTGCTTTCAAGGAACTGGAGGCACAAAGAGGCTAAATACTTTGGCAAAGATCTCAGTGATAGTGATTGTCTAAGATTGTTTCAATGCATGATACCTGGAGAACTATTATTATATTCACATTGGATGTTCACCACTCTGCTTCTCCTGTCTTTTTTTCTCCTCTTGATTTTGTTTTGTTTTTTGGTTTGTTTTTTAGAGATGGAATATCTCTGTATTGCCCAGGCTGCCCTTGAACTCCTGGGCTCAAGTGATCCCCCTGCCTCAACCTCCTGAGTAGCTGGTACTACAGGCAGGCACCACCACACTTGGTGACAGTGTTCCTTTTGAAGCATTTTTATTTGGGTATTGATGGCAAATAATGACCATCTTCTTATAGTTATTTTAAAATCTCTCCTGAGCTGTGCTAATACGATATACACTAACCATGTGTGGCTATTTATATTTAAATAAAAATTAGCTACAATTAAATTTAGTTTCTCGGTCCCAGTGGCCACATTGCATATATTGAGTAGCCACATGTGGCTAGTAGGTCTTGCAGTGAAGAGTGCAGATCTAGAAAGTTTTCCTCACTGCTGAGATTCTGCTGGGCCGTGCTGCTTCTGAGCGTGCTGCTCTGTATATGAGTCTCTTGTACAAATGCTAGCAAAGGAACTCTCTTCACTTTGGAACCAAAAGGAACAGCTAAAAGCAAAGTAGAAAAATACAAATAAAAAATACAAGGTAGCTGGCAACCTTACGAGTCGTGTTAGGCAGTTTGAACTTTACTTGATTTTGCCTCGGATTTATCCTATGATTCTGTACTATAATCTTTGCCAACATTTGGTTTTTGTTTGGGCTTACTTTTCAGGTTTCAGAAATACAAATTGAATATGTATAGCACTATGACTTCTACCTGCTAGTGAGAAATATGGCTAGACATTTCAAATGGTTTTTATTGGATCATATTGTATTTTGAAGCTTTATTCTGGTTTACCTTTAAAGAATAGGTGGTGGGAGGCCTCAAACTACAATTGTATTATTTCTTTAAATGTATATAAAATATAAAGGATATATTAAAATATTCTTAAAAATTGAAAAATTGTCTAGAACACTTTTAAAGATAATTGTATAATGATCGATGTCTTAAAATGTTACTTACACATATAGACATAATCTTGTGAAACTACTCAAAAAGTAGTATAATTTTTTTCTGTAACATACAACGACATGGTCATCTTAGAGTTCTAACATGAACCTCCCACCTATTTATGAGCATTCCATTCTACATATTAACTCCCATTTAGTTATTCAATATATATAAAAGATACTTGAGATTTCAGGAAAGATGAGAATTGAGCTTATTCTTATACTGTGAATATCTGTGTGTGTATACTTATATATATAATGTCAAAAGTCTAATGCACATCATTTATAAGAAATAAAATGAAATTGTTATAAAATGTATTACCTTACAACATATAGAATTTTGTTTGTCTTAATTGAACATAAAACTATCTGGAATGCAGGAAGAGCGAACCAGGCTAGCAAAAGAGCTTTCTTCACTTCGAGACCAAAGGGAACAGCTAAAGGCAGAAGTAGAAAAATACAAAGACTGTGATCCGCAAGTTGTGGAAGAAATACGTAAGTTTGTGTCATACCTTAGGGATCTTTAACTTTGATAATGAAGAAGACTTTATTTTTCTAGTTGCCTGCTAACTATTCTCCATGTATATGAGAAAATAAAACTAGTTAAGGTAGTATTCTGTTTGTAGTACTCTAATTTTGTATTTGTAACATAGTAGGAAAATATTGCTTTAGTATTGCCATTAAAAAGTCTTAATGTGCCGGGCACGTTGGCTTATGCCTGTAATTCCAGCACTTTGGGAGGCTGAGGTGGGTGGATTGCTTGAGCTCAGGAGTTCAAGACCAGCCTGGCCAACATGGTGAAATCCCATCTCTACAAAAAAAAAACACAAAATTAGCCAAGCATGGTGACAGATGCCAGTAGTCCCAGCTACTCAGGAGGCTGGGGTGGGAGAATCCCTCAAGCCCAGGAGGTTGAAGCTGCAGTGTGCTATACGTGCCATTGCACTCCAGCTAGGGTGACACAGTAGAACTCTGTCTCAAAAAAAAAGAGAGAAGTCTTAATGTTAGAGCATTGAACAGCGACAATTTTGAAATTATAAGCATTTTAAAATTAAGGAAGAAGTGTGGGATAGAAGGATAAAGACATAAAATATAAGGTTAGAGAACTGAGGAGTTAGTAAAAGAGCTAATTTGGCCTCAAGAACTTTGATTCTGTAAAGAAATCCATCATTATCTTCTAGGAAAAATGATACCATAAGTAGAAGAGTTTGCAAGTTGCAGAAAATCAGTCTGTACATTGAGTTGCCTTTTAAATATACCAGTCATTTTTTTTTCCTTGTTTTAGACCAGAGTCCCCAGAGCCTTGTTTTGAATAATGTTTATATTTTTTTAAAGATAGAAATGTGAATATTTAAGGAGATAAAAGAGTGTATTATAAAGGCATAGCATTTAATTGTTTGGGAAAATATTTATAACTTTTTAAATAATTTTCTGTCTTAGCCTGTCTTTTATTTAGGAAACTTTACCAAGTGAAACTCATAGAAAAACTGATATTATAGTGTGTGATAGAAGGCTTTGAAAGAAATGGAAAATATTTGGTATGTTAAAATTAACCTGAGGATAGTTTGATTGCAACTAAGCTGGCCTAGTCCTTGGCAGTGGTCTTTACAATTAAAGAATTGTAAGCAGTTCAGTTAGTGTAAATCTAAAGTTAAACTTCATTTAAGAGACAGGTCGCTGCTTTGCGCAACTCCAGGAGGCACCATTCACATATATGGAGTACATAGCCTAGGTGGTGATATGTAGTGCCACTGGTTCAGCTGATTACCCAGGGTGATTTTCAAAGAGAGGTGGAGGCAGAAGAACTCCCTGAGCCAGTCATTGTCTGTAAATTAAGTATTTGGGGAGAATGTCAGCTCTTTTATGCTGACCACAGATTTATTTGTCATCATCCTGCAGAAGAAAGTGCTAATCAAATCTACACCTACAAAAATAAATACCTTAATCTGTTGGAAAGTTTTAACTAATACCAGGTGATCCTCAGTGAGCACAAGCACATCACAACAGGAGAGTACCTCACAGGTAGAAGGTTACTGTTAGGAAGCTAGGCCTGCGTATGATTCATCTTCAAAAGGAAACAGACTGCTTGTTCAGGAGGACTTAGAACATTGTGTACCTTATCTAGAGCACCTTCTCATTCTCTTGCAAGAGAACTTCAAGCACAGTTTTCTTAACTAGGTTGAATACTTTCAGGTGATTTATTTTCAGGATAGCATGACTGTGCCCTCTAGCAGTTCATCATGAAAAATCTGAGTTTCACGATAACCAAATCGGACCCTTCATTTACTCTTACTTGCCTTTTTTCCTGATTTCAGTTTTGTGTGATTCTTGTACTTTTTCCTTGGTGTGCTACCTCTTTGCTTACCTGTTTCATTCTCTTATATGTCTAGGACCTACAACTCTTAGGTATATCCAAAAAGACGTAAGCTTTTCCACTCCATGGTCCCTATTGTACTGCCACAGCTATTTCCATGGGCAGGTGACCCTCACTGACATCACCTCCAATTGACTCCCCAGTCCTTTTCTTAATTTTGATATATTCTGCCCACTCAGGAATGAATAAAACTCTTATTTAGGCTTACTAAACTACTGTAACCTACACTGATAGTGACCCTGAGCCAGTGGATCACATTAAGGTTCAGGAAATTAACAGGGATAGGGAATTGTGCCAGACCAATTCATGAAGTGGGGAAAACTTGTATTTTAGGCATGTAATTTAAGATGTTGCCATTCCTTGTAGGTCTGATTCGAGTAGCACTTTTGGCAAACACATCACCTCTTAGGTAATAAAACTTCAGAAAAGAAGTTCAGGGTATACAAAGGACGGTGAACTTTCTGGAGGGTGGAATAACACAGTTGAGGAGGCGGCAACTGAAATTTTAAACTGGTTGCCTGCATTCTGCTGTCTATCTTAACCCTTAAATTTATAACTTTGGTAATTTATTTCCCAACCCAAGGAAAACATGCCATTGTGAATGAGTATTATGAGTATTACAGTATATGAGGTCTCACTGAGAGAACAAACCTGAAATTTTCTGTTTTTTCAGTGAGATTTTTTTTTTTTTTTTTTTTTTTTTTTTGGAGACAGGGCCTTGCTCTGTCTCCCAGACTGAAGTGCAGTGCATGATCAGGGATCACGGTAGCCTCAACCCCCGCAAGCTCAAGTCATTCCCCCACCTCAGCTTCCCAAATAGCTGGGACTACAGGCACATGTCACTACACCCAGCTAGTTTACTTTTACTTTTATTTTTTATAGAGATGGTGTCTCGCTATATTGCCCAGCTGGTCTCGAACTCCTGGCCTCAAGCAGTTCTCTCCCCTTGGCCTCCCAAAGTTCTGGGATTACAGGTGTGATTCACCATGTTTGGCCTTTATCATTTTTCATCACCATCAGACTAGGTTATCTTTTAATAGTTATTTATGCAACCATGTAAAGATGGATCCTGGAGAACTTGTAATGGAGTCTATTAGAGATATATTAATTTTTTACTTGGGAATGAGAGAGTAAGAATCCTTCCTTCCTGGCTTTGTGCATTTTAAAAAATTTATTAAAGATTATCATCTTTTTTGCAGGCACAGTGGCTCATGCCTGTAATCCCAGCACTTTGGGAGGCCAAGGCAGGAAGATAGCTTTAGGCTAGGAGTTTGAGATTAGCCTGGGCAAGAGAGTGAGACCCTATCTCTACAAACAATTTAAAATTAGCTGGTCATGCTGGCATGCGCTTTATTCAAGTTTTCTTCCTCCAGTTTTATTACCTTTCTACTTGAGAGGCTGAGATGGGAGGATTCCTTGCACCCAGTAGTTCAAGGCTGTAGTGAGCTATGGTCGTGCCACTATACTCCAGCCTGGGCAACCGAGTGAGACCCTGTTTCTTGAAAAAGGATTAACATCTAGCAAGATAAAATTCATTATGTCTGGCATACAAGCAAAGACTACCAGGCCTGGAGAGAAGTGGGAAAACATTATCTATAATGAGCAGAATACTCCATCAGTCAAAATTGACCCAGAAATTAGGATCAGAAGACCAGAACATTTAAAAAGTTATTATAACTGTATTCCATATGTTCAAAAAGTTAAGTGGAAATAGAGAAGATATAAAAAAGACCCAGGTCAAACTTTTGAACATGAAAACTACAATGTCTGACATGAAAAATACACTATGGTAAATTACCAGCAGATTAAATTTTGCAGAAGAAAGAATTGATGTTAGTTGAAGATATAGCAATAGAAATATCCAAAATGAAACACAGAAAATAAAGAATTTAAAAAATATGAAAATGGGGCCAGGCGCAGTGGCTCACGCCTGTAATTCCAGCACTTTGGGAGGCCAAGGTGAGTGGATCACTTGAGCCCAGGAGTTCGAGACCAGCCTGGACAGCATATGGAGTCCTTGACTCCCATATAAATAAAATAAAAATTTTAAAAATATGAAAATGGCATCTGAGCCTTAAGACAACTTCAAGGGACCTAATATATGTGTAATTACAGTCCCAAATGGAGTATGTTTTGGTGGGAGGAGAGGTTGCTGAGCCAGAAAAATATCTAAAGAAATAAAAGCTAAAGTTTTTCAAATTTGATGAAAAGTATAAACCCACAAATCCAAGAAATTTAAATATTTAAGTAGTAGATGCCAGTGATCCCCTTATCACTAACTTTAGAGAACTTCTTAAGACTTTAACCTCTACTCACCCCAAATCTCCATTCCTCAATGAAATTATTGTTTTTAAAGTGCACTTTTTGATAGGGGTTTCATGGGATTTCAGCTATCATGTTAACGCAGAACAGATTATACTGGATTAAAGGCTTATGAGTTTCACAAATTGATTTTAATAGGATTTGGTTCTTAGTAGCATGGCTATTGCCCCCCATATTATATTGCTCAGGCTTATCTCTAAGTCTGTCATGATTTATTCAGAGAACAATTTGGTGACTGTAGCCATAACCATTTGTTCATATGGGGCATGGCTATGTATTTTCTTATTTCTCACTAACACCCATGAGAAATACATATATTTAATTATGCCAGTTGAATTATTGATATCATTAAGCAAGTATTTAGAAGACTAATTGCTTTGGAGGCAGAGGCAGGCGGATCACTAGGGGTCAGGAGTTTGAGACCAGCCTGGCCAACTTGGTGAAATGCTGTTTCTATTAAAAATACAACAATTAGCCAGGCATGGTGACACACACCTGTAATCCCAGCTACTCTGGACGCTGAGGCAGGAGAATCGCTTGAACTGGGGAGGCGAAGGCTGCAATGAGCCAACATCATGCACTGCACTCCATCCTGGGTGACAGAGCGAAACAGTCTCAAAACAACAACAACAAACATTAATTGCAATATCAAAGAAGTGATATTTAAAAGCAACAATTCTTTAAACAATTTTTTAATTTAGCTATTCTGACCATTATTCAAATGTGACCAGATAAAACATGTTAGTAGAAATTAAATTCCCACAAAAATACTTGAAAATATCTTAGAGGTACTTAAGTAATTTTCTTAGAAATAAATGCCAGGATGACAGTAAAAAGGTGGAGTAAGGACTTCTGAAACTTTGCCCTTTCAGAAAACTTGCAAAAATTGTTGTAGTCAACTTTTTCAGAACTCTGGAAATTAACCAAAGGCTTACAGGAGCCTACTGAGGAAAATTAGCAGACTCTGAGTAAGAATAATGAGCTTTGTGGTATTGAATTTGCCTATACTCATTTCCCAGTCTCACCGCAGCAGTGACCTTGAAGGATAACAACCCTGCATTCCTACTGTCTAGAGGAACAAAATGCCCCTGGAACTCTGTAAGAGCCTTGATCCCAAAGAATTGTCATTATTTACATGTTTGGTGGTTCCCTGGAGGACACCAATAGGAAAAACTGTCTTTATTTGATCTGGCCTCGGGTATGCCCAATGCTAAAATCCTCTCTGTGGGGAGTGTTTGTCTATAACAATTATAAACAATAATTTTAACTTCTCAGTTAACCATTGTTGATGAATAACAGTTGAGGCAAACAGTAGACTAATCAAAAAGCTTAAAAGGGCCAGATGCAGTGGTTTATGCTTGTAATCCTAACACTTTGGGAAGATTGCTTGAGCCCAAGAGTTCAAAACCAGTCTGAAGAAAATGGCAAAACTCCATCTATGTAAAAAATTTAAAAATTAGGCATGGTGGCATGTGCCTGTAGTACTAGCTACTCAGGAGGCTGAGGTGGGAGGATCACTTGAGCCGAGGAGATCAAGACTGCAGTGAGCCATGATCGTGCCACTCTGCTCCAGCTTGGGTGACAGAGTGAGAACCTTCTAAAAAAAAAAGGAGAAACTAAATGATATGTTCATGAGAGCCTTGAAGAGCAACATATTCCTGGAAATATAGAAGGCCTACATGCATGCTTAGGGTTGTTCACATTCTCAGTGAAGACCTGGGACAGTCCCCACATCTAGCTGACCTTGATACTCTGTGCAAGCAAGAAGCAAAGACTAAGTCAGAGTTATAAACTGCCTTGCTGAGAACGCATGTCGCAGCACATGCAAACCCTCTTAGCAAAGACGGCTGAGCCCTTTGGAAAAGAGAACCTCTTCATAGAGGTTTAGTCCAAGTGTTTAAGGAAATCTCTGTTCAATTAATAGCTTGACCACTAAGCTAACCAAGTAGAGACTTAAGTGGCCACACTTAAGAACACGGACTTTACAGATTGAGTTCAGGAAAGTTACTAAACAAATTGTAACAACTCTACGAGCAACAATCCTGGGGAGGGGGAAGAATCTGCTTTCTAGGGTTGCTATGAGACAGAATCTTGCTCTGTAACCCAAGCTGGAGTGCAGTGGCACAATCTTGGCTCACTACAACCTCTGCTTCCCGGCCGGGTTCAAGTGATTCTCGTGCCTCAGCCTCCCAAGTAGCTGGGATTACAGTGCCTTATATTATTTTTTAAATTAATTATTACTTTTTTTTTTGAGACACTCTCACTCTGTCACCTCAGCTGGAGTGCAGTGGCATGATCATGACTCAGTGCAGCCTCAACCTCTTGGGCTCAAGCAATCCTCCTGCCTCAGTCCCCTGAGTAGCTGGAACTACAAGCACATGCTACCATGCTGAGCTAATTTTTGTAGAGACAGGATTTCACCATGTTACTCAGGCTAACATTATTTTAAATGTCCAGTTTTGCAACAAAAAGATTGCAAGACATACAAAGAAATAAACTATGGCTCACACACTGGAGTGAAAATGTTTCAATGGAAACTGTTCCCGAGAAAGCCCATGTGTTGGACTTACTAGACAAAGACACTTTAAATATATTCAAAGAGAAATGAAAAACGAGAAAATCAAAACCAAAAATTGGTTCTTTTTTTTTTTTTTTTTTTTTTTTTTGAGGTGGAGTCTTGCTCTGTCACCAGGCTGGAGTGCAGTGGCGTGATCTCAGCTCACTGCAACCTCCGCCTCCTGGGTTCAAGCAATTCTTCTGCCTCAGCCTCCTAAGTAGCTGAGACTACAGGCACGTGCCACCACGCCCAGCTTTTTTTTTTTTTTTTTCTGTATTTTTAGTAGAGATGAGGTTTCACCATGTTGGCCAGGATGGTCTCGATCTCTTGACTTCGTGATCTGCCCGCCTCAGCCTCGCAAAGTTTGCGATTACAGGTGTGAGCCACTGTGCACGGCCTTTTTTTTTTTGAAACGGGGTTTCAGTCTTGTGGGAGTGCAGTGGTGCGATCTCGGCTCACTACAACCTCCGCCTCCCTGGTTCAAGCAATTCTCCTGCGTCAGCCTCCTGAGTAGCTGGGATTACAGGTGCTCACCACCACGCCTGGCTAATTTTTTTTTGCATTTTTAGTAGAAACGGGGTTTCGCCATGTTGGCCAGGCTTGTCTTGAACTCCTGACCTCCGGTGATCTGCCCGCCTCGGCCTCTGAAAGTGCTAGGATTACAGGCATGAGCCACCACACCTGGCCCAAAAATTCGTTCTTTAAGCGGATCACAAAGTAGACAAACCTTTAGCTAGACAAAAGAGAAATAGAAAAAAATTAGTAGCTGGGACTAGAAGTGTGCACCTCTACACCTGGCTAATTTTTTTTTTATTATCTTTTTTGTAGAGACGGGGTCCCACTATGTTAGCTAGACTGGTCTCGAACTCCTGGGCTCAAGCAGTCCTCCTGCCTCAGCCTCCCAAAGTGCTAGGAATCCAGGTGTGAGCTATTGCACCTGGCTGAAAGACAATATTATTAAGGAAATACTCCCCAAATTGATCTACAGATTCAATGCTAAACCTATCAAAATTTCAGCTGCTTTTTTGCAGAAATTGGTAAGCTGATCTTAAGTTTCATATGGAAATGCAAGAGATCCAGAATAGTCAAAAGAATCTTGAAAAAGAACAAAGTTACAGACTCAAATTTCCCAATTTCAAAACTCGCTACAAGGCTGCAGTTATCAAGACAGTATGGTAGTGGTATGAGAATAGACATGCACACTTCGGGAAGCTGAGGCGGGTGGATCATGAGGTCAGGAGATCGAGACCATCCTGGCTAACACGGTGAAACCCCATCTCTACTAAAAATATAAAAAATTAGCCAGGCGTGGTGGGTGCCTGTAGTCCCAGCTACTTGGGAGGCTGAGGCAGGAGAATAGTGTGAACCCAGGAGGCGGAGCTTGCAGTGAGCCGAGATCATGCCACTGCACTCCAGCCTGGACGACAGAGCAAGACTCTGTCTCAAAAAGAAAAAAAAAAAAGAATAGACATATAGATTAATGGAATGGAATCAAGAGTCCAGAAATAAACCCAATTGATTTTCAACAAAGGTGCCAAGACCATGGAATCAGGAAAGAAATCATGTTTTTAGCTCATGGTATTGGGCACAACTGGATATCCACATGCAAATGAATTAATCTGAACCCCCACCTTACATCAAAAAAATTAACTCAAATGGATCAAAGACCTACATGGAAGAGCTGAAACTATGAAACTCTTAGAAGAAAACAGATTTATATTTCTTTTTTTTGAGACGGAGTCTCACTCTGTCACCCAGGCTGGAGTACAGTGGCATGATCTTGGCTCACTGCAGGCTCTGCCTCCCGGGTTCAGGCCATTCTCCTGCCTCAACCTCCGAGTACCTGGGACTACAGGCGCCCACCACCACGCCAGGCTAATTTTTTACATTTTTAGTAGAGAGGGAGTTTCACCGTGTTAGCCAGGATGGTCTTGATCTGACCTCGTGATCTGCCCGTCTCGGCCTCCCAAAGTGCTGGGATTACAGGCGTGAGCCACTGTGCCAGGCCGGATTTATATTTCTTTATCCTTGGGTTAAGCAACAATTCCTTGAATATGACACCAAAAGCAGAAACAACCACAGAAAAAGTAGTTAAATGGACTTCATCAAAGTTAAAAAGTTTTGTACAATATCAAGAAAGTAAAAAGAGGCTGGGCGCGGTGTCTCATGCCTGTGATCCCAGCACTTTGGGAGGCCAAGGCAGGTGGATCATGTGAAGCCAGGAGTTTGAGACCAGCCTGGCCAACATGGTGAAACCCCATCTCTACTAAAAATACAAAAATTAGCCGGGTGTGGTGGCACACACCTGTAATCCCAGCTACTCGGGAGGCTGAGGCAGGAGAATCGCTTGAACCAGGAAGGCAGAGGTTGCAGTGAGCCAAGATTGTACCACTGCACTCCAGCCTGGGTGACAGAGACTCCATCACAAAAAGAAAAAAAGAAAGTAAAAAGTGAACTCAGGATGGAAGAAAATAGTCACAAGTCCTGTATCTGACAAGTGTCTAGTATCCAAAATATATAAAGAACTCATAATACAACAATAAAAAGACAACCCAGTTGAAAAATGAGCAAAGGATATGAACGGACACTTCCCCCAAGAAGATACACAGATGGCCAATAAGCACATGAAAAGATGCACAAAATCATTAGCAAATGCAAATCAGAACCCCAGTGAGATACTACTTCACACTTCTATTAGTCTGTTTTCACACTGCTAATAAAGACATACCTGAGACTTGGCAATTTACAAAAGAAAGAGGTTTATTGGACTTACGGTGCCACGTATTTGGGGAAACCTCACAATCATGGTGGAAGGTGAAAGGTACGTCTCACATGGTGGCAGACGAGAAGAGAGCTTGTGCAGGGAAACTCCCATTTTTAAAGCCATCAGATCTTGTGAGACTCATTCACTATCATGGGAACAGGGCAGGAAAGACCCGCCCTCATAATTCAATCACCTCCCACTGGGGTCCTCCCACAACACGTGGGAATTGTGGGTGTTACAATTCAAGATGAGATTTGAGTGGGGACACAGCCAAACCATATCAACACCCATTAGGATGGCTATAATGTAAAAATAGAAAATAATGAGGCCGGGCACGGTGGCTCACGCCTGTAATCCCAGCACTTTGGGAGGCCGAGGCAGGCGGATCACCTGAGGTTGGGACTTGGAGACCAGCCTGACCAACATGGTGAAACCCTATCTCTACTAAAAATACAAAATTAGCTGGGTGTGGTGGCACATGCCTGTAATCCCAGCAACTCAGGAGGCTGAGGCAGGAGAATTGCTTGAACCTGGGAGGTGGAAGTTGCAGTGAGCCAAGACCGCGCTATTGCACTCCACCCTGGGCAATGAGCAAAACTCCATCTCAAAAAAAAATAGAAAATAATAAGTGATGAGAATGTGGAGAGACTGGAACTCTTAGATTGCTGGTGGTATTATAAAGTGGTGCTACCACTTTGGCAAACAATTTATCTCTTCGCCAAAATATATACCCAAGATAATTGAAAATATGTCCACACAAAAATTATTCGTATTAGCAGAAACAGCCCAAATGTCCATCAGCTGATGAATGGATAAGCAAATTGTAAAATAGTACTTCGCATAAAAAAGAATGAGGTATTGATACATGAATGAACCTTGAAAACATTGTGTTAAGTGAGAGAGGCCAGACCTAAAAGACCACATATCGTATGTTTCGTTCATATGAAATGTACACAAAAGGGAAATCCATAGAGAAAAGACAGCAACTAGGTTAGTAGTTGCCAGGGGACGGAGGGAGAAGGAATGTGGAGTGAGTGCTAAGGGGCACAAGGGTTTTTTCTGGGTGATGAAAAAATGTTCTGGAATTAAATAGTAGTAATGGTTGTACAATTTTGTGACTATCATAAAAACCACTGAAAGCCAGGCATGGTGCCCCATACCTGTAATCCCAGCACTTTAGGAGGCCAAGATGGGGTGGATCACTTGAGGCCAGGAGTTGGAGGCCAACCTGGGCAACATAGCAAGACCCCTATCTCTACAAGAAATGAGCTGGGCATGGTGGCGCATGCGTGTAGTCTCAGCTGCTCAGAAAACTGAGGCAGGAGGATTGCTTAAGCCCGCCAGTTTGAGGCTGCAGTGAGCTATGATCACACCATGGTACTCCAGCTTGGGAGACAGAGTGAGACCCAGTCCCTAAATAAGTAAATAAATAAATAAAAATTACTGAATTATATAGTTTACTATGCTGAATTTTGTGACATATAAATTATCTTTCAATTAAAAATGCCATCATTGTAAGTAATAGTTAATGCCCCATTAATCATGGCATTGTTACATGCTGTGCAGAGTAACTCGAAGTACATAATATACATACAGATACATTTGATAGCACGATGTGTATTTAAAGTAAAAGTAAATACTTCCCGCTATGAGATTACTTTCTTATCCCTAAAATTTTTTTTAGAGTCACACTTATTGTGGTCTTATAATGCCTATATAGTAAAATTCTTATCGTTAAATTTAACTTATTTTGTTGTATTTTGGTATGGTGAGTTGTTTGAAAAACATCTCATTTAAACTTACATGTTGTCTTTAAAGGAGCAAGTACAATGATGATGGACACTTAGGAAAGGGAAATTGTTCACTTTGACTTTCCATTAATTACTAATACTACTGCAACTCCCTAAATTTCCTTGGGAATTTGCAAGAGTTTGTAAAATACAATATTATGTCACTATTTCAGCTTTTTTCATAGCCATTTTATACATAAATTTTATAAAAATTTTGTTCATATGAAAAAATACAAATGTATACATAGCTAAAGATCATTTTGTGTGTATATATATATATATATATATAAATACATTTCATTTTATATATATAATTTTTTTTCAGGCCAAGCAAATAAAGTAGCCAAAGAAGCTGCTAACAGATGGACTGGTATGTACTATAATAATGCTGATAAACTATAGCTAAATTCCCTTCACACTTACTGCGACGTGAAATTCAGATACCTTGTGCTAGCTTTGTTCAAGAAAGGACGTTAATGAAAAATGTATGCATTACTCAAATGTTTACATATTAAATCATTTCAGTTATTTAAGGTTTTTTTTATAATCTTATGAGTCATTTTGTAAAGCATAAGATATTTTTGTAAAACTAATGATTGCTTCCAGTTTAACTTTTGTGCAACTTTTCCCAAGATAAGTCACCTGGGCTAATCACTTAACTTTCATATACATTAATGTAAGATACACTTTTAAGATAATGAAATCTTAAAGATTTATCATCTTGCTAATAATAATAATAATAATAGCTAAGGTTTGTTGAGGACTATTTGCCAGTTACTGTAATGTCTGTGGTTCATTCTCATTTTATCTCCATGATAATCTTGAGGTAGATATGATTATTATCCCTAATTTAGGAGACAAAACTAAGACCCTCAGGAGTCCAAGGCCACACATGTGTCAGACAGCAGAACAGGAATTATAATCCAACTTTTCTGGCTGGACTTAAAATGACTATGTTTAGTCAAAGGCGATTAGTCACTGCAAGAACAGATGCTGGAGCCAGGTTTCTCTGACTCCCTGTCCAGGCCTCTGTTTCACACAAAAAATATAATAATTTTTTTTCCTACTCTATTTTAGAATTAAATAGACTGGTAAAATCAATATAATTGGCCTTTCGGATTTTTTTTTTCTGAAATTGCAGTTTTATTTATTACAAAGTTATTTCTTAAGTAAGGTAATGCTTTAGTGATAAGAACAGAGGGTGAAACAGCAAACTGACATGAAGTAAGTGTCCCACAAAGTATAAATAAATGTGGATTTTTAGGTTAAAAATAAGATACGAATCCAAGGTGATTTCCCCCAGTATTTTCAACAAAGAGGCTCAGCACACAGTAGGCACAGGCAGCATGTGTGTGTAGTGGGAGGAACGTGGCTTTGAAGAGAATCCAAGCTATTCTCCTTACTTGCTGTGTGACCTCTTGACCCTCTCTCAGCCTACTTCCTCATCTGTTCAATGTGGATAAATAATACCTACCTCCCATTTTGGGAGGATTAAATAAGACAGTTTGTAAGCCCTTCAGCACCATGTTGGACACGTAGATAAATACTCCCCTTTTCCTTTTCTTCTCTTAAAAAAGTTCATGTTTTCCAATTGATCATAAACTTCCAAAATTATAATTGGAAAAACATTTGGAATGGCTTTTTTTTTTTCCTATCCTATTAGCTGCAGAAGAACCTGGGACTTTTAAAACCATGAGGAAGAAAGATATTTTTAGAACAGCAGAAACAGCTGTTAAGAACCATATTTCCATTTAAAGTTACAACTTACTCCTTCCAGCTTAAACATGTGTTATGCAAAGACAGAGATAAGAGAGAAAGCATCACACCTCAGAAAACCGCCACCTTCACAACAAACAAAAAGAAAACAGTAATAAGAATTATTTTTTTCCTAGTCTATTTTAGAATTAGGTAGATTGGTAAAATCAATATAATTGGCCTTTAGTTTGTTTTTTAATGAAATTGCAGTCTTACTTATCATATAGCTTTTAAAGTTTGTTTTAATATTCATATTAAAATTATCATATAGAAAGAAAGTTTGCTTTATTTTTACTTAAAAAAGTCCTGGCCGGGCGTGGTGGCTCATGCCCGTAATCCCAGCACTTTGGGAGGCCGAGGCAGGAGGATCACTTGAGGTCAGGAGTTCAAGACCAGCCTGGCCAACATGATGAAACACTGTCTCTACTAAAAATACAAAAATTAGCCAGGCATGGTGGCGCACACCTGTAATACCAGCTACTCAGGAGGCTGAGGTAGGAGAATTGCTTGAACCCAGGAGGCGGAGGTTGCAGTGAGCTGAGATGGTGCCACTGCACTCCAGCCTGAGCAAGAGTGAGACACTGTCTCAAGAAAATAAAAAAGTCCTTAAAAATGTAGCTAGAATTGAGAATATATACTGTTCAACAATTCAGTATCTCAGTTCTATAGGATGAGATTACCTCAGAGTCTAAGTATAGAAATGCCACATCTAAATGTTTTATGATATTAAATACACTTTAAGTGTGACTTCAATTATATCATATGAAACCTTGCTTAATAATTAAGATGGTGAGGTTTTTGTAAACACATATGAGAGGAATCTTAATGAGTGAAGAGGGACAGGTGTTATGAGGGCCCAACCTAGATTCATTGCAAATGATATTGCCCATCCTATTCCTATAGGTATCTTTGCTGTGTCACCGTATAAATCAAACAGAAATTCTGCCCGTCTTAAGGTTGTTTCTTTAAAAGAAAAAAATTATTCTATATCCATTCATAAAAATTTCTACATTAAATAGGGAAATTATTTGACAGAGAATGAACTATCAAGATTCTCAGTGGCATTTTATCTTGAAGGCCGACATCCAGTGGCTCAAAGAAATGTTTAATCAGAGTCTTCTTTGAATTGGTCCATTAGGCATTGTTGTGGAGAGGTTTTTATTTGTTCTTTTTCTTGCTTTTAACCTTTAAATGTTTATAATGAAATGGTTTCTTATCCTCCTATGAATCAGGAAATCCTTCCTGTAGAGGCTGTTCAATAGTCTTACCCTGGTGCCTCATTCTCATTTCTGATCCAGGTTTGAAGTTTGTTCCCTACAAGCTTCCTACATTGTTGTATCTGTTCTCTCATTTCCTAGAAATCTTTCTGTATTCATGAAGCCTATCCTGTAAGCTATACACATAAGACTTGGCCTTTTCTCTCTGAGACACCTATCACTTTGTAATTGTTTAGTAATAAATTATTTTTTTTCACTCTTATGTCAACTTGAAGGCATAGGTTTTTCACATTCTGTAATACCTGCAGTGCACCTGATACTTGTCTTATGTAGCAGCAGACATAACATTTGGATGTGATTAGCAAGAATGTACTGGTTGGGCAGAGACTGGTAAAAATTATCCTAGAATATCTTATGGTGTTATTTTAACATTCTCTCTTAGGTTGTTAGGAAAAGTAAAGATTCATTTTAGATTGTTACAAAGAGTAAAGATCATTTTAATATCTGTTGACATTCCATAACACTTTGATTGAAAGAAGTTAATTTTGTTAACATTATTCTATTTGATGCAGTAGTATTCTCCATAAAATTCATTCCAGAAATGTGTTTATCAATATTTGATACTTGGAAATAAACTTCCATAGAAAAAATATTTTAAAAAGTGATGAAACTCCATGTATTAGTTTGCTAGAGATGCCGCAACAAAACATCACAGATAGGGTGGCTTAAACAACAGAAATTTTTCTCACCATCCTGGAGGATCAAATTTCAAGATCAAGATGTTGGCAGGTTTGGTTTCTCCAGGTCTTCCTTCTCCCTGTGTCCTCTCACAGTTTTTCCTGTGTCTCTCCATGTGTCCAAATTTCCTTTTTTTTTTTTTTTTGAAATGGAGTCTTGATGTGTCGCCCAGGCTGGAGTGCAGTGGTGCAATCTCAGCTCATCGCAACCTCCACCTCCCTGGTTCAAGCAATTTCCCTGCCTCAGCCTTCCGAGTAGCTGGGATTATAGGCGCACACCACCATGCCCGGCTAATTTTTTTTGTATTTTTAGTAGAGACGGGGTTTCACCATGTTGGCCAGACTGGTCTCTCGAACTCCTGACCTCAGGCAATCTGCCTGCCTCGGCCCCACAAAGTGCTGGCATTACAGGCGTGAGCCACCGCAACCAGCCAATCCTTTTCTTCTTTTTTTTCTTTTTTTTTTTTTTGAGACGGAGTCTTGCTTTGTCGCCAGGCTGGAGTGTAGTGGTGCAATCTTTGCTCACTTCACCCTCTGCCTCCCGGGTTCAAGCGATTCCCCTGCCTCAGCCTCTGGAATAGCTGGGACTACAGGCGCACACCACCATGTCCAGCTAATCTTTTTGTATTGTTAGTAGAGACAGGATTTTACTATGTCGGCCAGGATGGTCTCGATCTCTTGACCTCATGATCCTTTTCTTATAAAGATACCAATCCTACTGGATTAGGGCCCACCCCAATGACCTCATTTTAACTTGATCACCTCTTTAAAGATCTGTTTCAATATAGTCACATTCTGAGGTAGTAGGGGCTAGGACTTCAACATACAAATTTGGGGGGAAATGATTCAGCCCATAACATTCCAGAAGAACCTATTCTAACCCTTTACTTCATTATCACTACTAACAGAGTGTTTAACATTTTACAGAATACTCCGACAAGCTATAAAATCTTATACCATTATTTTTTCTGTGAGTGTAATACATTTTCATCATAAAGGTTGTGTATGTACATTAAAGAAATGTATGAAATTAAGAAAAGAAAGGCTGGACACGGTGGCTCACACTTGTAATCCCAGCATTTTGGGAGGCCGAGGTGGGTGGATTTCTTGGGCTTGGAGTTCAAGACCAGCCTGGGCAACATGGTGAAACCTCATCCCTACAAAAAATACAAAAGTTGCCGGGTATGGTGGTGCACGCCTGTTGTCTCTGCCACTCGTGGGGCTGAGGTTGGAGGGTTGCCTGAGCCTAGAAGGTGGAGACTGCAGTGAGCTGAGATTATACCACTCACTGCCCTCCAGCCTGGGAGACAAAGCAAGATCCTGTCTCAAGGGGAAAAAAAAAAAAAGGAAAAAAAATCCACTGTTCCTCCCACCCTCCCCAGTGCAGCCACTGTGAGCACACTGTCACGGTCCTGCCTCCCTCACTAGCTTCCTGATGAGTAGACATTTAGATTGCTTTTATTTTTTCTATTATGGCACTGGGATAAAGACCCTTGACCAAAAGTCCTTGTACACAGTTTGTTTTATTTCCTTGGGATAAATCCCTTGAAGTAGACATACCACTTTTTTTCAGTTGTTAATGCATTTTAAATCCCCCCAGGAGATGCTGAGGACATTTCTGTTCTTAGTCTTAAGAGAACCCCTTTCCCTGCTCCCCACCCCCTCTCCCTAGTACTGGCCTGATTGTCTGGAAGCCATTACTGTCTGTAGGACAGGAAGAAGAGTCTGGAGAGAATGTGTTCCCTTTGGGAATAGGAGCAACTTTAATTCCTGAGGCAACAGTCCTGGCCTCTGCTGTGGAAATGTAGAAGAGACACCATTAACCTGTCCCTGTTTTTCTATTATTCTTAAGTCTGGTATTTAGCAGCAAGCAGCTTACAGAATTTTTAAATATGAGATCTATTAACTTGTTCAAAATAGTATTTAAATACTTTTTTTTTTTTTGATACGGAGTGTCACTCCTGTTGCCCAGGCTGGAGTGCAATGGTGTGATCTCGGCTCACCACAACCTCCGCCTCCCAGGTTCAAACGATTCTCCTGCCTCAGCCTCCCGAGTAGCTGGGATTACAGGTGCCCGCCACCAACCATGCCTGGCTAATTTTTGTATTTTTAGTAGAGATGGGTTTCACCATATTGGCCAGGCTGGTCTCAAACTCCTGACCTCATGATCACCCTGCCTCGGCCTCCCAAAGTGCTGGAATTACAGGCATGAGCCACCGCACCTGGCCTTAAGTACTTTTTAATTAGTTGCCATTACTCTTAAAAATACAGAAAACTCCTTATTTTGATATATCTGAAAGTTAATAGAAGGAAGTAAAAGAACAATGAAGATAATTATACTTGAAATGTTTTATGATTGTGTTTTTCTCAAAATTATTTCTCAATTTTCTTTATAGATAACATATTCGCAATAAAATCTTGGGCCAAAAGAAAATTTGGGTTTGAAGAAAATAAAATTGATAGAACTTTTGGAATTCCAGAAGACTTTGACTACATAGACTAAAATATTCCATGGTGGTGAAGGATGTACAAGCTTGTGAATATGTAAATTTTAAACTATTATCTAACTAAGTGTACTGAATTGTCGTTTGCCTGTAACTGTGTTTATCATTTTATTAATGTTAAATAAAGTGTAAAATGCAGATGTTCTTCACCCCTTTTGGTAGAACAAAAGCAGGATGATAACCATATCCCCCCAGTGCTCATCAAAGTAGGACAATAAAAATCCATCCATCTCAGTCCAGGCAGATTTACAAATGATTTTTTTTTTAAGATCAAAACCATGACGTGATAATGCTTTAGTTTTGTTTAAATATTAATATTAACTATTAAGGGTATATTTGGGCTGGGCATGGTGGCTCGCACCTGTAATCCCAGCGCTTTGGGAAGCCGAGGCAGGCAGCTTCACTTGAGCTCAGGAGCAGTCACTTGAGCTCAGGAGTTCAAGACCAGCCTGGCCAACATGGCAAAACCCCGTCTCTCTTAAAAATACAAAAAGTAATTTCAACTACTTGAGAGACTGAGGCAGGAGAATTGCTTGAACCCAGGAGGTGGAGGTTGCAGTGAGCTGAGATTGTGCCACTGTACTTTAGCCTGGGCAACAGAGCAAGACTCTGTCTCAAAAAAAAAAAAGTGTATTTGAAGGATCCATCATACATATACACACACCTAAATGCTTGGAAATAACCTTTGAAATCCTAATGGCTGCTCTCCTATTTCCCAACAGTGACTGAACTCAGTATTCTGCATTATCTTTGCAAATTTCCCACAAAAAAAAATACAGAAAGTTGGTATTCCTCAAATTTAGTTAAGTAGTAATTCCTCAGACATGAAAACTACTTTTTTCTTTTGAGTTTTTGATAACTTTCTATTGGAAAGAACAAGTGCATGGCCATTTGTCCTGATTTATGTACTTTTTATAAGATGATATACAGTCATGTGTTACTTATCAATGGGGATATGTTTTAAGGAATGCATCATTAAGCCATTTCGTCATTGTGCTAACATTACAAAGTGTACTTACATAAAGCTAGATGGTATAGCCTACTACACACCTAGACTAGATGGTATAGCCTACTGCTCCTAGGCTGCAAGCCTATACAGCATATTATGGTACTGGAGACTGTAGGCAATTGTAACACAATGGTAAGTATTTGCATATCTAAACATAGAAAAAATATAGTAAAAACACAGTATAGGACCGCCCTGTAATCCCAGCACTTTGGGAGGCCAAGGCAGGTGCATGACGTGAGGTCAGGACTTCGAGACCAGCCAGGCCAACATAGCAAAACCCTGTCTCTACTAAAAATAAAAAAAGTTAGCAAGGTGTGGTGGTGCGCACCTGTAGTCCCAGCTACTCAGGTAAGCTGAGGCACGAGAATTGCTTGAACCCAGGAGGCAGAGGTTGCAGTGAGCTGAGATTGCACCACTGCACTCCATCCTGGGCAATAGAGCGAGACTCTGTCTCAAAAAAAAAAAAAAAATACAGTATAAAAGATAAAAGTAGCACACCTGTCAAGGGCACTTACCATAAATGGAGCTTGCAGGACAAGAAGTTGCTCTGAGTGGCCAGGTGTCGTGGCTCATGCCTGTAATCCCAGCACTTTGGGAGGCCGAGAAGGGCGGATCACAAGGTCAAGAGATCAAGACCATCCTGGCCAACATGGTGAAACCCTGTCTGCTAAAAAAGAAAATACAAAAATTAGCCAGCCGTGTTGGTAAGCGCCGACAGTCCCAGCCACTAAGGAGGATGAGACAGGAGAATTGCTTGAACCCGGGAGGCAGAGGTTGCAGTGAGCCTAGATTGCGCAACTGCACTCCAGCCTGGGCGACAGAGTGAGACTCCATCTCAAAAAAAAAAAAAAAAAACAGTTTCTCTGAGTGAGTGAGTGGTGGGTGAATGTGAAGGCCTAGGACATGACTACATACTACTCTAGACTTTGTAAACACTGTACACTTGGGCTACACTAAATTTATAAAACTTTTTTCCTGTAATAACCTTAGCTTACTACAATTTTTTACTTTATAAATTTAAATTTTTTAAATGTTTTGACTCTTGTAAAACATTTAATTTAAAACGTACAGCTGTACAAAAATATTTTTATTAAAAAAATTAAATATTAAAAATAATAAATTTTAAAATTTTTGAGGCCAGGTGTGGTGGCTCACGCCTGTAATCTCAGCACTTTGGGAGGCCAAGGCAGGTGGATCACCTGAGGTCAGGGATTCGAAACCAGCCTGGCCAACCTGGTGAAACTCCATCTCTACTAAAAAAAAAGAAAAAATTAGTCAGGCATGGTGGTGGGGGCCTATAATTCCAGCTACTTGGGAAGGCTGAGGCAGGAGAATCGCTTGAACCTGGGATGCAGAGGTTGCGTGGGCCGAGATCACACCACTGCACTCCAGTCAGCAACAAGAGCGAAACTCCGTCTCAAAAAAAAAAAAAAATTATCTGTGTGTGGTGGCTTACACTTGTAATCCCAACACTTTGGGAGGCCGAGGCAGGCGGATCTCTTGAGCCCAGGAATTCGAGACCAGCCTGGGAAACATGATGAAACCCTGCCTATACAAAAAAATATAAAAATTAGCTGGATGTGGTGGTACGTACCTGTAGTCCCAGCTACTCGGGAGGCTGAGGTGGGAGGATCGCTTGATCCTGGAAGTCAGAAGTTGCATTGAGTGAGATCATGCCACTGACTCCAGCATGAATGACAGAGTGAAACCCTGACTAAAAAAAAAAAAAAAAATTAAAAACTTTTTGTTAAAAACCAAGGCAAACACACACATTAGCGTAGGCCTACACAGGTTCAGGATCACCAATATCACTGTTTCCACCTCCACAATCTGTCCCACAGGAAGGTCTTCAGGAGCAACAACATGCATGGAGCTGCCATCTCCTATGAAGAGAATTTCTTCTGGAAAACCTCCCGAAGGACCTGCCTGGGGCTGTTTTACAGTGAGCTTTTTGTTTTGTTTTGTTTTGTTTTTGTTTTCCTTGAGACGGAGTTTCGCTCTGTCGCCCAGGCTGGAGTGCAATGGCACGATCTCAGCTCACTGCAACCTCCGACCCCTGGGTTCAAACGATTCTTCTGTCTCAGCCTCCTGAGTAGCTGGGATTACAGGCATGCACCACCATGCTCAGCTAATTTTGTATTTTTAGTAGAGATGGGGTTTCTCCATGTTGGTCAGGCTGGTCTCGAACTCCTGACCTCAGATGATCCGCCCACCTTGGCCTCCCAAAGTGCGAGGATTACAGGCATGAGCCCTGCACTCGGCCGAACTTCTTTTAATAAGTAAAAGGAGTACACTCTAAAAACATGGAAAATACATAAACCAGTAACATCGTCATTATCATTGTCAAGTATTACGTACTATACATACTTGTATTGCCACACTTTTATTCAGCTGGCAGTGCAGTAGGTTTGTTTACACCATCATCACCACAAACACGAGTCATGTGTTGCACTAAGACATTGCCGCAGCTACGATGTCACTAAGTGGTAGGAATTTTTCAGTTCCATTATAATCTCATAGGACCACCATGATGTATGTAGTCTGTTCTTGACACTGTTGTTAAACAGTGGATGACTGTAGTTGTCTTTGTATAGCACACATCACCAGCTATATAGAATTTTAGGGTTTTTTTCAGCTATCTAAAAAAGAGTAGGTTAAAAATGACATATCCCACGTATATATCTTTTTATAGTTCAGCTTGGCTATTTAGATAATTTGCAGGCACTCCACATCTAAAGAAATAAAATCAAAACGTATGTAATGCCCTTTACACACAGGCTTATTTTTTTTACATTGTCCAATTTTGATATTCTTTTAAGTAACTCGAGTGAAATACTCCATATGTCTGAAATGACCCAAATGGCATCCAAACCATTTGTTAGTGAATCTGGCCTTTGTATTGCATGGAGTTGCTCTGGGCCTACTTAATCACTTCCTGGAGGTTGGTGGGGAGCAAATTGGCCTATCTTTGTTCATGAGGCCAGTTTATGTTGCCTTAGGCAACAGCTCTTCTGACAAGAGAAAGTATTTGATGTAAGAGACAGAGGACAAAAAATAAAAATAACCAATTTTTCTAAAACTAATCGTGGGAATTCCAAAACTTCTCAGGCCCAATTGCCATTATTATAAAAGATACTTGTTTAGAAAGGAAGTATGTGTGTTCAAAAAAGAAACCATTTCTAATGATCTCTAAAAGATGCTGTTTAATATTTAGTTAACTTTTAAGAATTTAGTTCTCTATAGGGCTAGCACGAGAGTGAGTGAGATGGGGGTCTATACATGAGCTAACCAGAGGCTGTAGCATCTTTAGCCAGCAGTGTGCTGCTAAGTTTAATAGCTGGCTGTCTGGAAGAGGGAAGCTGACTTATAGTGTTTGCCTACTTGCGTGGTGTAAGTACTGCCAGCATAGCCGATTTGAGGTTACCAGTGCAATGCCAGTAGAGAAGGGGAAGAGATGCTCGGCAGCACACCATTATGTAGTACCTCCACCATAAAGATGAGGTAGATAATAAAACTCAACAGCACAGGGAACGGTAAAATGTAGTGAAGTACTTAGGGAGTTATCACTCTTCAGTATTTGGCGTCTTTGTTTTTAATATACAGTTCATCATCCTTTACATAACTTCATCTTTAATGCTGGCTGCGTTTAACCACTGGCTCTCTGTTTAACAGCTGACTTACCTGCTCCTGTCCATCACTGTTGTTAATCTTTAAGAGCGGTATTTGAGTTTATTCTCACCTGAAGTTCGAGATACTAGTTAAGAAGGCAGGAAGCCAGGCATGGTAGCCTGTGCCAGTAGTCCCAGTGTATTAGTCCGTTCTCACGCTGCTAATAAAGACATACCCCAGTCTGGGAAATTTATAAAGGAAAGAGGTTTAATTGACTCACAGTTCAGCATGGCAGGGGAGGTTCTCAGGAAACTTACAATCACAGCGGAGGGGGAAGCAAACATGTCCTTCACGTGACAGCAGCAAGGAGAAGTGCCAAGCAAAAGAGGGGAAAGCCCCTTGTAAAACCATCAGATCTTGTGAGAACTCACCCACTATCCCGAGAACAGCAGCATGGGGGTAACTGACCCATGATTCAATGACCTTTCACCGGGTCCCTCTCATGATAAGTGGGGAGTATAGGAACTACAATTCAAGATGAGGTTTGGGTGGGGACACAGCCAAACCATATCACCCAGCTACGGAGGAGGTAGAGGTGGGAGGATTGCTTGAGCCCAGAAGTTCGAGGCCAGCCTGGGCAGCATAGTGAGACCCTGTCTTTTAAATAAATTTAAAAAAGAAAGAAAACAGCAGCCCAGGGGCGTGAGTCTAGCTAAGCTCAAGGTAATCCTTAGTCTTGGGTTGGTTTTGTTACTGATTTGAAGATTTAGGACAACTTGGGTAGACCTAGAATCATATTACAAGTTATCCAGGACCAAATTTGATTCAGTAAATCATGCTATAAATGATAATCCCAGTGTCTTTTCAATGAATTGTGAAGTTTAAAAGGCATCCTATCAACCTCTTTTATGTGTTTTTTTTTTTTAAATCTCAAATAATATCTGTCCTATTCTTAAGGGATTCTAAAAAAGTTTTTACAGTCTCCTGGTAAGTTTCACAATTGTCCAAGGCCAGATCAAATCTGTGAAATGTCTGTTCTGAGGTTAGACCAGGACCAAAGCACTCTGTAAGGACGAATTGGGTAAGACTTTTCTCCTGATGTTGACCACATCATTAATCTAGTGGGATTATACAGTTCTTGGCCTGTCTCAGAAATATATGCTATTGTTCTTTACTTTATCAAACATGATTTTCAGACATGCACAGTGGCTCACACCTATAATTCCCAGTGCTTTGTGAGGGCCAGGTGGGAGGATCCCTTGAGGCCAGGAGTTCGAGACCAGCCTGGGCAACATAGCGAGACCCCATCTCTATGAAAAAAAAAAAATTAGCCAGTTGTGGTGGCGCACACTTGTAGTCCCAGCTAACAGGAGGCTAAGGCAGGAGCATCACCTGAGCCCAGGAGTTTGAGGCCACACTGAGCTGTGATTGCCCCACTGCACTCCAACCTGGGCAATAGAATGAGATCCTGTCTCTAAAGAAAAACAGAAACATGATTCTCTTTAAAGGGTTAAAAAAGGAAATGAGTATAGCTGCCAGTCAAGAAGCAAGAACCACCCTAATAATTCTTGAGCAGAAAAGTCTAAATTGTAAATCTGATAATACTGTTTTTTGAGAGCCATGACTGAAGTAAAGTATCTAGAAAACATTTTTCAGTTGATATGGTACCATCTGTAAGAGCAGTTAAAATGTGACAGATGGTGGGATGACATCGCAATATTATGCATAAACTCCCTTTCAGGATATGCTTCTGGATATTGTTTATTTGCCAGAAAGAAAAAGCACTGCATTACAAAATGACCCACTGCAGTGAATCTATATATTATACTTATCCCAGCATAAGTTTAAAAAAAAAATTGTGAGAGAAGGCCGGGCGCGGTGGCTCACACCTGTAATCCCAGCACTTTGGGAGGCCAAGGCAGGCGGATCACCTGAGGTCAGGAGTTCAAGACCAGCCTGGCCAACATGGTGAAACCCCATCTCCACTAAAAATCCAAACATTAGCTGGGTGTAGTAGTGGGCGCCTGTAATCCCAGCTATTCGGGAGGCTGAGTCAGGAGAATCCTCGAACCCAGGAGGCAGAGGTTGCAGTGAGCCAAGGTCATGCCATTGTACTATAGCCTGGGTGGCAAAGCGAGACTCCAAAAAAAAAATAAAATAACTGAGAGATAGAGGTCAGAGATGGAAGTGGCTTGCTGTCTCCTTCCAAGGTACTCATTGTTGAATCTCAAGGCTAATGGTTTCTGTTAACCAAGATTAGTAAATTACCACACTGAGGGCCAAACCCAAGGTCTATTTTTACTGTCTTTTTACATTTTTTAATAGTATAAAAATAAACAGGAATATGGGACAGAGACTGGTAGTGGCCTGCAAAGCCTAAAATGTTTGCTATTTGACCCTTTCCAGAAAAAGTTTACCAATCCCTGAAAGGTCAAAAACAGCCTGTGAAGTAGATATGATCTGCAAGATGTATTTTATTTTTCCCAAAATGTATTTTATTTTTCATTTAAATTAGTTGCAAATATATTCAGACTGTAAAATGTCACTTGCAAATTGAGATGTTCAGCTTCTTTTGGAAACTGGATGATTTGGCAACCCTAAGTCTTCATTCCATATGGCAGCAAATCAGCTAGAGGTAAGTGGGACTGTCTCAATAGGATTATAAGGTAGTGAGTTCATGTATTAGAGGGACGCGAGCATGCTTTCTCCTTTAAGTCACAGTTTCGTTCTGAGTTGACAAACTGACTTGAGCTCAAACTTTAGTTTCAACTTTCTAATTCCAGGAAAAATACCTGCCTTGAGGCTGTAATCCTAAGAAATAAAGTCTCCTCTTCTCCTCTTAAAAAAAAAAAAAAATTGGCTCTATTTTTATTGAGATTGTATTACATTTATAAATTAAGCAGAACTGATATCTTGATGATGATGAAACATTCTATCCAAGAAAAAAGGATGCCTTTCTATTTGCTCAAGTACATTTTTGTTTTTTCTGGCAGTTTTGTCGTTTTCTTCACGTAGATTTTTCACATTTCTCATATATATTCCTAAGTATTTTGTTGTTGTTGTTGTTGCCATTCTAAATGGGGTGTTCTCTTCCATTTTTCCTCCTATTTAGCCTTATTTATGTATCTGAAGCCTATTGATTTTGCACATTACTTTTATACTCTGCTTCTTGTTAAATTCTTGTTTATTTTATAATTAATTCTCTGAAAATTTTCAGGTATATTGTCTTTTTCCAGGTATAATCTTTTTCCAGGCATAATCTTCAAATGGACATAGTTTTAGTTCTCTTTCAATCTTATCCTTCTAATTGTTTTCTCTTATTCATTTGCATTGGCTAATATTACTCATAAAACTGTAGTGGAGCCCGGGCGCGGTGGCTCAAGCCTGTAATCCCAGCACTTTGGGAGGCCAAGGCGGGCAGATCTCCTGAGGTCAGGAGTTCAAGACCAGCCTGGCCAACATGGTGAAACCCTGTCTCTACTAAAAATACAAATATTAGCCGGGCGTGGTGGTGTGAACCTGTAATCCCAGCTATTAGGGAGACTGAGGTAGGAGAATTGCTTGAACTAGGGAGGTGGAGGTGGCAGTGAGCCAAGATCATATCACTGCACTCCAGCCTGGGCAACAGAGTGAGACTCCATCTAAAATACACAAACACACACACACACACACACACATATATATATATATATATTTATTAGAAGTTTTCTTTCCTTTCATAGGTCCCAAAACAATTTATGTAGCATTGGGACTATTTGGTCTCTAAAGATACTCAACTATAGGCCAGGCACGGTGGCTCACACCTGTAATCCCAGCACTTTGGGAGGCCGAGGCAGGTGGATCACGAGGTCAGGAGTTCAAGACCAGCCTGGCCAAGATGGTGAAACCCTGTCTCTACTAAAAATACAAAAAATTAGCCAGGCACGGTGGCAGGCGCCTGTAATATCAGCTACTCAGGAGGCTGAGGCAGGAGAATCGCTTGAACTTGGAGGGCAGAGGTTGCAGTGAGCCGAGATCACGCCACTGCACTCCAGCCTGGGCAACAGAGTGAGACTCCATCTCAGGGAAAAAAAAAAAAAAAGATACTTAACTATAATTTTAAAACAAGAACAAAAACAAAAATTAGATAATTCTGTACATATTGGTCAACATTGTTTTATCTTTCATTTAAAACTGTTACTGAGCCAGTTACAGTGGCTCATGCCTGTAATCGCAGCTTTGGGAGGCCAAAGTGGGATGATCAGTTGAACCCAGGAGTTCAAGACTGCGGTGAGCCATGACCACGCCACTGCACTCCAGCCAGGGCAACAGAGACTTCCATTCAAAATATAAGAAATAAATTAATGACCCTGATTCAAAAAACAGTCAATAAAATGATTATTGGACATCTTCACATATTAGTCATAGATTTACCTCGTTTGTCTTACTTGCTATATAGTATTTCTTCATAATGATATAGTTTATTGGCCAGGCGCAGTGGCTCATGCCTGTAATCCCAGCACTTTGGGAGGCCGAGACGGGCAGATCACGAGGTCAGGAGATCGAGACCATCCTGGCTAACACGGTGAAACCCCGTCTCTACTAAAAATACAAAAAAAAATTAGCCGGGCGTGGTGGTGGGTGCCTGTAGTCCCAGCTACTCGGGAGGCTGAGGCAGAAGAATGGCGTGAACCTGGGAGGTGGAGCTTGCAGTGAGCTGAGATCACAGCACTGCACTCCAGCCTGGAGGACAGAGCGAGACTCTGTCTCAAAAAAAAAAAAAGATATACTGTAGTTTATTAAACCAAAATTGATGAACATTTGGTGTGTTTTCAGTTTCATGGTATTTCAGACAATATTTTCAAGAACTTTTTTTTTCTTTTTTTTTTTTTTTTGATATGGTCTTGCTCTGTTGTCCAGGCTGAGGTGCAGTGACATGATCACAGCTCATGCCACCACACCTGGCTAATTTTTAAATTATTTGTGGAGATGGGGATCTCCCTATCTTGCCCAGGCCAGTCCTGAACTTCTGGGCTCAGGTGATCCTCCTACCTCAGCCTCCCAAAGAGCTGGGATTAGAGGCGTAAGCCACCTTGTCTGGCCTCAGAGAACATTTCTAAATATATCTGTTTGCACATTTGTGGGAAATCTAAGGATGAATTCCTTGACAAAAAAGAAGAAAAGAGTTCATATTCAGAAAGAATTGATCCTCGAAAAGGAATGTGAGATGTAAGATAGAGCTGAATTTTATAGAAAAGAAGAGGAAAGGTAATGGCTTTGAGGACTTCTAAAATTGCTTTTTCCAACGGGTTTCAGAAATGAACTCTTAAGTAAGTTTTTTATTAAAAAGATTTGTGGGTTGGGCACAGTGGCTCATGACTGTAATACCAGCACTTTGGGAAGCCGAGGTGGTCAGATACCTGAGGTCAGGAGTTTGAGATCAGCCTGGCCAACACAGCAAAACTCTATCTCTACTAAAAATACAAAAATTAGCCGGGCCTGGTAGTGCATGTCTGTACTCCCAGCTACTCCGGAGGCTGAGGCAGGAGAATCACTTGAACCCGGGAGGCAGAGGTTGCCGTGAGCTGAGATCGTGCCACTGCACTCCAGCCTTGGTATCAGAGCAAGACTCCTTAAAAAAAAAAAAAAAAAAAGATTTATATAAAATGAGCTGGGTATCTATTATAAAAAACATATTTATTGGCCAGGCGCGGTGGCTCATGCCTGTAATCCCAGCATTTTGGAAGGACGAGGCGAGCGGATCACAAGGTCAGGAGTTCGAGACCAGCCTGGCCAATATGGTGAAACCCTGTCTCTACTAAAAATACAAAAATTAGCCGGGTGTGGTGGCAGGCATCTATAGTCCCAGCTACTCCAGAGGCTGAGGCAGGAGAATCACTTGAACCTGGGAAGCGGAGGTTGCAGTGAGCCGAGATCACGCCACTGCACTCAAGCCTGGGCAACAGAGTGAGACTCCGTCTCAAAAAAAATAAATAAATAAAAAAATAAAATTTGTTAAAAATACTACCTTTTAGGGTCCTGTGCGGAGGATTACGCCTGTAATCCCAGCACTTTAGAAGGCCAAGGCAAGTGGATCGCTTGAGCCCAGGAGTTAAAGACCAGCCTGGGCAACAAAATGAGACCCTGTCTCTACAAAAAATTAAAAGGATTTATGTGGGTGTACTGGTGTGTGCCTGTAGTTCTAGCTACTCGGGAGGCAAGAGGATCATTTAAACCCAGGAGTATAATGCTGCAGTGAGCCATGATTATGCCACTGCACTCCTGAGTGACAGAATAAGACTCTGTCTCAAAAAAGAAAAAACAAAAACAGAAACAAAAAAAACCTGCCTTTTGGCCAGACGCAGTGGCTCATGCCTGTAATCCCAGCACTTCGGGAGGCTGAGACGGGCGGATCACAAGGTCAGGAGATTGAGACCATCCTGGCTAAAACGGTGAAACCCTGTCTCTACTAAAAATACAAAAAATTAGCCAGGTGTGGTGGCGGGTGCCTGTAGTCCCAGCTACTCGGGAGGCTGAGGCAGGAGAATGGTGTGAATCCAGGAGGCGGAGCTTGCAGTGAGCCGAGATCACGCTACTGCACTCCATCCTGGGCGACAGAGCGAGACTCTGTCTCAAAAAAAAAAAAAAAAAACCTGCCTTTTAGTTGGAATTAATTAATGCAGAAGAAAATTTCTAATGAATATTTATATGTCTTTAGGTTAAAAATTGGCTTTCTAGGCTGGGCGCAGTGGCTCACACCTGTAATTTCAGCACTTTGGTAACCCAAGGCTGGCAGATCACTTGAGCTCAGCAGTTCAAGACAAGCCTGGCCAACATGGTGAAACCCCATCTGTACAAAAAATACAAAAATTAGCTAGGCATGGTGGCCCATGCCTATAATAATCCCAGCCACTCAGGAGGCTGAAGTGGGAGGACCGCTTGAGCCTAGGAGGTCAAGGATGTAGTTAACAATGATCGCACCACTGTACTCCAGCCTGGGTGACAGAGCGAGACACTGTTTCATGAAAGAAAAAAAATTGGCTTTCTAAAGTTAAATCCCAAATGCTTTCTGGAAAACCTCTTTAGAATATAAGTTACCAGTTTGGAGGCTGAATCTGATGCAGAAAGGGTGAGCTGTTTTGCAAGCCTGAACTTGGAAGGCATCATGTTTCTCACAACATTTTGAAAAGTAACTATAGGAACTTTTAACTCATTTAAATTGAACAGATGTGCGGTTTTTTCTCTGTTCAGTTGTGGTTGTTGCTGTGTTTAAGTAAATGTACTTCTTGCTTGCATGTGTTTCCTGTGAGCTCTGGAAACTCACACCTGACTGAATTTAACTTGCTTAGATTTGATTTGATTCTTAGGTCAACTGGAACAATTATTTTGCCTTTAAGTACCCTAACAAAATGTTTATATGTACAAGGATCAAAAAGGCCTGTCTGTCTGTTTGTTACAGATAAAAATATAGTTTTTATAACGATGCTTACGTTAATAAGATCCAGAAAAATAACTTCTTTTTTGGAAAAGTGTCAATCTTTGATGTAACACAGCTTCAGGGAATAAAATTATTTTGCATAACCATAATTGAAAGTGCTATATCTTCAGCAGGAAGGTAGGATAAATAAATTTTTGTTTAGAACAAAATTTTTTAAAAAGACAGTATGGGCCAGGCACAGTGGCTCACACCTATAATCCCAGCACTCTGGGAGACTGAGGCAGGAGGAGCCTAGGAATGTGAGACCAGCCTGGCCAACATGGTGAAACCCAGTCTCTACTAAAAATATAAAAATTAGCCTGGTGTGGTGGTGTGCGCCTGTAGTCCCAGCTACTTGGGAGGCTGAGGTGGGAGGATCACCTTCTTTTCAAGGCCATCTGTCCCTTCAAAATATATTTAATTCCAACATACCACCTTACTCCTAAAGTGACCTTATTATAACATTGTTAACATTGCGATATAGTTGTCACTGCTTCTAAATATTCTGTTGAAATATGTGAAAAGTTAACTTTTTTTTTGAGACAGAGTCTTACTCTGTCATCCAGGCTGGAGTGCAGTGGCACGATCACACCTGCACCTTCTGGCCCCAGTATTTTCAACTTCCACTCTAAATTTTAAAAATCATTAGCATGCAAGTGTGCTTCCGTGAGCCCTCCATCAGGCATGCCCTCTATCTAAACCCATTTCTTCAAGGCACAGCTTAAGTCCAACCTCCTTGATGAGGCCTTCTGTGATAATTCCAGGTCACAGAAACCACCCTTCAGCTCTTACTCTGAACTAAATAACAATGTAAGGTATGTACATTCCTCTGGCACTGGTCATCTTCATAAAGTTACCCAAATGTTCATGTTTGGATGTCTTGTATCCACTACATTTCTAGCACCTTCCTCCTTGAATGGTCCACATAGAAGGCACTTAATATTTCTTGAATGAGTTAATCCAGTCCATTCATTGCGGGTGATGATTATTGCCTCAGTTAAAGCTGTTAACTGGGAAACTAAATAAGCTGTTGGAAATGTTCCTCAAATCTCTGGATTTGAGTATAGAATAAGTGGATTTGGAGTAAAGCCAGCTTGGGTTCCAGTTCTGGCTCTAACTATATAAAGTTAGGCAAGTTACTTAACATTCCTAAGCCTTCATTCATGTCCTTTTTTTTTTTCTTTTTGAGACAAGGTCTCATTCTGTTGCCCAGGCTGGAGTGCAGTGGTAAAATCACAGCTCACTGCAGTCTCGACTTCCCAGGCTCCAGCAATCCTCCCACCTCAGCCTCCTGAGTAGCTGGGACTACAGGCACATGACACCATGCCCGGCTAACTTTTGTATTTTTTCTTTGGAGATGGGATTTCACCACATTGCCCAGGCTGGTCTCAAACTCCTAGACTCAAGTGATCCTCCCGCCTCGGCCTCCCAAAGTGCTGGGATTACAGGCATGAGCCACCACGCCCAGCTCGTGTCCTCTTTCTTGAAGGCAGATAACAATTGGCCTCACAGACGTTGAGCATGCTTGGAGAATTAAGAGAAATAAGGTAGATACAGCAATTAACTCTGTGCTCTAGTATATAGAGTATGTGATCAATAGAAGGTAGTTACATCATTCTGAACATTTAGGGAGTTCCTACTAGAAAGAGATACATCCTCAATGTATAGTTGCGGAGGTTACTGGCACAGGCGCACAGCCCTGCAGGGCCCAGACTCCACCAGAGTTCACTTCCATCTCAGAGTCCTTACTTTTGCACTGGAAGAGCCTACTTTTCCCTGCCCACCCCACTACCACCTCCCAACCTGCCTCTGTACGTCTTTACTGGAAGTCAGGGCATTCTGCACACCTTCCAGGGCAAGGGAAGAGGAGTTACAGAAATTGCAATTGTAACTTAGAAGTTGGGAAATATTTTCTTATAAAAAAGTATCGTTATACATGGTGGTTATCTTTAGTAAAATTACTTAGGACTAAATAGGCTTCTTTGGCCATATCTGGAAATCTAAACCACCACGTCTAAAATTGTTTCTATGGGAAACTATGTTCTGAGTTCCTAGTAACTGACTTAGAAATGAACTATTGGAATGCATCTTATTTGGGGACAGTCTGTAGGTCAACATTCATAACTCATTGTCAGTGAAAAAGGAAATGACATTTGCTCTGCCATTACTGAAACATACTGCACATGTATTTCTGTAACTGTTCCTTGTGGACACCAAGTATCTAAAGTTATTTAAAACAGCAACATAACCCTATCAGATTTAATTGATATCTGCATGTTATTATATTTCAGCTACTAACTCCCCAGCATCTAAGATGTGCATATTAGGTGTCTTTTAGACATTTTTAGAATTTAATACTTTGAAGGAAGGCAGAAGGAGCCTTTTGCTTTTGCAGCGCTCCTCGTGTGTTATATAACTGCTGTGCTGCAGTGATGTTCTCCCTCCCCCTTTTCCTCCTCAGAGCTTCTCTGCCCATGTATGGTAACTGTTCCACAACAGTTTTTGGTACTGAAGTAAGCAAGTAGAATCCTTATTAGGATCCAAGCTTAAAAGTCAAACAGTTTTGGAGCTAAGAGTGAGAATCTTTCATGTGTAGAATCCTGCAGATACCCTATGGATCCACAAAATTAGGTTTAGGACAGTTATTCAAAGAGAAAGAAAAATGTATGAATTTTGATCTGTATGAGATTGGTGTCCTAGCAATAAACCAATCAGTTGCCCTGTTTTAAATTTCTCCTAAGTCCCAAGAAAGCATTTTTCTAACTCTTTTGTTTCCACTTTTGTGTGATTACCATGAAGAGAATCAGAAATGTCTTGCATTTCCTTTCTCTTCTCTTTTTTATGTCCTAGTGTATATGGACAAAAGCAACTTCCATGTACTCTTAGCTGTTTATTACAGGCTTACATTCAGTGCCCCAGTTACTCACCCTCTTTTTTTTTTTTTTTTGAGATGAAGTTTCGCTCTTGTTGCCCAGGCTGCAGTGCAATGGCGTGATCTCAGCTCACTGCAACCTCCACCTCCCCAGTTCAAGCAATTCTCCTGCCTCAGCCTCCCTAGTAGCTGGGATTACAGGCATGCACCACCATGCCCAGCTAATTTTGTATTTTTAGTAGAGACAGGGTTTCTCCATGTTGAAGCTGGTCTCGAACTCCTGACCTCAGGTGATCTGCCCACCTCGGCCTCCCAAAGTGCTGGGATTACAGGCGTGAGCCACTGTGCTTGGCCCACCCTCTCTTTTTAGATCAGTTTCTCTAAGAGAGAGAGAAGATAAAAAGCAGAATTAAGCAGAGCATTCATTCTTTTTCCACTCACTTGTCAAAGCCAGCTCTCAAGAAGGGTTGGATGTAAGCATTATTTAATATATTACTGTAAAGCTTAAGAAGAAATCTCTCCTGGAGTATTTGCCTTGTTCTAAGGGATAGTTGTAACTTTTTGAGAACTATGGAAATTAAACAAGCTGAAACTTTTTTTTTCTACAAAAGAGATTCTTGGAACACCAGAGCTTCTCCAGTCACTTTTGAAATGCCTACTTTATACCATTCACAAAGAGGAATGGCAAGGTCTGAGTCCGAAAGATAATCGGTCTTGGTGCAGAAACAGAAATCGAATTGGTAGTGCATGTCAATAAGCACTGTAATAAAGATTTTCAGAGGATACTGGGGAGGTCAGGAGAAAGACAGCAACTGTCCAGGGGCATCTTAATTTGCCTTGCAGAGGAAGAGATCCACCATCAGGGCTGAGCTTTAAGGGTACAGTGTTCACAAAGCATCACGTTCTCCATAAACGTGTATGATTATTATTTGTCAATTAAATTTTCTTTAAAAGGTAAAGTGTTTTCCTGTAGTAGGGTAGAAGAGTACAAGAAAGATCAGATATTCTATGAGGTGATAATTTGAGGATTCTTTCAGGAAGTAAGAGTGTGATGAATATTGGTACTTTCATTCATTCTTTCACTCAATGAGTATTTACTGGGCACTTAGTAGGTGTTGGAGGTTACAATGGTGATCAAATTCTCATGAAGATTGTGGCCTAGTTTGGAAGACATTGGACAAAAATCTATAAATAGCACTTGTAATATGTGCCCTGATGGGAAAAGCAGGGTGCTAGAACAGAGTTTAACTGAGGATTGGAGTGGCATGGGATCGGAGGAAGTTCAGAGAAGAAAATGACATTTAAACCGAGACCTAAAGCTTTATGGAGGCAGAGGGAACAGCATCTGTGAACATTTCCCATGGGAAAAACCTGACTTTGAAAGGACAGAAAAGTCAGAGCCCTGTGCACAGAAAAAGGAGTAGGTTGTAGGGAGATCCGGAGAATTAGACGCATCCTTCAAGGCTTGTAGGAACTGCCACAGATTTTGGACTTTGTACATAATGGGAAACCATTGAGTGGTTTAGGATCTGTATTTTTAAAATCACCCTGGGCTGGACGTAGTGGCTCACGCCTGTAATCCCAACACTTTGGGAGGCCAAGGTGGGCGGACCACTTGAGGCCAGGAGTTCAAAACCAGCCTGGCCAACATGGCGAAACCTTGTCTCTACTAAAAATACAAAAATCAGCTGGGTATGGTGGCATACGCCCATAATCCCAGCTACTCAGGAGGCTGATGCACGAGAATCACTTCAACCCGGGAAAGCAGAGGTTGCAGTGAGCCGAGATCGTGCTGCCGTACTCCAGTCTCGGTGACAAAGTGAGACTCCATGTCAAAAAGAAAAAATAAATAAATAAATAAATAATTAAGTCCAGCCGCCGTGGTTTACACCTGTAATCCCAGCACTTTGGGAGGCCAAGGCAGGCAGATCACAAGGTCAAGAGACTGAGACCATCCTGGCCAACATGATGAAACCCCGTCTCTACTAAAAATGCCAAAATTAGCTGGGCGTGGTAGCACGCGCCTGTAGTCCCAGCTACTTGAGAGGCTGAGGCAGGAGAATCACTTAAACCCAGGGGGCAGAGGTTGCAGTGAGCCAAGATCATGCCACTGCACTCCAGCCTGGGTGACAGAGCAAGACTGCGTCTCAAAAAAACAAAACAAAACAAAACACAGAAAATGCAAGCCAGGCATAGTGGTTCACACCTGTAATCCCAGCACTTTAGGAGGCTGAGGCAGGAGGATTGCTTGAGCCCAGGAGTTCGAGACCAGCCTTGGCAACATAATAAAACCCTGTCTTTACAAAAAAAAAAAAAAAAAATTAGCTGAGCATGGTAGCATGGGCTTGTAGTCCCAGCTACTGGGGGTGCTGAGGAAGGAGGGTCACTTGAGCCCAAGAGGTTGAGGCTGTGGTGACCAAGAACCTGTCTCGAACAAGCAAGCAAAAAAGAAAAACAAAGTGCAGAAATAAACTTTAGTGTAGCATGTCCAGGCAATTCTACACACTTTGGAATAGCGGGGTGTGAATGAATGAGGGTTAACCATGCCACCACCCTATAATGAAAAGATACAGGAGGGGTGGGTTTTCAGTCCAAGTCAGAGTCATTTAAACAGAGTCAACTGAGATGAGGCTTAGAAGCTCATGTAGGGGATAGGTTTGGAATTTTTTTTTTTTTTTTTTTGAGACAGAGTCTCACTGTATCACCTAGGCTGGAGTTCAGTGGTATGATGTTGACTCACTGCAACCTCCACTTCCTGGGTTCAGGCGATTCTCCTGCCTTGGCCTCCTGAGTAGCTGGTACTACAAGGGCATACCACTACACCTGGCTAATTTTGTATTTTTTGGTAGAGAAGGGGTTTTACATGTTGGCCAGGCTGGTCTCAAACTCCTGACCTTAGATGATCTGCATACCTCGGCCTCCCAAAGTGCTGGAATTTTTTTATGTTTTTATTTTTATTTATTTTTATTTTTTTGAGCCAGCATCTCACTCTTTCACCCAGGCTGGAATGCTGTGGCACTGGCATGGCTCACTGCAGCCTCCAACTCCTGGGCTCAAGGGATCCTTCCACCTCAGCCTCCCAAGTACATAGGACTACAGGCCAGCTGCACCATGCCTGGCTAATTAAAAAAAAAAAAATTATAGAGACAGAATCTCACTAGGTTGACCGGGCTGGTCTTGAACTCCTGGCCTCAAGCAATTCTCCTGACTCAGCCTCCTGGGTAGCTGGGATTACAGGTATGAGCCACAGGATTGGAATTTTTGACAGGAATTTTTGAAGGCCCTAATGAGGTTTTTGGCTTCAGAGGTAACTTACGCAATAAAGCTCTATTTCATTTTTACTTTTCGAAAAGCCACCGTTGAGGTGAAATGGGGACCCGTAGCTCCAGAGAAACAGCGGGAGGCACAACCTCCTCTGTGAAATTCCTCTGTGAGTAGCCAGAGAGCGCCAGAGAACTCTGGTGGTGGAGAGCAAATGAAAGCAGCCAGAAGGGAAACCGGAAATTCTCGCCCAAGGTCTGTGGTGTGAAAAAGTGCCAAGAATGACCAATGAGAACTGCAAATATGAAGAGTAATACTGAAAGTAGAGCATTGTGTTTGGTATAAAGACAGCCTGCCAATGCCTTTTTTGAAATGGAACTCAAGACATGAAGACAGCCAAGCATGGCGTGCCTGTAGTCCCAGCTACTTGGGAGGTTGAGGTAGGAGGACTGCTTGAGCCCAGGAGTTTGAGGCCACCTTGGGCAACACAGTGAGATCTTGCCTCTAAAAAATAAACAAATGAAAAATAAAGATGTGAAGGCAGAGAAAGTAGCAGTAGCAGGTAGACAAACCCAGGAGAGGTGTCGGGGAGAAATGAAAGGGAAATGACAGGGAAGGAAGAGGAGAAAGCATTACTCCCACGTGGGGATTTCTTATGGGAGGGGAAGTGAAAACCACAGAAATTGAAAGAGGAACTTGGGGACCAGAAGGCTTTATTTCCCAGTGTGCTCCCCAACACCCCTTCCCCAAAAGAAACCATCATGTTTGGGGAAAGGTACAAAGGAAATGTCCTATTTGTGCTTAGACTCTGATTTTGAGACTGGGTAAGTTGCCCTTTCCTTGATAGGGGATTGCCTAGGTTGAAACGGTAGGAGGGAGTGTTCCCAGAGTGGAATGCAGCCCGACTGTGTTCAGAAGAAGCATGAAGGTCCCATTCTACTTTGATACTAATACTTGAAAAAGGAGAAAAAATTACAAACTGCCGCTTTTTATGTGGTATTCATGAGGGAAGGAAAGGGGGTGGGAAAGCAGGAGGAAAGCACCATGTAAATCAAGTCTTCCAAGAACTTATTTTATCAAGCATTTAATCAGCTCTTGCTCAAGGCTAATCATAAAAATAAACTGCGCATTTTTACCTGCTGCAGGCAGCTTGCAAACTGCAGGTGTGTTTCAAGAAAGCCACTGTCAAGTCCCCAGTTGCAATTCAAAAGATATTAACTAAGAGCTAAACCAAATTATGGGTCTTACATTATGTTATAAGAACCAGACATAAATTACCACCCAGTTAAAATATCTAGAAATGAGCCAGCAAATGAACTGTCACCAGATGAAGGCCTACACTTTAAAAAAATGTTTTACTTTGTGGTTAAATATATATGAGTAAAATCTACCATTTTAACCATTTTTAAGTGTGCGGTTCAATGGCATCAAGTACATTCACATTGTGCAGCCATCCCACCATCCATCTCCACAACTATTTTCCTCTTCCCAAACTGAAACTCTGTACCCATTAACAATAACTCCCCATTCCCCCCTCTCCCCAGCCCGTGGCAACCACCATTCTACTTTCTGTCACATGAACTGACTACTGTAGGTACCTCGAATGATTGGAATCATACAGAATTTGGCCCTTGTGATTATTCAATAATGCATAATGTTCACCCATGATGTAGCAGGTGTCAGAATTTCCTTTTTTAGGCTGAATGCGCCTACACTTTTTAAAGGGAGACATGATATTAAAAATCATTTTCTAAAAAAATTGCATATCCACATCATTTTTTTAAAACTGCCACAGCACGGCCGGGCACGGTGGCTCACACCTGTAATCCCAGCACTTTGGGAGGCCGAGGCAGGCAGATCACGAGGTCAGGAGTTTGAGACCAGCCTAGCCAACATGGCGAAACCCCGTCTCTACTAAAAATACAAAAAAAAAAAAAAATCAGCTGGGCTTGGTGGCGGGCTCCTGTAATCCCAGCTACTTGGGAGGCTGAGGCAGGACAATCGCTTGAACCCAGGAAGGTGGAGGTTGCAGTGAGCCGAGATCGCGCCACTTGCACTCCAGCCTGTGTGACAAGAGCAAGACTCCATCTCAAAAAAACAAAACAAAACAAAAAAACTGCCACAGCATTGAATAGGCTTTTTAGCATTCATTAGGTTGCAAAAGGAGGCTGGAGCTGGGCTTCAAGGTAGCATTGTTCAAAGTCCTCTTACTTTCTAGGGTGGGATTTTTGTTGTTGTTGTTGTTGTTGTGTTTCCTTTTGTTTTGTTTTTTGAGAGGGAGTCTCACTCTTGTCGTCCAGGCTGGAGTGCAGTGGTGCGATCTCGGCTCACTGCAACCTCCTCCTCCCGGGTTCAAGCTTCTCCTGCCTCAGCCCCCTGAGTAGCTGGGATTACAAGCGCCCGCCACCACACTCGGCTAATTTTTGTACTTTTAGTAAAGACAGGGTTTCGCCATGTTGGCCAGGATGGTCTCGAACTCCTGACCTCAGGTGATCCGCCCACCTTGGCCTTCCAAAGTGCTGGGATTACAGGCGTGAGCCACCGCTCCCGGCCTGTTGTTTTTTAGAGAGGGCTCTCCCTGTGTCGCCCAGGCAAGAGTGCAGTGGCTATTCACAGGTGCAATCACGGCGCACGGCAGCCTGGAACTCCTGGCCTCAAGTGATCCTCCTGCGTCAGCCTCCAAAGTAGCTGAGACTACAGGTGTGTGCCACTGCACCCAGTTTAGGGTGAGTTATTCTTAATCTCACAGGCAAGAGACCAAATTTAGACACTTCCCTCAGTTAGTGGATGAAACTGAGCATTCAACTAAATCCTCTATCCCTTTGATCCCCGTTTCCCTCCCCTCTCCGAACCTTTACCCCCACAATGGTTTTCTGTTTGGAATACACGGTAACAAAACTAGGAGGAGGCATGCGTCTGTGCTTTCAAGTGGAATTTACCATTACAATAAAGTTATCACCATTGGAAGATATCAATTTGACATCCATGGCCTCGGGGCCTCCTCAGCCACCACAGGGTTTCTCCTCTCCATACACTGTTCTTATGAAATTCTGCTTTGCTTCCCCCAAAACTTCAGTAGTTTCTCATCAGCCCCGCAGTCACTGTAGCCAGGTCCCTGCCTAACATTTTATTTTATTTTGTTTTGTTTTATTTATTTATTTATTTATTTTTGAGACAGAGTCTAACTCTGTCGCCCAGGCTGGAGTGCAGTGGCGCGATCTTGGCTCACTGCAACCTCAGTCTGCTGGACTCAAGCAGTCCTCTCAAATGGAATTCTTTAGACAGGAATTCCTCTCCTGGACCCAAATTTTGAACACTTTTATTGTGTGTGTTGAACTGGGTTCTGGTCTTTAGAGAAAGAGAAACAGATTAATAACTTTCTTCCTCTCGGCTCTATCCTTAATCTCAAAAGTCTGTGACTTTTACTAAAATAACATTCTCCTCGCCATAATGGCGTCTTTTGACCTTATTCCCCCAAACCAAAATTTTCTCCCTCCCTCCCTTCCTTCTTTCTCTTTCTCTCTTTCTCTCTTTCCTTCTTTCGAGACAGAGTCCCACTCTGTCACTCAGACTGGAGTGCAGTGGTGCAATCTTGGTTCACTGCAACCTTCGCCTCCTGGGTTCAAGCAATTCTCCTGCCTCAGCCTCCTGAGTAGCTGCGACTACAGGTGCCCGCCACCACACCTGGCTAATTTTTGTATTTTTGGTAGAGATGGGGTTTCACGATATTGACCAGGCTAGTCTCGAACTGCTGACCTCAAGTGATCCTTCTGCCTCAGTCTCCCAAAGTGCTGGGAATACAGGCTTGGGCCATGGCGCTCGGCCACAAAATGTCCTTTTGCTGCAGGGCACCTGCTGTAATGGCAGCTGGGGAGGCTGCATGATCAGTCTCACCTTGGTTTTTAAATGATCAGCTGGCCCTGAAAATAGTTTCCAAAACTCATTGAGCTATGAAATTTCTGTTAAACACAGCAACCAGGCATCACCAAGATTTATCAATAACACAGTGGCCCATCTAGTAATGCCCAGAGCAGGAACCTAAGAAAATATCAGCATATACTTACAGCCAATACACAGATCTGTCTCCCATGGATATAACTCAGAAATTACAAAAGGGAAATAGTAGACACTATAGTTTTTAAGCCTTTTAATTTTTTTTTTTTTTTTTTTTTTTGAGATGGCATCTTGCTCTGCTGTTGCCCAGGCTGGAATGCAGTGGCTTGATCATAGCTCACTGCATCCTTGAACTCCTGGGCTCAAGGGATCCCTCCGACCTCAGCTTCCTGAGTAGCTGGGACTACAGGTGTGGGCCACTATGCCTGGCTAATTTATTTTTTATTTTTGTAGTGACAGGGTCTCATTTTGCTGCCCAGGCTGGTCTCGAACTCCTGGCTTCAAACAACCTTCCTGCCTTGGCCTCCCAAAGTACTGAGATTATAGGTGTGTGCTACCACACCCAGTTCCTTTTTAATTTTTAAAAGATTTTAGATTTTTTTTTTTGAGGCAATCCTTTCACATTTCTCACAACTCATCGTGAGTTGTTTTAATGTAAAGTTATTTTCCAGCAGATTGAAACAGTGAAGACCTCTGTATTCCAGGAGGGCAAGTGTTCTGCCTCTTCAAGATAGCTGAAGGAAAGGAAACTGTATAGCTCCCTGCAGTTTAAAAGTTAGTTGCGCACTGATTGCTTCATGAATAAAGCTGGAAGATCTAAGTTTGGGAGTGAAGGAAAGAGGATCTGCGGCCGGGCGCGGTGGCTCACGCCTGTAATCCCAGCACTTTGGGAGGCCGAGGCGGGCGGATCACAAGGTCAGAAGATCGAGACCACAGTGAAACCTCGTCTCTACTAAAAATACAAAAAAAAAAAAAAAAAAAAAAAAATTAGCCGGGCGCGGTGGTGGGCGCCTGTAGTCCCAGCTACTCGAGAGGCTGAGGCAGGAGAACGGCGTGAATACGGGAGACGGAGCTTGCAGTGAGCCGAGATCGCGCCACTGCACTGCAGCCTGGGCGACAGAGCGAGACTCCGTCTCAAAAAAAAAAAAAAAAAAGAAGATCTGAAAGAGAAAAATTGGAGAATACAGTCCCAGAGATTCATATTTCTAGACTCAGATCTCATGGACATTTTTGCCTGATGTGAAAAAACATTGTCCTGGCCAGGTGCAGTGGCTCACGCCTGTAATCCCAGCACTTTGGGAAGCTGAGGCGGGCAGATCACCTGAGATCGGGAGTTGGAGACCAGCCTGACCAACACGGAGAAATCCCATCACTACCAAAAATACAAAATTAGCCAGGCATGGTGGCGCATGCTTGTAATCCCAGCTACTCAGGAGGCTGAGGCAGGAGAACTGCTTGAACCCAGGAGGCAGAGGTTGTGGTGAGCCAAGATCACACCACTGCACTCCAGCCTGGGCAACAAGAGCAAAACTCCATCTCAAAAAAAAATACACTGTCCTGCCCAACCACACTCGCTGGTTTACTGCTCCCAAACCTTGAATAAAATTCTACAAGAAGATGGTGTATTGATGATCCATTCTATGCCTATCATTCTGCATCTGACTTCAAGTCTGTTTTATGACAGTTTCCATGTCTCCTTTAAAGAGCCCTTTGCTTTTGCAGGAAAATGAAAGATATTACCAGTCTTACAAAAGCATGTGGCTTCATATATTTTGAGTGCTATGAAATATTAATTTTTCTAAAACTGACATTATTTAGCAATTGGAAATGTGTTAGCTCTAACTTTCTTTTATGGGTACTTTTCTGTGGTTATAATATACAAAATTAAATTTACCACTTTGATCATTTTTAGGTGTATAGCTGTGCGGCATTAAGTACATTTTAGGGGCATTTTAAAATCTCTTCCTACTCTCAGTGCAGAGGTTCCTTCCTGCTTTCTCTATAAGTCATATCCAGCAGATAGTATTTAGGAACCCTTCATTTCTCAACTTTGTTTTGACAAAATTAGGAGTAATTCTATTACCTCTTTTTAAAAATCGGGATTCTAGGCCGGGAACAGTGGTGCACGCCTGTAATCCCAGCAATTTGGGAGGCCAAGGCAGTCAGATCCCTTGAGGCCAGGAATTCCAGATCAGCTTGGGCAACATGGTGAAACTCCACCTTTATTTTTTCAAAAAAGCGATTCTAAAGTGGAGTGGATGAAGGACTATGTCTTTCTTACTGGTTTATTGCTCGTCTGTGACTTTTTATTCACTAAAGATCCCTCTTAGGTAGATCTTAAACTTTCTCTCGCTCAGACTAAGTGATTTCAGTTTCATTATCTATTAATAGATACCTTTGCCCACACTTTAGTCGTGGAGTTCTCACAGTGGTTCTTCTCTGATACCTTGCCCAAGGTTATTTATATCCTGTTAATTTAAAAGTCTAGTAGTAGTGTCTGTAAACGCCGCTTAAAATAAAACTCACCAAGGGTTTGCCAGAATAGGTTTCTGGAGAAGAATCGCTGGTGTGAGCAGGAGCTCTGTCCCAGTGGGGCTGCTGAGTGTCACCCACTCCCCCACTGCGATTTTCTCACTGTCAGTCCCACCGCTTCCTGCCACTTGGTCTGGCTGGTCTTTTTTTTTTTTTTTTTTTTTGAGACAGGGTCTTGCTCTGCCACCCAGTGCCCAGGCTGCAGTACAGTGGCATGATCTCGGCTCACTACCTGGCTCAAGAAATCCTCCCACCTCAACCTCCTGAGCAGTTAAGACTACAGGCACATGCCACCATGCCTGGCTAATTTTTTTTTTTTTTTTTTTTTTTTTGTAGAGATGAGGTCTCACTATATTGCCCAGGCTAATCTAGAACTCTTGGGCTCAAGAAATCCTCCCGCCTCGGCCTCCCAAAGTGCTGGGATTCCAGGCATTAGCCACCGTGCCCAGGCTGGTCTCACCTTAAAAGCAACCGCCCAGATGAAGAAAAGCATTGCTTTCTTCAGTTCCTTATAGTTGAAACAGTATGACAGTAGGATAAACAATGGAGATGTTAAACTACGTTTTCCAGAGCAGACCTGATTTCAAATACCCTGAGCCATTGTCATACCTCATGTCAGGCAGTTGATTTGCTTATTCAGAAAACGTCCAAACTATCAATGGAGACTAAATGGAGGAGAAGTTACCCAAGCACCCCAAGAATAAGATGCGCCTCGAGACCATCTTAGTGCTCACTCGTGCCCCTCCCAACACGGTTCCTTTAACGTTGGTCCTTGATGAATATTTGTTGACTGAATAAATGAGTGGGGGATGGCCAGGTGCGGTGGCTCACGCCTGTAATTCCAGCACTTTGGGAGGCCGAGGCGGGTGGATCACCTGAGGTCAGAAGTTCAAGACCAGCCTGGCCAACATGATGAAACCCCATCTCTACTAAAAATACAAAAAATTAACTGGGTGCGGTGGTGGGCTCCTGTAGTCCCAGCTACTCAGGAGGCTGAGGCAGGAGAATCGCTTGAACCCAGGAGGTGGAGGTTGCAGTGAGCTGAGATCGTGCCACTGCACTCCAGTTTGGGCAACAAAAGTGAAACTCCATCTCAAAAAAAAAAAAGAGTGGGGGATGGACAGGTTTTAGAGACATAACAGCCCCTGGTAAGCAGAGTGACCCAAAAGGGGAAGCAGGGGCAAGTTCGGCAAGTTAGAGTGAGAGTAATTTTTGACCTAACGCAGGTGGGGAAGAAAATGAAAACCTGAATAGGTTTGAATTTGATCATATCGTGCTGGCTGTGACAACCCTAAATGATTTACAAATGGCTCATTAAAAAAAAAAAAAAAAAAAAAAAGTGTATCATCCGAATCCTCAACAAGAAAAAAAAGGAGCAAGAAAAAAGAATTCTCTTTTGTCCCTCCTACCCACATCTTTGCATGCCTGTCACCCCTCATGGATGCCATCCTCACTGTTCAGCGTCCTGTCCCCCTGATGCCCCATGGCTCTCACTTTACACTGATACAGCCAAACGTATCAGGAAGAACCAAATGTCTTCCTCCAAACTACACTTTGTCCTAAAACTATTCCTTTTAAAAACACACTTCAAATAAAGTTTTCAGTTCCTCAGAGTTGGGAAACTGTTCGATTGCCTTGTTATATGCATACTTAAGCCATACTCATCAGGTACTTAGTGATCAATACGTGTCTCCAATTACTTGATTAAAATACTGTAAGTCTGAATGACTGATAGGCTTCATTCTCCCAGGGAACATCTATGTTTTCTAAATTTCATTAGCCTAAATGAATCTAATTGATAAAATATATTAGGACCCTTCTGTGACAATTGTGGGCAATGTTCTCTGTCTACTGTCAGGCTGGAAATAGAGCTGTCAGTGACTTGGTATCCCAGTTTTATCCTGTTATAGTCTGTGGGAAGCCATTGTACATCAGTAGGGGAAAAGGCATAATACAAACATTTTAGAAAGTTTACTAGAGCAGGCCGGGTGCGGTGGCTCACTCCCATAATCCCAGCACTTTGGGAGGCCAAAGTGGGTGAATCACCTGAGGTCAGGAGTTCGAGACCAGCCTGGCCAACATGGTGAAACCCTGTCTCTACTAAAAATACAAAAAAAAGAAAAAATTAGCCTGGTGTGGTGGCACGCGCCTGTTAATTCCAGCTACTTGGCTCAGGAGGCTGAGGCAGGAGAATTGCTTGAACCTGGGAGGTGGAGGTTGCAATGAGCCGAGATTGTGCCACTGCACTCCAGAGTGGGAGACAGTGCAAGACTCTGTCTCAAAAAAAAAAAAAAAAAAAAAGAAAGAAAGAAAAAACAAAGTTTACTAGAGCAGTAAAGTTTAGTCTAGAGTTCCAGGAGGACTCTACCAGGTGATTTCTACTGCTGCTGGTCCTGGTGCTCATTGCCATTTAGGCTGAGTCCAGTGGAGGAAAGTAGGTAGATTCTGAGCTTAGTGATCCTGAGGAGTGCTACCTGGTTCTGAAACATGCACCAAACACTTAGGATGTACTAGGGGTTGGGGATACAAAGTAAGTGAGATAGAAAAAGGGTGATCAAGTCTACCTGAGGGGAGCACAGAAGAGAGGGTGACCAACTCTGCCTGAGGGAATAGAGGCGACAAGTAACCAAGTCTACTTTGAGAAAATGTAGACAAGAAGGTCATCCACTCCACTTGAGAAAGCTGCAGAAGGCTTCACCAAATAGAAAGGACTGAGCCTCACAGCACTTGCCATCTTGTTCTCATGTAGTTATAAAATCTTTTTGCCGGGCGCAGTGGCTCACGCCTGTAATCCCAACACTTTGGGAGGCCAAGGTGGGTGGGTCACCTGAGGTCAGGAGTTCAAGACCAGCCTGGCCATACAAAAATTAGCTGGGTGTGGTAGTACATGCCTGTAATCCCAGCTACTAGAGAGGCTGAGGCAGGAGTATTGCTTGAACCCAGGGGGCGGATGTTGCAGTGAGCTGAGATCACGCCACTGCCGTCCAGCCTGGGTGACAGAATGAGACTCTGTCTCAAAAAAAAAATAAATAAAATAAAATAAAATCTTTTTATAAATCTGGCTTTACTACTCTGCTGCTCCTTGAGGGCAGAGATTGCTTGTTCCAAGGTTTAGGGTAGATTAATGTACTACTTGGTATAGCATAATCATTGCTATAATTACTATTTTTAAATTTATTATTTACGTATTTATTTTTAGAGACATGGTTTCCCTATGTTGCCCAGGCTGGCCTTGAACTCTTGGGGGCTCAAGTGATCCTCCCACCTTAGCCTTCCAAGTATCTGGGACTATAGGAGTGAGCCACTGTGCCCAGCTGTAATTATTTTTGAAAGAGTTGACATCTTTTGTCTTGAAAGATGAGTAGAAATGCATAGGAAAGAAAGGATAAGGTAGCACATGTGGAGAGAGAACACCATAGCAAAATCACGGAGTTGGGAAATCCAGTGTGGTTGTTAGGAACACAATTAATTCATTTCTGGGGTTTGGAGTGACTGGGGGATAGGGATTGGAATAGAGGAATGCTAGAAGTGTGGCCAAGGATCAGTGTGAAGGGCCTTATAGGCTCTGCTAAGAATTTGGACTTCATTCTGCAACAGGAACCCATTCACAGTTTTAAAGCAGAGAATTAATTAGGTCAAATCTGTTTTAGAGGGATTACTGGCAGCAACATTGAGAGAGATAGGAGTGAAGGGAGGTTAGAGGCAACAGTCGGCAGTCCTTTTGTGAGTGGGGAGTGGAGGGACAGACATTTGAGAGAAAATTCAGAGTAGCACTCTTAGGATTAAGAGAATAGAAGGAGTTGAAGATTACATCAAGTTTTTAGTTTGAATTTGAACATTTGAGCATATAAGAAGAGAAGCAAGAAGGGGGAAGGAAGGAGAGATGATTAATTCAATTTTGAATACTTTGAGTTTGAGGAGCCTGCACATTCCAGGGAGAGCCATTGTATATGCAGCTGGTAGCCTGGAGGACAGGTTGGGGCCAGAGATACAGTTTGGGCTGCCGTAGTTGGAACCATTTGATTGGGTGAGGAACCCAGAGAGATCACATGGAGAGAGAAGAGAAACAGTCAAGCCCAGGGGAAACTGAGATTCCCTCCGTTCTTTTTGAAAGTTCAATGTCTTTCTCCCTTTTATAGAAATTATCTAAAAACCAACAACAGATCACAGTAAGTAGAAATGCCAATTTTTACCCCCAGAAATTCTTTAACTTCTGGCACTCTAAGAGGTGAGCTGGCACTTTCAGATTCAGGAGTGCTTGTCTGGGAGTTGACAGCTGTGTAACTTTAGGTAATGCAAGGCCTTTGGTGGAGTCAGCTCATTCAGGAGTCTACCAACAGCTCTTGAAATGTCTGCACATGAATCCCCAGGTGCAGGAGCCAGCCCAGCGCAGAGGGAGAAGCTTGAGTCAGAGCATCAACACAATGGAACTTTCAACATCCCTGTTCTTTTTTTCTTTTCCGTTGAAGTGGAGTTTTGCTCTGTTGCCCAGGCTGGAGTGCAGTGGCACGATCTCCGCTCACCACAACCTCCACTTCCCGGGTTCAAGTGATTCTCCTGCCTCAGCCTCCTGAGTAGCTGGGACTGCAGGCGCCTGCCACCATGCCCAGCTAATTTTTGTATTTTTAGTAGAGACGGGATTTCACTATGTTCAAGGCCAGGCTGGTCTTGAACTCCTGACCACGTGATCTGCCTGCCTCAGCCTCCCAAAGTGCTGGGATTACAGACGTGAGCCACCTTGCCCAGCCTCAACATCCCTTTTCTTATTCGCTATCTTGAAATATCTGAAGACTTTGTGATGGCAAGTGGTTCAAGCATTTTCTGGTGGTGACCACTGCGGGGAACCACAGGCCAGGTGAATGAGAGAGGCCTCTCTATCCATTCCTCTCTCATCTCATCTTCTGTACTCTCGGCCTCATCCTGCACTAGTCACACTGGCCTCATACAAGTCACTCTCCTGCCACAAAAGCCTCGGCTGTGCTCCACCTGGAGTGCTCTTCCTAGATAGCTGCAAGGTTAACTCCTGCCCAAATGTCATCTTTTTAATGAGGCCTACCTTGGCCTCTTTAGTTTAAATTGCATCTGTCCAGGCCAGGTGTGTTGGCTCATGCCTATAATCCCAGCACTTTGGGAGGCTGAAGTGGGCGTATCACCTGAGGTCAGGGGTTCGAGACCAGCCTGGCCAACATGGTGAAACCCCATCTCTACTAAAAATACAAAAATTAGCTGGGCATAGTGGCACATGCCTGTAGTCCCAGCTACTCAGGAGGCTGAGGCAGGAGAATCACTTGAACCCAGTAGGTGGAGGTTGCAGTGAGCCAAGATCACACCACTGCACCCCAGTCGGGCAACAGAGTGTGACTCCGGCTCAAAAATAAATAAATAAATAAATTGTATCTGTCCTTGTCTGCAACTTACACCACCACCAAGTAACCTCCTCCTTGAAGTTATGTGGGAGAAATTTCTCCAGCTCTTCTAAAAGGGGTTGTGAAAATACTCTCATCTCACAACCAGCTAGAGCAGACCTCTTTTCTTCCAGAGAGTTCCAACGTTCTGGCTTGGGACTCATGTCCATGAGTCCAATTTTTTTTTTTAATTATACTTTGAGTTCTAGGGTACATGTGCACAACGTGCAGGTTTGTTACATATGTATACATGTGCCATGTTGGTGTGCTGCACCCATTAACTCGTCATTTACATTAGGTATATCTCCTAATGCTTGTCCAATTGGTTTTTACAGTCAAATGCTGACCGTAATATCTGTTTACTAAAATAAATAGAAAAAACATGAGAGAACATTTCTCAAAAGGCCCTTTTAACATATAGACTTACTTCTTGATATTTAAGAAGAATCCACTTTTTTGCTATACAATTACACAGTTTAAACCTAGTGTTACAGCCATTGTTCATAATTTGACTTTTCAGTAAATGAAAACACCTATTATACCTAAAAAGACTTGAATTGGGCCAGGAGCGGTGGCTCATCCCTGTAATCTCAGCACTTTGGGAGGCTGAGGTGGGTGGATACCTGAGATCAGGAGTTCAAGACCAGCTGGGCCAACATGGCGAAACCCCCTCTCTACTAAAAATACAAAAATTAGCCGGACGTCGTGGCAGACGCCTGTAATCCCAGCTACTCGGGAGGCTGAGGCAGGAGAATTGCTTGAACCTGGGAGGCGGAGGTTGCAGTGGGCTGAGATCGCACCATTGCACTCTAGCCTGGGAGACAAGAGCGAAACTCTGTCTCAAAAAAAAAAAAAAAGACTTGAATTGTTCCTTCCTATAAAACCTTATGTATTACCACTCCTAAACAGATATAATTATACCTTTAAAAAATTATAGACTAGGCCGGGTGCAGTGGCTCACACATGTAATCCCAGGACTTTGGGAGGCCGAGGTCGGCAGATCATGAGGTCAGGAGTTCGAGACCAGCCTGACCAGCACAGTGAAACCCCCTCTCTACTAAAAATACAAAAATTAGCTGGGCATGGTGGCTTGTGCCTGTAATCCCAGCTACTAGGGAGGCTGAGGCAGGAGAATTGCTTGAACCCGGGAGGCAGAGATTGCAGTGAGCCGAGATTGCGCCACTGCACTCTAGCCTAGGCGACAGAGCGAGACTTCATCTCAAAAAAAAAAAAAAATTATAGAATAAGGTTAGAGTTCGTTTATTTTGATAATATATACTTCTTCTTCAAATATTATTATTTTCATTCTCTAAAGGTTTTATCAAGATCAAAGAGATCAACCTAGAAATAGACATTAAAATGTTTCAATGTCTCCATTTTTTCTATCAAAGAACTAAAGACCTGGAGAGCGTCAGTGGCCTGCCTGAAGTCACTCAACTGGTTGACCATAAGCTAATCCTGGGAGCCAGGCCATGTGAAGGCTACTAGAATCATATCTCTGTTATCCCAGACCACCTTCAAAATAGTTTGGGCGTAGTTGTTCTGTTAGCCAGATTGTATTTATTTATTAGCTAACACTAGCTAATAAATTTGGGGAAAATCAGACCAAGCCACTATTACAGCATAACACTAGCACTCTTACATATGTAATGAGATTTAATTTGAAAATATGCAGAACCCTCTTCTATAAATTTTGAGTGCATGCTCTGGCAGTTTACCCTCTGGCTTTAGCCAATTTATCATAAAGTATTAATTACCTCCGTGTTTCTGTGTGTGCGTATGTAGCTATTTCTTAGGATTAATGAGGAAGAGTTGGATCAAAAGGAATGGGCTTTGTATTCTCAAAAATGGCTGAGTGGAGTTTAAGGGTTCTCACTACAAAAAACAAGTATATGTGGTGACATCTGTGTTAATTCCCTTCATTTAGCCATTCCACAATGTATACATATTTCAAAACCTGTTGTACATGATAAATATATACAATTTTATGTCCATTTAAAATGATTAATTAGTGTTTTTAAAGGAATGAGCTAAATGTTCACCACATAAAGAAACATTAGAGACCTTGTGGAGTGAAATTATTGGAATGAAATAGTATCACCATGGGCACCAAATTGAGGCTCCTCAGACACTGTGGGACCAGGGACCTCTGAGAAGATTCCATCAACCTCCTGCTTCTCCTTAACATATTCTCGATGGCAGGTTGCTAGTGACATTTGGTCCCTCTCCTCCCCCTTTCCACTTCCAGTTCTCAAGTCACAAACATGAAGACAAGTTTTAGCCATGTTACTCTGTTAATCTACACACTTACTTCAAGGAAAGAATAAATTGATAGGCCAGGCACGGTGGCTCATGCCTCTAATCCCAACACTTTGGGAGGCCAAGGCAGGAGGACTCCTTCAGGCCTAGAGTTCAAGACCAGCCTGGGCAACATAGTGAGACCTCGTCCCTACTGAAAAAAAAAAAAAAATTAGCTGGGTGTGGTGGCACACACTTGTAGTTCCAGCTACTTGAGAGGCTGAGACTGGAGGATCATTTGAGGTCAGAAATTTGAAGCTGCAGTGAGCCATGATTGTGCTGCTCGCTGCACTCCAGCCTGGGCAAAAAAACAAGACCCTGTGTCTTAAAAAAAGGAAAAAAATAAATAAATTGATAGTAAACTCCAGTCTCCAATATGGAATGGCACAGAGCTGAAAATATATTATTCCTTATCTGTCTTCTGTGCTAGGAGTTCATTTGTTAGAGTAATTGCAGAGATTTTGCAACTGTTTATACAGCATTTGAAATCCTAGACTTTTACTCCCATGAGACTACCATAGTCAGACTGTTTACGTCTCTTAGCAGTAGAACGAGAGTCACTTTATTATCTTAAATGTGAGCTCCCCTCATCTTGCCCTATTTCCTGATCACCAAGCTTCACCAAGAGATTGGAAGAGACATTAACAATTGAGGAGACTGGGGAATTTTAGGTAGCCCATTGTCACTAAGGTATAGCTATTTTCCAGAAAAAAAAAATTCTAAAGAAGCAAAATATCTTTAACAAACTTATTCATGCTTACACCAAATTAAAGGGGGGACCATGGCAAATTCTATTCTACAGTTCGTTGTCCCAGAGCCTTGACAATTTGGAATGCAGGCTGTGCCCGGATGGCAGGAATTTGGAATCAGTTTACAATGTGTGATATGATAACACATGTTCTGGATCAGCGGCAGGGGAATGTTTGGAGCCGTAATTCTGTCCGTCTCCCCATTAGCAGGAAGCCATGCTAAACTCACAGCTGGAGAAGTGCCTAAAAAGAACTAGGTTCTTTGTGTGTGTGAGAGAGTGTATTTATAAAGACAACACAAAACCCAGCCCCAGGGATAAATGCTAAATTAAGGTCATCAAAAATGAAACAGTACATTCATCACATGGATAAATTGGTATCTCGTTGAGATCACTACTTTTCTCAGCTAGAAGCGTGGCTCTATACCCTCATACATCTGGGCTTCATGTTACAGGGGATGTTTAACAACATTAGAGAAAGAAAACCCTAGACCCATTGGCAAGCAGAAAGTCAAATGGAAAATGTTCACTTTAATAAGGCACAAAGGGATGTATACAAGATTCAAACAACATGAGTTGAAACCTGATATCCCTGAGGCTTGAGGTAAAAACGGACTCTTGGCTCTGGTGAGCCAAACATTAAGGAAACATGTAAGCACGTGTAAGTGCAAGCATGAAGCTAGCATAATTCAGCAGGCTTTGTGAAGCCAAACGCTGAGCTTAGGCAAGAAAGACTGAACGTTGTCCTTTGAAAAGATGTAAGTTATTGGCACATTGAGGTTAGCAGAAAGAATGATTTATATAATGTAGTCTTGCTTTCATGTCTCTCTCTCTCTCTATCTCTCTCTTTTTTTTTTTTTTTCCTTTTTGAGACAGGGTCTTGCTCTGTAGCCCAGGCTGAAGTGCAGTGGTGCAATCACAGCTCACTACAGCCTCAACTTCCTAGGCTCAAGTGATCTTCCTGTCCCAGCCTTCCAAGTACCTGGGACCACAGGTGCACGGACACAATGCTCGACTAATATTTTTATTTATTGTAGAGACAGGGTCTCACTACATTGCTTAGGCTGGTCTCGAACTCATGGGCTCAAGCGAAAGTGCTGAAACCGTAGGTGTGAGCCACTGCACCTGTCTTCTCTCTCTCTCTTTTTTTTTTTGAGACAGAGTCTCGCTGTGGAGTGCAGTGGCGCAAATTCTGCTGACTACAACCTCCGCCTCCCAGTTCAAGCAATTCTCCTGTCTCAGCCTCCTGAGTAGCTGGGACTACAGGCGTGCACCACCATGCCCAGCTAATTTTTTGTATTTTTAGCAGAGTTGGAATTTCACCATGTTGTCTAGGCTGGTCTTGAACTCCTGGCCTCAAGTGATCCACCTGCCTCAGCCTCCCACTGGCTTCTCTTTTCTTAAAGTCTATAGTGTTCTGTACTTTTCTAATGGTTTCCTACTTCAACTGTACTTACATAGACACAGCACTTCTCTCATGATTATCCTGAATGAATGAATTAGTGATTATGTTATTTAAAATATTCAAACTATGAAAGTACTGAGGCAGTCATGGTTGATTTGGTGTTTTTATACTATTTCACTAATTTGCAACATCATCAATTTAATTATGGCTGGCTTAAAGTCACCAAAAATCTACTAAAAAGTCAATCTGGTTTAATAATCAAGATAATATCATAGCTTCAGATAGGAAGATGATCATGATTTTACCATCATGATCCCATCTAATTGTTCAAATAGATACCATCTAATTGTTCAAAATTAGAACCATAAGACTTTGTAAGGCCGGGTGTGGTGGCTCACGCCTGTAATCCCAGCACTTTGGGAGGCTGAGGTGGCGGATCACAAGGTCAGAAGATTGAGACCATCCTGGCTAATACAGTGAAACCCCGTCTCTATTAAAAATACAAAAAATTAGCTGGGTGTGGTGGCAGGTGCCTGTAGTCCCAGCTACTCGGGAGGCTGAGACAGGAAAATGGTGTGAACCTGGGAGGTGGAGCTTGCAGTGAGCCGAGATCGCGCCACTGCACTCCAGCCCGGGTGACAGTGCTAGACTCCATCTCAAAAAAAAAAAAAAAAGACTTTGTAAAACCATCAACTGATTTAGTGTATAGTTAAAGAACACTGTGGCTAACTCTGCAGTCTTTTTGTAGAGGGAAGCCCTAGTTTTCAGGGCAAGGATTTATAAAGCATTTTTCTGTTGGCAAAGTGCTTCTACACACATTTAATTGAATCCTCTCGACCTTGTACCTTTTTACTCTAATATACGATTTGGGCTTCTTCTTCAGAGGTGATCAGAAGTATTTGGTCTTAGTATTTGAGCAACATTTTTCCAGAGTTCTGTCTTCATTACATCAACTTCCTCTGACAGCTAGAAAGACTGTCTTAGCCATTTCCTCTTCAGAGCCCTGTTGCTTTCGAGCCAGTGACCTGTGTACCAGTTTCCTGCTCCACAGATGCCTTTAGTGAGAAGAGTCCAGTCGCTGACTCCATTCCCATTTGGGTCACAGCCCCAACCCATCACTTCTCTTTGATGACCCACTCTACAATCTTCCAGTTTGTATCCCATTAAACCACACACAAGTTTTCCCCACTTTCCATTGAAAATTAAAAATCTTTTGATAGAAAAATACATAAACTAACAAATTGCTTATGACCACAGCATCCGAAGGTTTTTGGTTCTCGGTTTGTGTTTAGGTGGACAATCGTCATTAGCGTTGATCCTAGCACTCACACACCTTGCAAGTGGAACTGTATCGATCTGCCTCCCCAACCCCACATCCTGCTCATGTGGGAAATGCTTTCCTCCACTCTTACTCAACTTTACAGCCTCCAAGTCCCTTCTACTCCAACCTCCTGTGTGTGTATAACATTCTTTTATGCTTTTTTCTCTTTACAATATTTTAAAAATCCTTTGTCATTGTCTTGAGTAGTTTCTTACTGAAGTTATTGTAGTATTCTTTGCCATTTCCATGTTACTGGATTTATTTTGGGTGTTTCCAGTTTGGAGTTATTACAGATAACCTTGCCATAAATATCTGGTAAAATATTTTTCATTTAAAATTATTTTCTCAAAATAAATTTCTAAGAATACCGTTGTGGCAAAGGGTATAGTCTTTTTTTTTTTTTTTTGAGATGGAGTCTCATTCTGCCACCCAGGTAGGAGTGCAGTGGCACAGTCTCGGCTCACTACAATCTCTGCCTCCCAGGTTCAAGCGATTCTCCTGCCTCATCCTCCTGAGTAGCTGGGGTTACAGTCGCCCACCGCCACACCTGGCTAATTTTCGTCTTTTTAGTAGAGACAGGGCTTTGCCATGTTTGCCAGGCTGGTCTTGAACTCCTGACCTCAAGTGATCCGCCCGCCTCGGCCTCCCAAAGTGCTTGGATTACAGACATGAGTCACCGCGCCCGGCTGGGTATAGTCATTTTTATGGCTGTTATTCTGTATTCGGGTTGCCTTCAAGAAAACATACTGCCAGCGTGGTGGCTCGGGCCTGTAATCCTAGTGCTTTGGAAGGCTGAGGCAGAAGGATCACTTGAGGCCAGAAGTTCAAGACCAGCCTGGGCAACATAATGAGACCCTGTCTCTATTAAAAAAAAAAGAAAAAGAAAAAGAAAAAAAAGCTGGGCATGCTGGCATGTGCCACCTGTGGTCAAAACAACAAAAAAGTACCAACTCATCACGTCCTTGGCACTAGAAGAGTGGGCTTCTTTGAGTTATTTCCAAAACTGGGTTTTATAACAAGTCACTTTTATTGTTGTTCTTTATTATTATAAAATGATACTACAGTTAACTTAATTTACATTTTGCAGTGAGGCTGATCTATCAGTATAAAATTTCAGCTCTGAACCAATCTTTAACATAAAGGGAAAATAATTTCAAAGGAGGGTGGGGTAGGTCATTCCTTCAAATGTATTGGGCAAACTCAGAACTGGCCTCCACCTTGCAGAGAGAAAACCCTGGATTGCTGTGCAGTAACGCGCTGCCACCCTCTAGTCTAGATACTTATTTCCTCACGCACAGATGATTGCCCAAGTCTCTTAACCAATTCACCAAACTTCCAGCTTCAGCTCTCCAAGTCATCTACCACACAATTTCCAGTTTGATGTGCTCACAGAGGACGTGCGGCCCTAGGGAGGGGACAAGGGCCGCAGGCAGCTCACACTGGAATCTAAGTCTCCAGATCCTCAGCCAGCGTCCTTTCTCCTACATCTTGCCCTTCTCACTACTTTCTGGGAGTTCCGACGTCTCAGCAGGGCTGCTGGGCGATGCCGTAGCCTTTCTCTGCAGCCCTCTGGCAGCAGCCGCCAGGGCCACTGCATGAGGTTCACACACCCGCTGATTGTGATTCTGCCCCTTGGCTCTGGCGGCCTGGAGTCCTCGCGCCTCTGAGAGCTGCATTCGCTCGTCTGGGCTGCGTCCTGCTGTTTCCGAGAAGCTACTGTTGGCAGTTGACTTGCTTTGGGTCGTGTTCTCCACGGCCCGGCCCGTTTGCCTCCTGCCTGGTTTCTCTTCCTGAGCTGACAGACCCTGCTCTCTGTGTGTCTGCCACGGCCAGCCAGGGTGTGAGGACTGTGATTCGCATGGAACCAATTTTCTTTGCTGGTGGAGGCCCCCTCTGATCATGTTCTGCAGCTTCTTTCCTGAGGGAAGGGTAGAGGGAGGTCTGCGCTCACACTGATGTGGAGTCAACTGTCAGGTTCTGTATGCTGTGAGGGGCCTCTTCAACCATCCAGCAGGCGTTCCTCTCAAACCACTTAGGGTGGACTTTTGTTCTCTTCTTCACACACACACACACACACACACACACACTGAATTTAGTCTGTCATTGGCTCAAGATGTCTTGGTTAGTAGCACACAAGCACACACTTTGGAGTCAGACTGCCAGGTTTGAATCCTGGCTCCACTGCTTAGATCTGTGACCTTGGGAAGTTACTTAACCTCTGCCTATGTAAATGTTTGCTCCTATTATTGATTAGTCCTTGAAGAGAAAGGGAGATTTTAGGAGGATAGACAAATCAGTCCTTACCTAAGGCACTCCTTTTTCAATTAGTGGTCTGTTTTATTTTGTAATTGGAGGAAAAATAAGGAAGCCCTATCTTGACTTGGGAGCCTGAAATTTCAACATGTGTCTAAATGGAAGAACTGAAATGGGGTCATTTTCACAATATGAGGGCATTAGTTTCATGTTGGCCTGGCATTAAAGTTGACTTGGTGGATGCATTTAGTGGGCCATCACCTGAGCTCTTCTGACAGGCCCATCCAAACTCATAGGGTTTGCTTTCTTCTGGTTCTCACTTTGTTTTTCTTTTCTTTTCTCCCTCCCTCCCTCCCTCCCTCCTTCCCTCCCTCCCTCCCTCCCTCCCTTCCTTCATTCCTTCCTTCCTTCGTTTCGCTCTTGTTGCCCAGGGTGGAGTGCAATGGCGTGATCTCAGCTCACTACAACCTCCACCTCCTGGGTTCAAGCGATTCTCCTGCCTCAGCTTTCCAAGTAACTGGGATTACAGGCGCCCGCCACCACGCCCAGCTAACTTTTGTATATTTAGTAGAGACGGGGTTTCACCATGTTGACCTGCCTGGTCTTGAACTTCTGACCTCAGGTGATCCACATGCCTCCGCCTCCCAAAGCGCTGGGATTAGAGTCTTGAGCCACTGCACCCGGCCTGTGTTTCTTAATATAGGAAATAACAACAAAACAACATTGCATAACACTTCCTATGTGCAGGGCACTCTTCTATAGCCTTACATATACTAACTCACTTTTCTGCCACAACCTGCAAGGCAGACTACTTCACAGTTGAGAAATGAAGGCACAGAGAGGTTAAGAAACTTGCTGAAGGCCCCACAGGACACCAGATTCTATCAACTGTAAACTTGGCCAAGTGGCCTTAGGCTGGCAGGCTAGGTGTACAACAAAGGAAAGAACGGATCTTCCTTTATCACCCCTTTTTCCTAATATCTGCCTCCCACTGCTGACCTGGTAGCTGTTTATTTGAACTTTAAGTGCCAAACTTAACATGACTGTAATTTGAAAGCACACAGATTCAGGAAGCTGTGGAGTTGCTTTATTTGGTGGATTTTGAAGCAGTAAGAAATGATTGATTAAAAAAGTTCAGGCTTCCTCCTGTCAAGCTTACAGGTCAAGACAGAAATTCATTCAGTGTTAGATATGGAAAGGACCTTAGAGGTAACATCATTTTTTGGCTTTATTTTACTAGGCAAGAAAAAAAGTCCATGGGAGGTAAAGTGCCTTGTTCAAGGTTGTGAAGCATATTTTCCAAAATTACAACTAGATTGTTTAGATGGGTAAGTCAGATAAATGTTGCTGAAGTACTACAATTAAGGTTCTAATTATGGAAATTAAAGTATGATATTAGTTTGGGGAGTTCCTACAGCATCAAAAGTTCATATGACTTAATTCATATATCAAGGTTACCTCACCTAGACAGAAAAGTCCCGTATCCACTACTGAGCATGACATCGTTTCTGGAACTATGAAACATGCAATAGGCTGGGTGCGGTGGCTCACGCCTGTAATCCCAGCACTTTGGGAGGCTGAGGTGGGCAGATCACGAGGTCAGGAGATCGAGACCATCCTGGCTAACATGGTGAAACCCCGTCTCTACTAAAAATACAAAAAATTAGTCAGGTGTGGTGGCGGGCGCCTGTAGTCCCAGCTATTCGGGAGGCTGAGGCAGGAGAACGGCATGAACCCGGGAGGTAGAGCTTGCAGTGAGCTGAGATTACACCACTGCACACCAGCCTGGGCAACAGAGCAAGACTCTTTGTCTCAAAAAAAAAAAAGAAAAAGAAACATGCAATAACCAGAAGTTGGTTATGTAGTATTGGTGTCCTCTTAAAAACAGATTTTGTGGTGCCATAATGGCTTTTATTTAGTGTTTTCATTGTGCACATTTCTACTGATCGCTGTTACACCAGTGGTCAGCAACTGACCTCCCACTCACTCAAGGGTATAAAGGCAGTATTGCCCTGGTGGCTGAAAGCAAGGATTCCGGAGCTAGCCTGCCTGGGTCTAAATTTCAGTTCTGCACTTACTGGTTTATGACTTTGGGCAATTATACCTTACCTATGTGTGCTGTGGTCTGAATGTTTGTGTCTTCATAAAGTTAATATGTGGAAACCTATTAATAATTCCCAAGGAGATGGAGGTAAGGCCTTTGCAAGGTAATTAGGTATAAGAGCATAGTCCTCATGTATGGAATGAGTGCCCTTACGAAAGAGTCCCCAGAGAGCTGCCTTGCCTCTTCTACAATGTGAGGACACAATGAGTAGGCAGCATCTACAAACCAGGAAATGGACCCTCACCAGACACCGAATCTGCCTTGAGCTCAGAGTTCCCAGCCCCCAGTATTGTGAGAAATAAATTTCTGTTGTTTATAAGCTACCCAGTCTGTGGTATTTTGTTATAGCAGCTAGAATGGACGCAGACATTGTATCTCAATTTCCCCATCTGTAAAATAGGCATAATGATTGCATGGGGTTGTTGGAAGGATGAAATCATTTAATATATGCAAAGCACTTAGGAAAGGGCTGGGCACATCATAAGCACTACACGAAGGCTTCTATCATTATTGCTAAAAGGAGAAGCTGAGTTACTATGGAATCACTTCAGATTGTTAAATGATGATGGAGCTGAAAAAGTACTAATCATTTCTGCTTCCCAGACTAGGGGGCTAGGCCTTGTTTTATAGCTTAAGAGAGACCTTTAAAAATAGGGTGTTTCCAAGATCATCTACTAAGAAATTGACTCAATTTCCAGAATTAAATGCCAATATTCTAAAGTATACTTCTATATCTTTTCCAATAACAAGGAAATGAGAAAGAAAACAAGGAAAAGAAACATAAATTCGCCGGGTGCGGTGGCTCACGCCTGTAATCCCAGCACTTTGCGAGGCCGAGGCGGGCGGATCATGAGGTCAGGAGATCGAGACCATCCTGGCTAACACAGTGAAACCCCGTCTCTACTAAAAAGGCAAAAAATTAGCTGGGCGTGGTGGCGGGCAACTGTAGTCCCAGCTACACGGGAGGCTGAGGCAGGAGAATGGCGTGAACCCGGGAGGCGGAGCTTGCAGTGAGCAGAGATCGCGCCACTGCCCTCCAGCCTGGGCGACATAGCGAGGCTCCGTCATGAAAGAAAGAAAGAAAGAAAGAAGGAAGGAAAGAAAGCAAGCAAGCAAGCAAGCAAGAAAGAAAGAAAGAAAGAGAAAGAGAAGAAAGAGAAGAAAGAAAGAAAGATCGATTCTACTCCCTGGTCTGCATTTCAAATCCACAAGTAGAAGATTTCAATAATAAGTGCAAACCATTAAGTATGTTAATGCAGTTATTATTTTAGAGGTTTACACAGATAACTTTCCCAATAGACTATAAGCTAGTATGTACAAAAGTATGTAGAGGAAAAAGGGGGAAAAAGTATGCAGAGGGACAAGAATTCTATGTTTAAAAGTGTGGAGACTCAAAAGAAAAATGACAGATTTTACTAGATTTTGTACTGCCCTTAATTTATCAACTGGAGATGATATTGCGGGGGGGTATTTTTGTTTGTTTGTTTGTTTGTTTGTTTTTTGAGACGGAGTCTTGCTCTGTCACCCAGGCTGGAGTGCAGTGGCGTGATCTCGGCTCACTGCAAGCTCCGCCTCCCGGGTTCATGCCATTCTCCTGCCTCAGCCTCCCGAGTAGCTGGGACTACAGGCGCCCGCCACCACACCCGGCTAATTTTTTGTATTTTTTTTAGTAGAGACTGGGTTTCACCATGTTGGCCAGGATGGTCTCGATCTCTTGACCTCGTGATCCATCCGCCTTGGCCTCCCAAAGTGCTGGGATTACAGGCGTGGGGCACCGCGCCCGGCTTTGCGGCGGGGTATGTTTTATAGCTATATGTCACAATAGTAACTTACTTTTTTGTGTGTGTGTGAGACGGAGTTTCGCTCGTTGCCCAGGCTGGAGTGCAGTGGCGTGATCTCGGTTGACGGCAACTTCCGCCTCCCAGATTCAAGCAATTCTCCTGCCTCAGCCTCCCAAGTAGCTGGGACTACAGGCATGCACCACCACACCCGGTTAATTTTGTATTTTTAGTAGAGACGGGGTTTCTCCATGTTGGCCAGGCTGGATCCCGACCTCAGGTGATCCACCCACTTCAGTCTCTCAAAGTGCTGAGATTGCAGGCGTTAGCCACTGCGCCCGGCCAGTAACTTAATGACTATAGCCGGGCCTTCATAGATTTTTCTACCTATGAGCATCCTAAAATAAGTAGAATTAAAACATTAAAAAAAAGGAAGTTTCAAAGTGTGTTCCTGCTTCTTTGTCTTTAGAGACAGTACGGCACAATGAAGTTGGAGGTCAATTTTAACTCTGGATTGGCTACCTACCCCTCTCAGTCTCAGTTTCTAACATGTAAAATAAGGACAGTAACATGATTCCTATTAGATTTTTGTGGGGTTTACATAAGACATGCATGCAAAGTAAGTGCTCAGTGACTGTTCTCCCTTTTCCTTACACATAAGAAATACTTTGTTTGTTTGCTTGTTTGTTTGTTTTGAGACGGGGTCCCACTTTGTTGCCCAAGCTGGAGTGCAGTGGCAGCATTATTGCTCACTGCAGCCTTGACCTCACAGGCTCAAGAGGGGCGAGAGTAGAAGTTTGGATTTCATTCTAATCGTATAGAAAACCACTGGAGGGTTGTATACGTAATCTGAATTGTATTTTTAAAAGATCATTTTGGCACTTATAAAATTGAGATATAAGGGGCAAGAGTAGAAGCAAGGAGACCACTAGAAGGCAACTATAGGAGTCTATGTGAGAAATTAGTTCTTCTTTTTTTTTTTTTGGAGATGGAGTCTTGCTCTGTCACCCTGGCTGGAGTGCAGTGGTACAATCTTGGCTCACTGCAATTTCTGCCTCCTGGGTTCAAGCGACTCTCCTGCCTCAGCCTCCTGAGTAGCTGGGATTACAGGCATGCACCAGCACGCCTGGTTAATTTTCATATTTTTAGTAGAGATGGGGGTTTCACCATGTTGGCCAGGCTGGTCTTGAATTCCTGGCCTCAAGTGATCTGCCTGCTTTGGTCTCCCAAAGTGCTGGGATTACAGGCGTGAGCCACGGTGCCCGACCAAGAAATGAGTTCTTAGATGAGGGTAGTGATGAAGAAAAAGGCTAGGTATGGGAAACAGTGTGAGGGAGGGCACCATAGGACTAATTGATAGATTTAAAGGCTGTGAAGGAAAGAGGAATTAAATATGACTCCTTGGCCTTCTTTTTTTCTTTTTTTTTTTTTTTGAGATGGAGTCTCGCCCTGTCGCCCAGGCTGGAGTGCAATGGCACGGTCTCAGCTCACTGCAACCTCTGCCTCCTGGGTTCAAGCGATTCTCCTGCCCCAGCCTCCCAAGTAGCTGGGATTCCAGGTGTGTGCCACCACGCCCAGCTAAGTTTTTGTAGCTTTAGTAGAGATGGGGTTTCACCATGTTGGCCAGGCTGGTCTCGAACTCTTGACCTCGTGATCCATCCACCTTGGCCTCCCAAAGTGCTAGGATTACAGGCTTGAGCCACCGCGCCCGGCCTGACTCCTTGGCTTTTTAAAGAAAATGATTGTTAGTTTTTTTAGAGATGCGGGTCTTGCTCTTTGTCCAGGCTGGTCTCAAACTCTTGGGCTTAAGCCATCCTCCTGCCTCAGCCTTCTGAGTAGCTGAGACTACAGACGTGCACCACCATGCCCTGCTGACTCTTTGACTTTTGGCTTGAGCAACTAGGTAGGTAGTGGTGTTGTTGACTTGAAGTTAGAAAGACTGGGGATTTAACAGCTTTGGAAAGGCGGAATCAAGAGTTTTGGACCTGTTAGGGTTTAAGATGTTTATTACTGTTTAGAAGAGATACACTTAAATAGACAAGTTTGGTTAAAAGTATAATAACAGGATGGGAAAATATATTACAAGCACGCACCATAGAATTCAGAGGAAAAAACCTTATTGGATATTTGTGTGCGGAAATTCAGGTCAGGGCTAAAAGTATAATTTGAGACTGTATCAGTCTGTTTTCATTGCTCAAGTCAATACCTGAGGCTGGGTAATTTATAAAGAAAAAGAGGTTTAATTGACTTAAGGTACTGCAGGCTGTACAGAAAGCATGGCACCAGAATCTGCTTCCAGTGAAGGCCTCAGGAAGCTTCTAATCATGGCAGAAGGCAAAGGGGAAGCAGGCATGTCACATGGGGAGAGCAGGAGCAAGAGAGAGAGGGAGGAAGTGCCAGGCTCTTTTAAACAACCGTGTGAACTAACAGAGATGGGGAGGGCACCAAGCTATTCATGAGGAATCTACCCCCATGACCCAAACACCTCTTACCATCTTCATCCCACCTCTAACAATGGGGATCACATTTCAACATGAGATTTGGAGAGGACAAATATCCAAACCATATCAGGGATAGTATTTAAAGACACAGGGCTAGCTGAGTGAATCCAGAGAAAGAATAAAGAGTGTCAAGGACCAAGACCTGAGGTACTCTTACTTTTAGAGATTGGCCTTAGGAGGAAAAGGCAAGAAAGCAGACTGAGGAGGTAGGGGGAAATGATCACAGATGGTATCCAGAGCTATAGGTGGCACATGCCAGGAGTGCCGTTGGCATACACTTAAGGTGACGGTCCTGGTAATAGCAGATTGTCCTTGGAAGAATAAACTAATTTACTAACTAATAAGCAAGGCTGGGTGTGGTGGCTCATGGCTGTAATCCCAGCACTTTGGGAGGCCGAGGCAGGTGGATCGCCTGAGGTCAGGAGGAGACCAGCCTGGCCAACGTGGTGAAACTCCGTCTCTACTAAAAATGCAAAAATTAGCCAGGCATGGTGGTGGGCGCCTGTAATCCCAGCTACTTGGGAGGCTGAGGTAGGAGAATCGCTTGAACCCGGGAGACGGAGGTTGCAGTGAGCCGAGATCACACCATTGCACTCCAGCCTGGGTGACAGAGCAAGACTCTGTCTCAAAAAAAAAAAAAAAAACAAAAAAAAAAAGCACTGTTTCTCTGCAGATATCTAATCGGTACTTTTAGTACTTTGATTTATTTTGCTAATTTAATTGACATAAAATGTTTGTTTTTACTTGCAGTTGTAAAATAAACTAAGCACTATTTGCTATTTGTCTCATATGCACATTCTGTTAACATCATTGAGACTGGTTTTTGTTAATGATCATTGTTTACATTCATTTTTGTTTTGATTGACCTTTTTTTTTTCTGTCACTTGGGAATATTTCTGGCTGAAAGTAACAGAAAACTTGACCATAGAAAGGGTTACTTTTGCTTATAAAACAAGATGACTAAAAGCAGTCTACAATTCCATAATTCCACCAAGGATCCACATGTTTCCTGCCTTTCCAATCTACCATCCTCAGCATGTAACTTTCTTCATCAGGCTTGCCTGATGGCTGACATCAGGCATCAGGCTCTGGGCCTGATGGCTCTGGGCATCGCATCTGTGTTCCAGCAGGAAGAAGGACACGGAGCAAAAGGCTTGTGTTAGTCTATTCCTTTTCATCAGGAAAACAACAGCTTTCCTTGAATCCAACCTAGTAGAAGTCTACTTATATTTCATTGACCAGAACTAGGCCACATAGCCATGCCAAGATGCAAGGGAGGCTGGGAAGGTGACTGTTTTCTTCTCATTCATCTATCATTCATTCAATCATAGTTAAATATTTAGCAGGACCACACCCAAGGCATCATATATAAACCACATTCTAGCTTTCTTAAACAATTTTTTCTTAGGGCTCTGTTCCGTTCCATTGGTCTATATCTCTGTTTTGGTACCAGTACCATCTCAGAAATAATACCACACATCTACAACCATATGATCTTTAACAAACCTGACAAAAACAAGAAATGGGGAAAGGATTCCCTATTTAATGGTGCTGGGAAAACTGGCTAGCCATATGTAGAAAGCTGAAACTGTGTCCCTTCCTTACACCTTATACAAAAATCAATTCAAGATGGATTAAAGACTTAAATGTTAGACCTAAAACCATAAAAACCCTAGAAGAAAACCTAGGCAATACCATTCAGGACATAGGCATGGGCAAGGGCTTCATGACTAAAACACCAAAAGCAATGGCAGCAAAAGCCAAAATTGACAAAGGGGATCTAATTAAACTAAAGAGCTTCTGCACAGCAAAAGAAACTACCATCAGAGTGAACAGGCAACCTACAGAATGGGAGAAAATTTTTACAATCAACCCATCTGACAAAGGGCTAATATCCAGAATCTACAAAGAACTTAAACAAATTTACAAGAAAAAATCAAACAACCCCATCAAAAAGTGGGCGAAGGATATGAACAGACACTTCTCAAAAGAAGACATTTATGCAGCCAACAGACACATGAAAAAATGCTCATCATCACTGGCCGTCAGAGAAATGCAAATCAAAACCACAATGAGATACCATCTCACACCAGTTAGAATGGCGATCATTAAAAAGTCAGGAAACAACAGGTGCTGGAGAGGATGTGGAGAAATAGGAACACTTTTACACTGTTGGTGGGACTGTAAACTACTTCAACCATTGTGGAAGACAGTGTGGCGATTCCTCAAGGATCTAGAACTAGAAATACCAGTTTCTAGAAATACCCAGCCATCCCATTACTGGGTATATACCGAAAGGATTATAAATCATGCTGGTATAAAGACACATGCACACGTATGTTTATTGCGGCACTATTCACAATAGCAAAGACTGGGAACCAACCCAAATGTCCATCAATGATAGACTGGATCAAGAAAATGTGGTACATATACACCATGGAATACTATGCAGCCATAAAAAAGGATGAGTTCATGTCCTTTGTAAGGACATGGATGAAGCTGGAAACCATCATTCTGAGTAAACTATCACAAGGACAGAAAACCAAACACTGCATGTTCTCACTTATAGGTGGGAAATGAACAATGAGAACACTTGGACACAGTGTGGGGAACATCACACACTGGGGCCTGTCGTGGGGTGGGGGGAGGGGGGAGGGATAGCATTAGGAGATATACCTAACGTAAATGACAAGTTAACAGGTGCAGCACACCAACATGGCACATGTATACATATGTAACTAACCTGCACGTTGTGCACATGTACCCTAGAACTTAAAGTATAATAAAGTAAAAATAAAAAAATTTTTTGTCTTTCATTTTCAAACTTTAAACTTTTTCAGACTTTCAAACTTTTCACAAAGTTAAAGTTCTAATTTAATCAATTTATTTTTAAATTACAGTAAAACTTACTCTTTATTTTACAGTTTTATGAATATTTTTTAAAATAGAGAATAAACTGTGAATACTGCTGCTACTCACCCAAAATTACATTACAGTCCCATAACAGAAAAGGTCAGTTGTTTAACACAACAGAGTTTGAGAAAGGAGAGAATCCTTATCCTTATCCAATGCATTTAATTGAGGCATTATAAGATGAGATGGAATAAAGTTATAGTAAGAAGGGTCCTCTAGAGGTTGGGTGTGGTGGTTCACACTTGTAATCCCATCACTTTGGGAGGCCAAGGCAGGAGGATTGCTTAAACCTAACAATTCAAGACCAGATCCTATGTCAAAAAGAAAAGAAAAATAAATAAGTAAATAAATAAATAAATAAAAGCCAGTAGAGATTTAGCCATTCATAGGTCTTTTTTTTTAAAAAAAACAAAACCATTTTATCTTATATGAATCTAACTTAACATTGATATACTCCACTAAGACATCACCTTAATGCCTCTTCCACACTTTAGTTGTGCGTATATAATTTTCTTTTCTTTTTTTTTTGGAGACAGGGTCTCACTCAGTCACCTAGGCTGGAGTGCAGTGGTGCAATCTTGGCTCACTGAAGCCTTGAACTCCTAGGCTCAAGCAATCCTCCCACCTCAGCCTCCTGAGTAGCTGGGAATACAGACTACAGGTGTGTGCCACCATGCTCGGCTCTTTAAAAAAATTTTTGGGCCAGGTGCGGTGGCTCACGCCTGTAATCCCAGCACTTTGGGAGGCTGAAGTGGGTGGATCACGAGGTCAGGAGTTCAAGACAAGTCTGACCAACATGGTGAAACCCGGTCTCTACTAAAAATACACACACACACACAAAAAGCCAGGCATGATGGTGGGCGCCTGTAATCCCAGCTACTCAGGAGGCTGAGGCAGGAGAAATGCTTGAACCCAGGAAGCAGAGGTTGCAGTGAGCTGAGATCACGCCACTGCACTCGAGCCTGGGTAACAGAGTGAGGCTCCATCTCAAACAAACAAACAAATAAACAAAAATTTATAAAGACAAAGTCTCACTATGTTGCCCAGGCTGGTCTTGAACTCCTGGGCTCAAGCAATCCTCCTACCTTGGCCTCCCAAAATATTGGAATTACAGGCCTGAGCCACCTTGCCTGGCCTATAATTTTCATATTGAGTTAATTTGTGTTTACATTAATTTTTTTTCAGTTAACATTATTTCATATATACTTCTCCATAACTCTGCCACTAAAAGCAGCTCTGGCTGGACAGGGTGGCTTGCACTTGTAATTCCAGCACTTTGGGAGGCTGAGGTGGGTATATTGTTTGAGCCCAAGAGTTCAAGACCAGCCTGGGCAACATGGTGAAACCATGTCTCTACAAAAATACAAAAATCAGCCAGGTGTGGTGGCCTGCCTCTGTGGTCCCAGCTGCTTGGGAGGCTGAGGCAGGAGTATTGTTTGAGCCAAGGAGGCAGAAGTTGCCGTGAGCCAAGATTGGGCCACTGCCTTTCAGACTGGGTGAAAGAGTGAGATCAGAGTAGTAATGAAGAAAAAGGCTAGGTATGGGAAATAGTACAGAGTAGGGCACCATAGGACTAATTCATAGATTTAAAGGGTGTAAAGGAAAGATGAATTAAATATGACTCCTTGGCTTTTTAGAGAAAATTATTATTAGTGTTTAGATCTAGGTATTTCCCACACCTAGCCTTTTTCTTCATCACTACCCTTGTCTCAAAACAATTTATAAATAAAAATTTTTAAAGGAGTTCTATAACTTGGATTTTAAAATTCTCTATGGGCTTTGGTTTCTTCTGTAAAATGAGGCAGTTGGGCTATTAAATGATTTCTAAAAAATTTCCAGCTCTAATATTCTGTGACAATATCTAGGATTGACAAGGGGAATAATGGAAATATAGCACAAATGACACAGGAGTCTTCTTTGAAGAACAAGGTTACTCCAAAACATGGATGCTGCTTAATGGGCCATAACTTTCCTGTTGTCCATGAGTCAGCATGAAAAATAACTCCAGAGGAGGCTAAGTAGGTCAGATTTATCTAAGAAGACAGCTGTGTAATCCCGTATCCCTCTCCAACCCCATGGCACAGCAGATACATGCTTTTGGCTCTGTGAACAACAGTCAAATAGCATTACCCATTTTGTAAAGTCCACAAGACCACAACTTGAAAAATCAAGCTGGCCTTACAAAGTCTAGAAAAAGCTATAGCAGTATTTACATATGGTCCATAGCAATGTTAGTCTATCTTTTAAGTCATTTCCATTGATGCTGTGATACTCGTTAATGTGGGAAAGACTTTATTAGTAAAAGAGTAAAGTAATTTAAATGTTAGCAAAAAAGTTTTGTATCACAACTTTGAATCTGTTTAACAAAACCGGTTAGGCTGTTAATGTTTGCTTGCTTTCCTTTATACGTATTATACTCATATGAGGACTTAAAATTACATTCTGTAAATAAATAGGCCCATGAGAGAACTTTCATTTAGAAGCAAACTTTGAAGGTGCAGTTACTGCTTAAGTGGGCTGTGCAAATATTCCTGTCACTGGAGGTCCCTTTAACTGCGTGGGGGACCTTCAGAATCCAAGGGGCAAATAGAAACTTGGAGAAGTGAAGAGAAAAAAAGGGCACATTGAGATGGCACTGGAGATCCTTGCTAAATAAAGGAAGATGTTGGCAAGGAATACAGAAAAAAGTATGAAACAGAGACTACTGGAGGTATTCAAGTTGGAAAATGCAAAGTGTCCCTTTTTTTTTTTCACATCAACAACTTACGTTTATGCTAATCTACTTAAATGTTAAGTCTGGCCAAGCAATTAGACTATTTAACCTTGTTTGGAGTTAAATGCAGACAGTGTGTGAGACTGTGTTCACAGTACTGTATTACGTCTTTAGGAAAGAGGATCTAGATTTCATTTTGTCCTTCTCAGGATTGTGTCTGCTATGCAAGCACTGGTTTTCTATAGTCTGGCTTGTAAGGCACAAGGAGCAATTAAACAGAGGATTAAGGTAAACAGGTGTGTCCCATCACTTCCCCTCTTCATACTATATTGTTCATATTCTCTGAATTTCATACAAGCTACAGTGGAAGCAGTAAGTTAACTTTAAAAAATCATAAGATTGCCCATACTTCTAGGTTATGCAAATTGATTTCTGAATAAGCCCTTGTTTGCGACATCGCTGGTAAAGGCAGGATGTTAACTTAAAGAGATGCCAGATTTTGGACTTGTTAGTTATAGGCATCAAAACCTGGAACTAGGAAATGTATTTCCACGTATTACTTCCATTATCCTACTAATGTTAGAAACAGGCAACTAACCACATCCTCGACCCCAACCATATTTCAGGAGAGGCTGGCTGAATTTTGCAATATGATTCCAAAAGGGAGTATTTGCAGGGTCTTTGAAGCTATAAATCCCCTAGGAAGAGTCTTCCCCACCTGTCAGGACCTGGACAGTGTCCACAGAGGGTGCCGGGCGCACTACCGCCACGCGGCGCTGAGGTCTGCCTCTCGGGTTTTGGGAGAGCTCTTTTTATTCTAAATTACAGACTTTGCAGCCACCGGATATCCTCGCTGCATAACTGGCAGTGGCCATGTGGCTGCACTCGCGTTTCCTGACAACCACTGCATTATTTCCACTAATATCCTGTGTCCAAGGCCTCTCGCTTGGCGACTCCTCGTTCCCACCTCCACCGCCACCTCTTCCCTCGAGGGTAATCTCTCGACCGTGGCCCAAGCGCCTCGACAAAGCGGCAACCACCCAAAAGTTCATGAAAATGCACTTGGCAAAAGTGGGCCGCTAGTCCCCGCGGACAGCTCTAAGCGACCCCGTCCCAGCCGAGGAAAGCGCCCGGGCCCCGCAGAGTGCGCGCTGCGGGGCGGGCCCGCGGCCATGTGCTCCGCGCCGGGGCGGGGCACCCGCGGGTTCGCATTGTCCACTTTCCCCCGCACCCCGCCGCGTTCCGTCCCTCCCTATCTGCGGCGCACACGCGCTCAGAGCAAGCGGCGCGCCCGGGTCTGGAGCTGCAGCAGCTGCGGCAGCGGCGGGGGTGGTGCGGCGCGGGGCGGGGCGGGGCGGGGCGGGGCGGGGCGGGGCGGCACGGGGGCGGGCCCGGGGCGAGGCAGCTGGGGCGCCAGCGAGCTAGCGGCGAGCGCGGCGAGCAACGGAGAGGAGCGCGAGCAGCAGCATGGCGGGGCTCCGACGCCCGCAGCCCGGCTGCTACTGCCGCACCGCGGCGGCCGTGAACCTCCTGCTGGGCGTCTTCCAGGTCCTGCTGCCCTGCTGTCGCCCGGGAGGGGCTCAGGGACAAGGTCAGCCTTGCGCCGCTGGGCTCGCTCTGCCTCTCCACCCCGCCCCCGCTCTTTCTTTTAGGGAACTGCTGAAATCTATAAGAGGGCGAGGGGAGGAAAGGGAAAGGGGCAGGAGGAGGAAGGAAAGCTGTTGCGATTCTCCGCTGATAACATTTTCTGACCACAGCGTCCCGTCCCGCGCCTCTCTGCCCCGTACAGCTGGAGAGCGGGGCAGTCGCGGGGCTTGGGGACCGCTAGCCGCTCGCGCCCTGGAGCCTTTGTGCGCGGGCCCCTGCGCCCCGGGCGCAGCCCCCGCTTTGTGTGGCGCGCGCGGG